>NC_000001.11:61978077-62281107 GCF_000001405.40 Homo sapiens
CTTCTCTCTTCTCTGAAAGTCATCATTTTCTTATTTTCTCTATTTGTTTATGGTTGATGTTGTTCATCTCTTACAGGAAGAGACATTTTCTCTACTTGTTTGGACTTTCATCTTCATATCTTCCTTCCTTCCTTCCTTCCTTCCTTCCTCCCTCCCTCCCTCCCTCCCTCCTTCCTTCCTTTATTCTTTCTTCTTTCTTTTTTTTGACAGAGTTTTTCGCTCTTGTTGCCTAGGCTGGAGTGCAATGGTGCGATCTTGGCTCACTGCAACCTCTGTCTCCTAGGTTCAAGCGATTCTTCTGCCTCAGCCTTCCGAGTAGCTGGGATTAAAGGCATGTGCTACCATGCCCAGCTAATTTTGTATTTTTAGTAGAGAGGGGGTTGCTCCGTGTTGGTCAGGCTGGTCTCGAACTCCCAACCTCAGGTGATCTGCCCGCCTCGGCCTCCCAAAGTGCTGGGATTACAGGCATGAGCCACTGCGCCCAGCCTGTGCTGTTTCTTCTGATAAGTTACAGTTTCTTTTATATATTTTTACCTCTTAAATCTAAAAGTACTAACTCAGAGAATTAGAAGTTGGTTAGTGCATAAGAAAAATTAGATTGAGATGTTTATTATACCTGATTTTTTTTAAGTGGAATTGTTATATTTGATGTATAGAAGAGTGTTTTTAAATGTTTTCTCTGTATTATATTATTCTTTGTTATTTGGAAACAGACCAGATAACTAAATGTTTCTGAAATTGTATTGAGTCATTATTCCAGTGTGTTGAACATTTGCTATTAAAATACTGGGCAGTGACTTGAATTAAGTTTCTTTCTTGGGAGAAAGGCTCTGTTACTTAGCAACACCTAATATCCTATGATGATAGGAAAACATACTGTGACAATGGAGAAATGTTATTGACTTTCTTGAACAAGAAAAAGGCATTGATGCTTTGATAGAGAATTATGAGCAACTTGGGATTCCTTTCTTCAGATAACATTGTCCTGGGGCTAGACAATCCATGTTTAAAACAAGCATGAGTGTTCAGCTGCATCAAGAGACTGTTCTCTCTCCAATTATTCTAGTCTGATGTTCATTCAGGGATACTGGAATAAAGCCTGGTGCCAAAAGAAGTAGTTTACTTATCTACTCATCTCTGATTTTTATTTAGAAATGGGAGGGCATCTAGGTTATTTGAAAAAAGAACTACAGCCACTTGACTGACACACTGTGTAAGTGGAGGGGAAGAGAAATATCTTTCCTTCCCATCTTAGGTTAATGGCTGAGGCCTTTATAACAACAAAAGACAGATTAGGCCAGGCGCGGTGGTTCAGGCCTGTAATCCCAGCACTTTGGGAGGCCAAGGTGGGCAGATCACGAGGTCAGGAGATTGAGACCATCCCGGCCAACATGGTAAAACTCTGTCTCTACTAAAAATACAAAAATTAGCTGGATGTGGTGGCGTGTACCTGTAATCCCAGCTAGTCAGGAGGCTGAGGCAGGATAGTGGCTTGAACTCGGGAGGCGGAGATTGCAGTGAGCCAAGATCACACCACTGCACTCCAGCCTGGCGACAGAGGGAGACTCCGTCTCAAAAGAAAAAAAAAAAAAAGATTAGCAAAAGAAGAGCATACACATTTATTTAATATACACAGGAGCCTTCATAAGGAAATGAAGTCCCAAGGAAACAAACCTGTGTGGTTTTTATGCTAGGTTTAAACCAAAGAAGTAAATAGCCATGGAGTGGTAAGATTGGACAAACGAGGCATGATCTAATGGTAACGAACTAGGAGGAACTTACTAACGTCTGCTGCTTAGATTCTTCTCTGTGTCCCTGTGTCTTCAGAGATAAGGATGCTCCCTTCCTCTGGGTATAGGCAGGGCACCTCTGTAATGAAGGTCTTATCACCTGCTTCAGGGGAAGATCAGAGAAATCCTTTTTAGGTTTTATGACCTGCTTCAGGGGAGAAGGGGTAGGAGGAGTGAGAGTTACCTTCCTGCCTCTGCTGTTTTCTCAAATGCGAAGATGCCATATTGTTATGTAGGGTGTACTGAATCCCATCAAAAGTCATTGAAAACAGCTGAGCATAGAGGCACATGCCTGTAGTCCCAGCTATTCAGGAGGCTGAAGCTGGAGGATTGCTTGAGCCCAGGAGGTTGGGGCTGCAGTGAGCCATGATTATGCCGCTGAACTCTAGCCTGGTCAACAGAATGAGACCCTGTGTCAAAAAAAATAAAAAATAAATAAAATCAGCAAAAGTCTATATAAAGATGGTTGTTGTTTTTACAAATATTTCCCAGAAATACCAGATGTGGAAGATTCTAGATCATTATAACACTTTTGATATTTTGTTGCCAAAAGCTAGTACTTATATAATTTGTGTGTGTGTGTGTGTGTGTGTGTGTGTGTGTGTGTGTGTGGTATGCATTTTCATATAGTAAACAAAGTATGGGTTCTTTGGTGTTTTTGTTTCTTAATTTTAAGAGAGAACTTCACTGGCTTCAAGTAAAAGAATACTCTTTACTCCACCTCTTTAAAATCATGTATTTTCAGTGAAATTGAAATTAGTAAATTTTAAGAAAACCATTCTCTATACATTTTCTTTCCACTTATCCTTTTCTCACCCCATTGGTTGCTGTGGCAACGACTCCCAGCAGCCCTTAGAGCAAATGCCAGGCCATGCGGGGTTCCCCGCAGTGGAGCCACATGTCTGATACTGCGCAACAGTTTGTGCTGACTCAGCCATGCACAGGAGGAGTGCTACCATTTCTCTCTTAAGTTTTGAATTAAAAACTAAACTGGCATTGCAGTGTCTTGATTTTTTAAAAATGAAAAACCAAGTCAGTTTCAAAAACCAAATCATTTTTCCCTCTCCCCTTGAAATTCTAGGTTCAGCTTTTGTTGTACTTACTAAAGAGAAGCAATTGTCACAGAGATTACAGGAAACCCCAGAGATTTTGGATGGAGGGAGGCAGCCTAGGAGGCTGAGAGGAAGGGAAATCTATTATGCAATCAAAATAGACCTTTTATTTAATCCCGAAGCCTGACTGTGGAGACAGAGATAGTGTCCATGTTAGATTAGTCTTGTGAAGGCTGCCTTAAATTTGGTCTCTGTGAACTTTTGTTGACTGTCATCATCAACATGTTTTTCCTGGAAAGAAATGAGTGCACTGCATGAGAGATTAATCTGTAGTTTACGAACCTAGTGGCCCATGAGAAGCACCTGAGCACCTTGTTACAAAGATTCCTAAACCTTACCCCAGAAAACCTGGCTCAGAATCTCAGCTAGTGGGTCCCAGTCATGGTTCTGTTTTATAAGCACCAAGGGTGATATTTTAGGTAGTAAGGGGGAGAAAGTATTATTTTTTCCTCACCCATTGCAAGGTTCATGGCTGAGACCCTTATAACAAAAAGATTAACAAGAGAAAAGCATAACAAATTTGTTTATCCAAAATTTTATACAACACAGGAGCCTTCAGAAAGAAAGACCCAAAGACCCAGGGAAAACTGTGTTTTTATGGACAGTCCTGCAGAAGTATGACTGGAGGACAAAAGGGTATGATCTAGTGGTATGAAATTGGGGGAAACTCAGGAAAGCCTATTTGTTGTGATTCTTTTTTTTTTTTTTTGGAGACGGAGTCTCACTCTGTCGCCCAGGTTGGAGTGCAGTGACACAATCTCGGCTTAGTGCAAGCTCCGCCTCCCAGATTCAAGCGATTCTCCTGCCTCAGCCTCCCGAGTAGCTGGGATTACAGGCATGTGCCACCACATCCAGCTAATTTTGGATTTTTAGTAGAGACAGGGTTTCACCATGTTGGCCAGGCTGGTCTCAAACTCCTCCTCAGGTGATCCACCCGCCTTGGCCTCCCAAAGTGCTGGGGTATCAGGCGTGAGCCACCGCACTCAGCCTTGTTGCGATTCTTGTGCATCTCTGTATGCTATTCCCTTCCTCTGAGTATAGGGCAGGACACCTGTCACATACACATCTGCAGGGGAGAAGGGAGGGAGGTCAGAGAGTGACCTTCTTAGGTTTTGTGGCCTGCTTCTGGGAAGTGGGGGCAGGGGGCTTTCTAGTTTCTGTGGCCACTTCAGGAGAAGGGGGTAAGAGAAGGTCAGAACACATAATCCTGCTTCTGTGGTTTTCTCAGTTTCCTTCAGTGTAAAATACTCAGTCTGCTAAGGTGCTACATTTTAGGGTATTGTGTTCTGAATCCTGACAATAACAATAAATCTAAGCCTGACAAATAATCTAAGGAGATAGGCCTGGGAACCATTGTTTCATCTCTGAAGGGATCTTATTACCTAAAATGTCTACCAGTTGAAGAGATGGCTGTGGTGTGATGAACAGGTCACAGCACTTGGATTCAGCAGAACTGACCCTGACATTGGCCAGGTCACCTCAGTTCTCTGAGTATCAGTCAGTTCATCTGCAAATGGAGGCATTTACGAAGGTGTGGGGAAGAATCGATGACACAGTGAACTGTGAAATGTTTCTTTCATATAAGGAGGTATTGTGACCATGTGAGGATTCTGACGATAGCTTCTTAAAACTGAGGGAGAAATTCAAAGTCATTTTATCTTTCCTTTAAAATGATATTGGAGAATTTTATACATGATTTGTTAGAGAAAAAAAATTGAACTATATGCTAGAAGACTTTTTAACACTTTTCATATTTAGTTGCCAAAAGCTAGTACTGACATAATTTATGTGTGTGTGGTGTGTATTTTTGTGTGGCAACAAAGGATGGGTTCTTTGTTTTTTCTGTTTCTTAATTTTAAGGGAGAACTTCATTGGCTTCAAGTATTAGGTTGGTGCAAAAGTCATTATGGTTTTTTTCATTACTTTTACTGGCAAAAATCACAATTACTTTTGTACCAACCTAATAAAAGAATACTCTTTACCTCTTTAGTCTATAGTTTCTACCCATAAATTAGCTTCATAACCTTATATGAGATTTTCATTCTGTGGTCTTATTTCTTTATCAAATGGAGTCTGAAATTAAGGAGGGGTGACTGTAAGAGAAGGTCCATGATTTCTTAGTTCCTTTTGCCTGAATTAAAAGTCTCTGATTTCATGATATGGTGAAAACATAGCAATTAATGTATCTGAAGGGCTGGACCTGTCATCTTTTAAACTCCATCTAACTATGAGTCTAAATAAAAGTCATAGGATAACCCAAATTCTGAGGCCTGAAAATGTTAATAAAAATTCAATGGAAGTATATGTGTTACAGAGTATTTGGCACTTTTATTCTCTTATTATTATGCTTTCTGTTTTATGAGGCACTGAAAAAAATGATTACCTATAAATCTTTTTGCTTATCAAGTTTCTTCAGCTTGATAAAGTGGGTTTTAAAAGATAATGTGCACGTAGTAATTTGTTTTTCTAGTACTACTAATGGATTTTAATTTTGAATACAGCTCTAAAGAGGAAACTTTTACTTCTTTTAACTGAAGGGATAATTATCTTTGAGAAAAAAATTGTATCTGTCTAAAGCTTTTAGATTTCCAATCACTTTTATGTAGCATTGTTTGGAGCAATGTCAGAACAGTGTGTCCTAGCAATTGAAGAGGATCTTCAAAATCACTCATTTCTGTTTTCAGTAGTTTTAGATGGACTATCTAATATATGCCAGACACTGTTGTGGGTACAGAAGACTGCAGAGAGTTGGGTGGACAAGGAGCTCATGGAGTTTATATTCTAGGGGAGGGAAGTCGAAGGAAATAAGGAATCTAAAAAGATACTTTTCAGCTAGGACCATGAAGACAGATGGACAAAACTAGAGACAGGGTCTTGCTCTGTCACCCAGGCTGGAGTGCAGTGGCGTGACTGTGGCTCAGTGCAGCCTCAACCTCCTGGGCTCAAGCAGTCATCCCACCTCAGCCTCCCAAGTAGCTGGGACTACAGGTGTCCACCCTCATGCCTGGCTGATGTTTTAATTTTTTGTAGAGATGGAGTCTTGCTATATTGCCCAGGCTAGTCTTGAATTCCTGCCCTTAAGCAATCTTTCTGCCTTCCAAAATGCTGGGATGATGCACCTGGCCCCCCAAAATTATTAATAAAATTGTATAACTATGAAATACGCTCAATTATTATTATTATTATTTTTTTTTTTTTTGAGGCAGAGTGTTGCTCTGTCACCCAGGCTGGAGTGCAGAGGTGCCATCTCTGCTCACTGCAACCTCCCCCTCCTGGGTTCAAGTGATTCTCATGCCTTAGCCTCCCGATTAGCTGGGATTACAGGCATGTGTCACCATGCCATCTAATTTTTGTATTTTTAATAGAGACAGGGTTTCACTATACTGGCCAGGCTGGTCTCGAACCCCTGACCTGGCTAGTGATCTGCCCACCTCAGCCTCCCAAAGTGCTGGGATTACAGGCATGAGCCCCTGTGCTCGGCCTTAAGTATACCCAATTCTTTAATGTTTCAGGGTTGGGATTTTTTTGCTGAGCTTTATTCTGTTGAGCTTATTTCATTCTCCCACAAAACAGAAAACAATAAAAAGAAATTAAGGAAAGCTGAATAACTCATCTGTTAGCATTTAGGCAAATAAAGTCAGAACAAGATAGATGCAGGATTATTGGAAATGTCAACCAAAACGAGTCCTTGGCATGATACAGTAGAAAGTGTAGCTGACCAGTGGGTTGAGAATTAGCTAGAACATCTATACTATTCAGTATATTTGCAGATATTAGTTGTTTTTCCTGACAACACACTGAAATAAGTGGGTAACTTCAGCTACTGGTATTTTTCTCAATGCTCTTATCTCTCTGAATTATAACTAGTCATATGCGTGCTTGTCTCCAGTGATAGATTTTGAGGTCCTTGAAAACAAATTCAGTATTATATTCCCTTTGTATCACAAGCCTGGCATGAATTTGGATTCAATTCATAGTAATTCATTGAATAAGCAGGATTATAGTAGGGTCACAAAAAAGCATTGACTAGAAAAATATAGCTGCTGGTTTTGGCCAGGCATGGTGGCTCACGCCTAATAATCCCAGCACTTTGGGAGGCCGTTGTGGGCGGATCACAAGGTCAAGAGATCAAGACCATCTTGGCCAATGTAGTGAAATCCCATCTCTACTAAAACTACAAAAGTTAGCTGGGCGCGGTGGCGCATGCCTATAGTCCCAGCTACTTGGGAGGCTGAGGCAGGGGAATCGCTTGAACCCGGAAGGTGGAGGTTGCAGTGAACCGAGATCGTGCCACTGTACTCCAGCCTGGCGACAGAGCAAGACTCTGACTCAAAAAAAAAGAAGCTGCTGGTTTCAAAAGTCAGAATAATAAATCTATAACTTAGTCCCTCAGTGGGATATTGATAAGGGAACCAATTTTTTGAGGGTATTTTAAGCCACTGATAGGGGTCTTTTTTAAATTGTGGTAAAATATACATAACAACATTTACTATTTTACCGTCTTTAATTGTATTGTTCAGTGTTAAATACATTCACATTGTACAACCATCCATCTCCAGAACTTTTTTATTTTCTCAAACAGAAACTACAGAAAGGGTTTTGATTCTACACTTGACTAGCACACAATTGTAAAGCTGTTTGAGTGGTCTCCATATCACAGGACAAACACTTGATCCAGTGGTGGCATTTCTCTGCACCTGCAGATGTTCCAGGGTCTTCTCCCTGCCTCAAAGAAGAGACTCAGGGGAGAACAATGTTAGTCCCTTCCTCTAATGGTTCCCGCCAGAGGACTGTGTGGCTTTTCTTCATGCCATCATGGGGAAAACTTCTTTCTTCCTTAAGTCTCCATTTTTCTTAAAACAAACAAAAAGTTAAGTAGAAAAGAGCAGCTTGGTCACCAACTTAAGACTAACTTTAAAACTCGACATAACTATATCATGGAAACAAAAATCATGAGATTTTGTTTCCCCTAACATTATTTGGACTCCTATCTCCCAGGCATTTTTAGGCAACATCCACTTTTAAGGTAACAACCCCATTTTACATAAGAAATCTGGGTTCATAGAGGTTTAGTAATTGGTCCAAGGAATCAGAGATGTTAAGTGCCTCAGCTTGTGTTTGGACTTAATTGTGACCCTAACCCTTACCCTTCCTATTCTGCCACAAGAATGTGTGATGCTTCAGCCTCCCAAAGTGCTGGGATCACAGGCATGAAACACCGTGCCCAGCCTCATTTCAGTGTCTTTAATAGCTAGTAGTTCATTACAGTTTTACATTTATTCTTGCACTAAATATTGTGTTTTAATTTTTTTGAGAAATGTGTCTACATCATATAGATTTTAAAATGTACCAACTTATAGTTTGTGTTGATGTACGGTCCATAATTTTATTTAAAAAACCTGTCTGCAGTTATTTTTCTCTTTTAGTTCTGTAATTTATTTTTATTTATTTACTTTTAGAGATGGGGGTCTTCCTCTGTAGCCCAGGCTAAAGTGCAGTAGTACAGTCATGGCTCATTGTAACCTTGAACTCCTGGACTTAATGATCCTCCCGCCTCAACCTCCAGAGCAGCCAAAATTATAGGCGCGTGCCGCTATGCTGGGCTAACTTTTTAAATTTTTTGTACAAACGGGGTCTCGCTATGTTGCCCAGGCTTGTCTCAAACTCCTGGGCTCAAGCAGTCCTCCCAAAATGCTGGGATTATAAACATGAGCCACTGTATCCAGCTTTGTAATTTATTTTCATCACCTATTTTTTCTCGTTAAGTTTTTAAAGAGCCTATCTTATTAATGTTTTCTAAGAAGTAGGTTTTAATTTCACTGAACTTCAGAATGCATTTTTATTTTGTTTTGTTTGTTGGTGATAGTTCCATATTCATTCATTAGTAGATGCCCTTATCTTTGCTATTTTCTGTCTTCTTATTTCTTTGCATTTGCTATGTATTTTTCCAATTTCTTAGTTATAATACTTTTTTTTTAACTTTTCTTGTTCTCTGGTAAATTCTTCAAAATTATAAAATTGCCTTCTAAGTTCTTCTTTAGCTGTGTCTCTCAAGTTTGACATCTAGAATTATAATTTTTATTCAATTGTGAATACTGTGTTTCTTAATTTTCTGTTTAAGATCTTGGGTTTTTTGCTAATATTAATTTATTTCTAAACACCTGAGGTTTTTAAAGTTCTCTTTTTATTGTTAATTTATAATTTTTTTGTTTTATTGCACTATATTTCAAGAACACAGCCTGTGTAATATTGAGTCTTTGAGAGCTATTGAAGTTTCTTTTATGGCCCAATATGCAGTCTGTTTCTGTACTTGTTCTGTGTGTGAGTTGCAAAAAATGTGCATTTTGTGTCTGTCAGTTGTAGAGTTATCTTATATCTACTATTTTGAGTGTATTGTCTTGTTAAAGTTATCAACATCTTTTTTTTTAAAAAAAAGATGCCTTATTACTTTCTGAGAGAGGTGTGTTAAAATTGGTGTTTCATGTTGTTTTCTTAGCTGCGATATCATTTCTTAACCATCTTACCCTATAAGTCCAATAAACAAAGCAGATGAGAGCATAAGTGCTCTGGTTGAATCCGGGAGAAAAGGTCTTAAATGGAGCCTCCTCTCAACCCCCCATCCCTGGGGGACTCTATGGCACCTCTGCAGAACCCCTAAAATGGAATATTATTGCTGTAAACAGCCTATCAATTAACCTTTCAGTCTTATTTCTGATCACCCACTCACTAGTCCAAAGAATTTCCAGTTTGCAGCCAACAGCTACCCATGTTCTCCTCCCCATCCCAACTGCGTTTTCCTCTTGCCATTTCACCCACCAAGATTCTTCTTCACATAATCAAATTCCATACCTTACTCAAGACTCTGCTTAAATTTTGCTAATTCCAAAACATCTTTTCTAGCCATATCCATTCTTGGAATTCTAAAAGCAATTACTGGGGCCAGACATGGTGGCTCACACCTGTAATCCCAGCACTATAAGAGGCCAAGGCGGGCGGATCACCTGAAATCAGGAGTTTGAGACCAGCCTGGGCTGCATGGCGAAACCCTGTCTCTACTAAAAATTAAAAAATTAGCTGGGTATGGTGGCGCACTCCTGTGATCCCAGCTACTCAGGAGGCTGAGGCACAAGAATCGCTTGAACCTGGGAGGTGGAGGTTGCCCTGACCCAAGATCGCACCACTGCACTCCAGCCTGGGTGATAGAGCAAGACTTCATCTCAAAAAATAAAATAAAATAAAATAAAAGCAATTATTGGTAGCACAATTAATTTAGTATTTATTCACTGATCTAATTAACTAATAAGTTAGTATTTATTCAGTGACCAGCAGTCGTAATGGTTGGGAATTTCAAAAATAATTGTAGTTGTTGAATATTTGTTGTGTTAACTTTATTTCTCCTGTTATGCTGTGTGAGCATCTTTACTGTAATGCATGTCTTACATGTCTCTATTCATTCAAGTACCCACACAGCATCTTGTTCTTGGTTGCCGACCAGCAAAAATGCCTTGTATTTATTCACTTCAATGTTAATATGACTTAACTCTTTTCCTATATAGTTAACAGTTTTGTGATCTTGCAAGTCCTTCATTTTACTGTATTTTGCTAAATGTGTTCATTATTATTAGTAACAAGCTTTGTTCAGTGAGTGTTCTTTAAGATTCTCTTCAAAATTCTTGTAAAGCCGATTTATTTTCATTCTAAAATAAGCCCCCCCTTGTGCTTTATTCTTTTATTATAAATTTATGCATAAAGTCATTTTTACAAGTTTAAATTTACCTACTCACTTATAAAGCAGTGTTTGTTAAGTCTGGTAAAGTGATAGAGTGGACTGGGCTGTCTTCTTCCCCACTCTACCTTAAGACAAATGATTTGACTTGAGCTTTTAATTTGCAAGGTTCCCTCCTAAGGACAGCAAATGTAATATAAGTGAAGCATTAGAATGAGCATTTAGGGTTCCAAGAGGGTCACAATCTACGAATTTGTTATTTAAAAGCTGATGAGATGATTGCTTCCAGCCATGGTAGTAGGCATGAAGCCTTTGAGTGTGGTGGCACACCTGGCCTGATCTTGTGTTCTGCGGGGCACAGCACATGCTTAAAGCAGTACCATCCTCACACTGATTTGTCAGTGTGGTTTTGCTGCACAGAACCAACACAAGTGAGACACAGCCAGCCATCTCCTAAAACAGGTCCTTTTGACCCTAACATAGAGGTAGCAAAGTGAGACAGAAGATGGAATAAGAGAAGTATAGAACACCTATAAACTATGAGCCGCTAAGCCCTTCAACATGTATGTTGTTTAATTTTCTCAACATCCATGAAATGGATAGTAACAATTTACAGATGAAAAAGTGGAACCTCATAGAGATAAACCAATGTATTCATTGTTAGATATTGAGTAAATGGTAGATTTGTGGAATGAATTCAAATATGAGAGCTAAACCAACACCCTTAATTCCCCTTGCTTTTGCTCCCATAACCCAGTGTTATTTGGTACCCTTTGTATTAATATATATTAATGTAATTATTTAGAATTGTTGATTTTCTTTCCTACTGGACCGTAAGTCCTAAGAGTAGAAACCATGATTGTTTTGTTCAGTGTTAAATCTCTAAGACCAAATACTTTGCTTGCCTCAAATCTGGTGCTCAGCTAATGTTTTTGCTTCCCTTTTTAGTGCGGGTGGGTTGGGGCAGATAGGAAGGGGACCATGGTTTCTACCACTTTGTGTTGATTGACTTAGGTAAGAAAAGAGTCCACAGAAAGTCTAGGCCAGTGTGAACCTGAACAATCAGAAGGTCTTATGGGTGAGTTAAACTTCTTAGGAGGAAATAAAATAATTTTTAACTGTAACCTACATCTAAGGCCATGCATGACCTTAAGTACCTTCATTCTCAAAAATAAACTATTATAGAGCTTGGCACAGTGCCACATACTATAGTTCCAGCTACTTGGGAGGCTGAGGCAGGGGGATCACTTGAGCCCAGGAGTTGGAGGCTGTAGTGTGCTATAGTCACACCTGTGAATAGCCACTGCAGCACTCCAGTCTGCGCAATATAGCAAGACTCTGTCTCTTAAAAAACAAAAAAGGTACCATAGTTGAGAAATCACAGTAAGGATGGGGAAATGCTGACATCTCAATAATACAGATCAAGCTACTCTATTTAATTTTAAAAAAATTCTTTTAATAGAAAAAATCAGACAAAGATATGCAGATCTGCCTGGAGAACTGCACATTATTGAACTTGAAAAAGATAAGAATGGACTTGGACTCAGCCTTGCTGGTAATAAAGACCGATCACGCATGAGCATATTTGTGGTGGGAATTAACCCGGAAGGACCTGCTGCCGCAGATGGACGAATGCGTATTGGAGATGAACTCTTAGAGGTGAGAAGCATGTGTTTTTAACTTATCTTTTGGTGAAGTGGATGGGTGCAGTGGATGTTGTATAGGAAAATGAGGTGAAAGGGAAGAATGATGTCAAATTATATTTCCTTCAACTACTTAAAATCATTTTTCAAAGCAAGAACAGAAATCAAACTGTTGTTTGCAAATGTTATTTGCTGCTTAAGTAAAAACTAATCTCACAGAATATTTTAGAAGTTCTTCAGTAAAATATCATGGAAACATATTAAAACCTTTGTTTTTAATATCAATTTTTAAGTATTCAAAATTAATTTGTATATTAACCTAATTTTGATAGTATTTATCAAAATTCTCTTTGGGTTTTAAATTAGTCATACATGTAACTGTTGTGGTTCTTCAGTTTTTTGGGGGGAAGTGGGGAAGATGTTAGAGCCAACAAGAGCCTGTGAACTTCTCAAAAATAATAGTTAATGTCTGTGAAGTTCAGGATATGGGTAAGGCTACATAGGTTCTTTCTTTAGGAATAGAATAGACAAAAGAGAAGCTAAGAAGATGACTGATCCTCTTTTAATTACTCCAGATAATTTCATTAATAATCTGAAAAGGTTATTCTTATTCTTCTACACTTAAATTTAAGGTATCTGTTCTGAGCTTATCTTAGTTTGATACTCATTTGCTTGTTCATTCACTCATTCTTTCAGCTAACACTTTTGAGTGTCTATTAGGACCAGAAACAGAAAAAGAGATGAATACATCCAGTTCCTTCATTAGTATAGCTCACAGTCTAGAAGAAGAAAACAGACGTGAAAAGATATTTATACTACAAAATAAGAAATGCAATGATGATGATGATGATGATGATGATGATGATGATGACAATAACAGCTAAAATATACCTGGTACCAAACACAACAACCTCTTTTACTGGTGAGATCACAAAGTAAATGATGGTGTTAGGATTCAATGGCAGGCAGTTTGACTTGTAGCTCTTTGTAAACCATTGTGCTTTAAAGCCTATTTGTTAAAATGTTCCAACTTTAGGACATTTAGGGGAGCTAAATCATGGAGACACTGAGTGTTAGACTGCTTACTTGAAATGAAGGCTTACTGATTTTGCATTTTACGATTTCCTCCTCAGACTCTGACTCAGAATAGAATTTACAGTCATCCATAATTTTACTTGCCTAATAATAACTACTGCCACAGCTGGCCAGGTGCAACAGGAAGACCATCGCCATCAACTCTTTCTTCCAAACCTTGGTTGCTTCTCCCCACTTAAAACCTGTTTCTGCAAAGAAGTCACTTCCAGGATTACTTTTCTTTTCTTGTTCTTTTATAATATAGCACCACGAATGGGACCCACATTGGGTCGTAACACTGACTAGCATAATCATTACATAAATAAAGTCAAAGATGACCTTATGTAACCAATATTATTCATTGCCTCAGTTTGTTTCCTTTGGCTTATGTTTAGAGACTTCCTCAGAGATGAGACAAAAGTGATGCTGGTAGTAAAAATGATGAAAGTTAGAGCCAGTGTACTCAGTTATTGCTAGCACTGTGCATATGCATTGTACATATTTGTATTCGGTATTCTTAAAAATCCTTTATGGTAACAACTATTATTATCTCCATTTTATGGATTAGAAACTGGGTAAATAGTATACCTAATATTGCAGAACTAAGTGAATAAGTGTGGATAAGAACTCAGGCTTGCCAGACTCCAAGACCCGTGTTACAGCCACTAAAGTATACTATGTTCCCTGTGGGATTCTTTTTTTTTTTTTTTTTGAGACGGAGTTTCACTCTTGTTGCCCAGGCTGGAGTGCAATAGCACGATCTCGGTTCACTGCAACCTCTGCCTCCCAAGTTCAAGAGATTTTCCTGCCTCAGCCTCCCGAGTAGCCAGGATTACAGGCAAGTGCCACCATGCCCAGCTAATATTTGTATTTTTAGTAGAGATGGGGTTTCTCCATGTTGGTCAGGGTGGTCTCGAACTCCCGACCTCGGGTAATCCACCCGCCTCAGCCTCCTAAAGTGCTGGGATTACAGGCGTGAGTCACCAGGCCTGGTCCCCATGGGACTTCTTTAACCAACCCAATTTGTTTAGATTCAGGAGATTCCTGATTTTTGATGCTTTAGTCTTCAGGGAATCATGTACATTAAGTCACTCTGTTATGTTATACATATCTAGACAGAGATTTCCTGTCTTGCTTGGTACATGGAAATACTCCAAAGGCTATAATTTGGAATATGAAGATTCTTGTTCTGTTCTTTCTACCTTATTAAGACTCAAGATGGAATGTCCTGTGATATCCAGACCAACAGGAGCATGGGTATTTTATTTCTCTGTCTGACATTTTATTAGACAGTGGTAACAAATGAGCTGTGGCTGCAGAGTAATGAGAGTGTTTTACAGGTCAAACACAAAATTCAGCACTATGTATGTGGCAGCAAGCACTGGACTTGGAAGACCTACCGTAACTTGTCTCGATTCTTTTGGTTATTGGTTGTATTTCAGAAGTTGCTCAGCATAATGTATGTAAGAGGTAAAGAGTTTTCCTTCTCTTAGACAGCAGAACATCAACTGACATCAAGTGTGTGAAGACTATCCCCCACATACCAAGCAATTCTTCAGCTGACACCAATTGAGTATCCTATGATTCAATTCAATTCTGACACTAGGTACCTGGAGACAGCGTCAGTCCCACAAGTTAAGGGCTCAGTCCCACAATACTGTCTCCCACCACTTTAGAGGCTGTTTGCAATCCCAGGTTATGACCTGAACTTCTGACCAACCAGCTCTTAATTGGGAGTTCCCATTAACCCCTAACTCAGGTTTGATTAATTTGCTAGGGTGGCTCACACAAGTCAGGGAAACAATTTACTTATATTTAGTCATAAAGGAAGTTACGAAGATACAGGTGAACAACCAGATGAAGAGATAGATATACAGATTGAGGTGTAAGTGAAGGGGAGGGCAGAGTTTCCATGCCCTGTCTGGGCGTGCTACCCACCAGACAGGTCCACGTGTTCAGCAAGCCAAGAGCTCTTCAAACCCCATAGTTCAGGGGTTTTTATTAAGGCTTCATCATGTAGGCATGAGCAATTATTACCTCATTCTCCCTGAGGGTCGGAACTGAACATTCCAAGCTTTTAGCTGTGGTTTGGTCCTTCTGGCAATCATCTCCCATTCAAGAACCCACCAAGAGTTGCCTCATTAGAACAAAAGACACTCTTGTTACCCAAGGAATTCCAAGGGATTAGGAGCTCTGTGTCAGGAACCCAGATCAGAGACCAAATATTAAAACAAGAGATGTACCTAACACCTAGCACCCCTGTTGCTCAGGAAATTCCAAGGGTTTTAGGAGCTCTGTGCCAGAAACTGCAAGCAGAGAACAAATATGTATTTCTGATTATATCACAATAGCACAGCATGGTGAATAGTTAACTGTTAATGAAAACAGACTTCCACTCCCTTAGAAACTTCCGGTATCTGTTTGCTAAGCTAGAGTCTAGAAGAACTCTGCTGGATAAAAAATAACATTTTGCTTTATTGGACTCCTCCTATGCTTTCCTTTGACTTTCGGAATTTGGCCCTTTCATTGCAATTCAGCAATTTCATCTTCATTCAGAGATGGAATGAGCAAAAAGATTAAACATACCAATAACTTAACTCCCCATCACTCCACAAAGATTCTCTAGTTTAAAAAAAAATAACGAATAAAAATATGTTGGAATATAGATTCTGGCATCATGTATTTTTGGCTAATTATTTATCTTCTTTAAGCCTCAGCTACCTCCTTTTTCAAATGGAGAAATTAATTCATTCAGCAAATATCTTACTGTGCATCTGTCATATAGCAGGTGCTGTATGAACAAAGTGTAGATTCTCTGCTGGTGAACAAAATACATAATACCTGCCCTCACAGAGCTTCCAGTCTAGTGATTGTACAGCATCAACCTCAGAGGGTAGTGTGGGAATTAATAAGAGTATCTGGTACATAGCAATACCTTAATACATTTCAGATGATTTTGATTTTATTCATAATTTTTTTTCAGCGTTGTATAGCTCAGTTCTTTTTAGTTCATTTATATTAATGCCTTTGTCTCTGAAAGTCTGTCCCATAGGGAAGTCATCTTTTTATTCCTTGATGGCTCTATGCAACATCCTGAAGAGCTGGGAGAATGGAAAAATGCATATACAGGATTCTTTTTTTTTTTTCCCAAGACAGAGTTTCACTCTTGTTGCCCAGTCTGGAGTGCAATGGCGCCACCTTGGCTCACTGCAACCTCCACCTCCCAGGTTCAAGCAATTCTCCTGCCTCAGCCTCCCAAGTAGCTGGGATTACAGGTGCATGCCACCACGCCTGGCTAATTTTTTGTATTTAGTAGAGATGGGGTTTCACTATGTTGGTCAGGCTGGTCTTAAACTCCTGATCTCAGGTGATCCACCTGCCTCAGCCTCTCAAAGTGCTGGGATTACAGGGGTGAGCCACCATGCCCAGCCCATATACAGGATTCTTAAGCATTTATAACCCATCTTCTCATTGGGCTTTAGGTCAGAGATGATAGAGAATTAAATTCATGTGAGAACCATTTCCCTGTTTTCTTTTTATAACTCAGAAAAATTTGCAATTATTACTCTATGATATGTGAAGAATTTGTATGTAGTATAATATCAAATCCAATGTGCTTTTGAGCTGAGTATAGGAAATTTATTTAATGATGAGTACCAAGAAAGCTAAAGCCAGTGTTATAATAGCTGTTCTTTGGATATTGCAGTGTAGTAGATTGTAGAAGTATACTGCATTATATGGGAAGCATTTGCAAGTGGGCTTTTAGATTATACCTATTGGGTTTCTGAGAGCAAATCATGAGTGGTTGCTTTACCCCCTGACACTGTTTATTTTTATCGTCTCTCCCTCAATTGAAGTAAAATGCTCAATGTCTTGATTATTTTTATAACTTCATTATTTGCACATATTATTTATCATTATTGTTTTGTCTCTATGATATGGCTTTGCTCACAGCCTCCTTTTAGTTATATTTGATCTTAATTCCTTCAGACGCTTAGATGAGGTTAATTTATAGAAAATAGCAAAAAGAGAGGTTGAGCATACATTGTGGCTTCTTTGAAGCCAGAAACTCAGCTTCTCTTTGAGAGCCCTGTCCATGACACACTTTTGGTGTGACATTTGCTAGCAGTTTTGTTGCTGCGGGACTGCACCATTACAGTGGAAGAGCATTCAGCAAATTCTGTCCATCAATGGCTTGGTTCACATACAAAAGAAATTTTACATTAAGCCCCTAAAAGACAATATGATTAAATCTCAGCTTCTTTGCCCTTTACTTCCATGCTAGTAAGAGGGTTACTGAATTAATTTCAAAAGGCATTAACATATAATCACCATGTGGACTGGAATGAGACTTATGCTAGAGTATTGGCTTTCCCAAAGCAATTAGTCCCGGAAAATGCACAGGCCTGAGCATGGGGCTGTCATATGAATACAGGATTCATTTATAATCTTCCCTTCAGTGCCAATGTAGGAAAAAAGAGTTGATGGTGCTGTGCAGGGAATTGGAGTGATTTGTCAGGTTCCAGAAGCAGCCAGAAGGAACAAAGTGGGTGGCACAAGAGGTGCACAATTGATTGGGCTAGTGTATTGAGCTGTGTTTTGTCTGCCTCCCAAGCCTTTTGAGATAGAAGAAGTATGCAGTACATTCCCTTTGTATCATTCACCTAAAGGATAACCCAAGTAAAATCCTGTCATTTTGCTTATGTGTAAAATGATATTTAAGAATCATGAAAAATCAAAAGCATGAATGTGTCCCATATTTTTCAGGGATAAAGACATAGAGCTACAGGTAATCTCAGATCTCAGTGTCCAGTAATATTTATTTTATAAGAGAAAAAACCGAAACCATAAAAGTTAAATGACTGGCCCAGGTATACATGCAGCTGCTTCATGCAAAAGTCCTACCAGGAGCCCTTACCAGCACCACTGTCTCAGCAGTTTATCCCTGACTTTCTGCTTGCTGCCAGTGAATTGTTTTTGAAATCTTTTGGAAAACTTAGATGTGTTTGGAAGTACAGTAGAGTACTTAATAAATCACTAGCTTCTGTGTATGTATGGATAAGATTACTTATAATTTATAGTCAGAAGCTTCTGTCATCTAGATTGGCTTTTTTAGATTACCATACATGGATGCAATTTTATGAAGTGTGTTTCTTAATGAAATAACTATGCCCTCAGAGACCTCATGTAATAAAATATCCCATTATAGAAACAGTAGTTTGAGGAACAGGAAGAAGAACAAAGAATTAAAAATTGCAAGAAAATGACTTTTCCTGTAGCTTTATTAATAGAGATAGGTTCTTTTTTTCTTTTCTTTTCTTTTTTTTTTTTTTTTTTTGAGATGGAGTCTTGCTCTATCGCCCAGGCTGGAGTACAGTGGCACAATCTTGGCTCACAGCAACCTCTGCTTCCTAGGTCCAAGTGATTCTTGTGCCTCAGCCTCCCGAGTACCTGGGATTACAGGTGCATACCACCATGCCCGGCTAATTTTTGTATTTTAGTGGAGACGGGGTGTCACCATGTTGGCCAGGCTAGTCTCGAACTCCTGACCTCAAGTGATCTGCCCGCCTTGGCCTCCCAAAGTGCTGGGATTACAGGGGTGAGCCACTGCACCTGGCCAGAGATAGGTTCTAAATAGCTAAAAGTGTAAAAATAAATTGATCAAGTGTTCGATTGTAGCTATGGTTTCACTAATACTAAATACTATTCACTAATACTAAAATATTACACTTTAGTATGTGATTTGCTATATGTCAATATTGTATCTCAAAGCTATTAAAAAATGAGTGATTAAACCTGACACAAATACATATTGTAAGCAAGCCCTGAATATGACCTTCCCATATGCAGAGCCAAAGTCACCTCATTTTGTTACTCGTAAGATGATCTGCAACCCGGTTCACAACTCTAAAAGTCACCAGAAGACTGTGGTGCTGGCTGAGTGGTCAGCCTCACACACTAAGTGCAGTCCTCTGGTCATTACAGCGTTGTAACCAATAGCTATCTGTGTCTTGCTAATCATGTTCCTTAAGTAATCAGTTGTGTTATACTCAGTTTCAGTTACAAAAGACTTGCTCATTAAAAGAAATTGAGAGTGTGGTTAGGGTGCTGAATAGGGAATTGAGCTAACATTGAGTACTTAATTATTTGCCTGGCAGTAGGCTGTGTTTTTAAGTTATTTGAGTTCTGGATTAATAATGATTCTAGAAGGTAATAAGTGAATTCATTACCGTTTTGTATTAATAGTTTTAGTAGATAAAGATTAATGCAATTTATCCAGTACTAGTTTAAAACACCCAAGATAGTTTCTCACAATACAATTCCATGCTATTCTTATCTTCTTAGTTTTTTATGTGTGCGGTTTTTTGTTTTGTTTTGTTTTGTTTTGTTTTGTTTTGTTTTAAAAAAAAAAAAGACAGGGTCTAGCTCTGTCACCCAGGCTGGGGGTGCAATAGAATGATCATAGCTCACTGTAACTTGAAACTCCTGGGCTCAAGTGATCCTCCCTCCTCAGCCTCCTGAGTAGCTAGAACTATAGGTGCATGCCACTGTGCCCAGCTTATATATGTATATATAATATATTATATATATTAATTATATATAATATATTATATATTTATTATATATATTATATATAATAAATATATATTATATAATATATATTTTTTTCTTTTTGAGAAAGAATCTCACTCTGTCACCCAAGCTGGAGTTCAGTGGCATGATCTCAGCTCACTGCAACCTCCACCTCCTAAATTCAAGCTATTCTTCTGCCTCAGCCTCTCGATGAACTGAGATTATAGGCATGAGCCATCAGGCCTGGCTAATTTTTTTTTGTATTTTTAGTAGAGATGGGGTTTCACCATGTTGGCCAGGCTGGTCTCGAACTCCTGACCTTAAGTGATCTGCCTGCCTCCGCCTCCCAAAGTGCTGGGATTACAGGCGTGAGCCACTGCGCCTAGCCCAGCTAATTTTTATTTTATTTGTTGTAGAGTCAAAGTCTTTCTGTATCGCCCAGGCTAATCTCCAACTCCTGGGCTCAGGCAGTCTTCCCACCTCAACCTCCCAAAGGGCTGGAATTACAGATGTGAGCCACTGTGCCCAGCCTGTCTTCTAAAAATTTAACGCCACTTTGAATTAATTAAAAGCAGAATGTAGTTAGTGAAATTATGTTCATCACTTAAGAACCAAAGAAGAAGAAAATTTATTTTTTGAGCTTGTTCTTGCACTAGGAGAGCTTGTCTGAACTTCATAATTAAAGACCTTTACCCTTCAGTTCCTTCATAGAGTTCGAGTTTTATTTTCCAACTGCAGGAACTATTATGTAAAACCTAGTTCGTATCGGTTGGCCTCATTCTTTTTTGTTTCCTGCTGTGAAGTCTTTGAGCTCTATTTCTGCCATTTTTGTTTCTGACTATGGCTTGTTAGGGGAAGAGTTAAATTATTTAGTCATACTTCCTTATGCCACTGAAATATTGAGGCCAAAAATCCATATTCTTGTCTTGGAGGAAGGACAATCGTTTATTTTTTATTACTGCAGTCCTCATTATTGCTCACACAAAAGCTTTATGTGTGGTCTCTCCAGTGAGCCAAATTATCTTAAAATTATGGAAAGTGCCATGAAAATAGAAAGTAAAAATGATGATTGAAGAAGCAGATTACTGAAGAAATCTGTTAAAAAAAAAATAGCGACAGGAATGTATGCTGGGGAAGAAATTTATGGAAGGAGTAATTTTCAGCAGTGCCTCTCTCGACTCTTCTTTCTGCGATTTTCCCCCATGTCTTCCATAACCTACTGGGATTGTTCTCTGGGCCTCCATTTCCTCCTTTGTCCAGCGCTTTCCCAACTTCCTTCCTGTCCTATGGATATTGTAGTGACTGTAGTGAAATGCAGCCTGGAAAAATATGCTCTTAGAATTGAGAGAAGTTTTCTTATATTAGCCTTTTGTATTTTACTTTATTTGTATATTTTCTGCCCCATTAACAGTATATAAGAGAGGCACTTTGGGAGGCTGAGGTGGGCAGATCACCTGAGGTCAGGAGTTCAAGACCAGCCTGGCCAACATGGTGAAACCCCATCTCTACTAAAAATACAAAAATTAGCCAAAAATGGTGGTACACAGCTGTAATCTCAGCTACTCGGGGGGCTGAGGCACAAGAATCGTTTGAACCTAGGAGTTGGAGGTTACAGTGAGCTGAGATCACACCGTTGCACTCCAGCCTGGGTGACAGAGTGAGACTCTATCTCAAAAAAACAAACAAAACAGAAACCAGTATATAAGAGAGACCGTTCCACTCCTTCCACCCCAAAAGCTAGCAAATACTGGGTATTATAAGATCTCAGGCAACCTGATAGGTGAAAGTTTTGTCATTACAGAAAGTTTTTCACACATATACATATACAGTTAAGGAAGAAAGTAGTAGTGTGCTGAGGTGAGGCAGAGTTGTGGTTTTTGTTTTTGTTGTTTTTTTGGGTTTTTTTAGGCAGAGTCTTGCTCTGTCACCCAGACTGGAGTGCAGTGGTGTGATCGCAGCTCTGCAACCTCTGCCTCCCAGGTTCAAGCAATTCTCCTGCCTCAGCCTCTCAGCCTCCTGAGTAGCTGGGATTACAGGCGCCTGCCACCATGCCCGGCTAATTTTTGTATTTTTAGTAGAGATGGGGTTTCACCATATTGGCCAGGCTGGTCTCGAACTCCTGACCTCAGGTGATCCTCCCGCCTCGGCCTCCCAACGTGCTGGGATTGCAGGTGACAGCCACCGTGCCCAGCCTAGAGTTTTTTGTTTTTTTTTTTTTATACTTTAAGTTTTAGGGTACATGTGCACAATGTGCAGGTTAGTTACATATGTATACATGTGCCATGCTGGTGTGCTGCACCCATTAACTCGTCATTTACGTTAGGTATATCTCCTAATGCTATGCCTCCCCCCTCCCCCCACCCCACAACAGTCCCCAGAGTGTGATGTTCCCCTTCCTGTGTCCATGTGTTCTCATTGTTCAATTCCCATCTATGAGTGAGAATATGCAGTGTTTGGTTTTTTGTTCTTACGATAGTTTACTGAGAATGATGAGTTCCAATTTCATCCATGTCCCTGCAAAGGACATGAACTCATCATTTTTTATGGCTGCATAGTATTCCATGGTGTGCACGTGCCACATTTTCTTAATCCAGCCTATCATTGTTGGACATTTGGGTTGGTTCCAAGTCTTTGCTATTGTGAATAGTGCCACAATAAACATACGTGTGCATGTGTCTTTATAGCAGCATGATTTATAGTCCTTTGGGTATATACCCAGTAATGGGATGGCTGGGTCAAATGGTATTTCTAGTTCTAGATCCCTGAGGGATCGCCACACTGACTTCCCCAAGGGTTGAACTAGTTTACAGTCCCACCAACAGTGTAAAAGTGTTCCTATTTCTCCACATCCTTTCCAGCACTTGTTGTTTCCTGACTTTTTAATGATTGCCATTCTAACTGGTATGAGACGGTATCTCATTGTGGTTTTGATTTGCATTTCTCTGATGGCCAGTGATGATGAGCATTTTTTCATGTGTCTGTTGGCTGCATAAATGTCTTCTTTTGAGAAGTGTCTGCTCATGTCCTTTTTGATGGGGTTGTTTGTTTTTTTCTTGTAAATTTGTTTGAGTTCATTATAGATTCTGGATATTAGCCCTTTGTCAGATGAGTAGGTTGCGAAAATTTTCTCCCATTTTGTAGGTTGCCTGTTCACTCTGATGGTAGTTTCTTTTGCTGTGCAGAAGCTCTTTAGTTTAATTAGATCCCATTTGTCAATTTTGGCTTTTGTTGCCATTGCTTTTGGTGTTTTAGACATGAAGTCCTCGCCCATGCCTATGTCCTGAATGGTAATGCCTAGGTTTTCTTCTAGGGTTTTTATGGTTTTAGGTCTAACGTTTAAGTCTTTAATCCATCTTGAATTAATTTTTGTATAAGGTGTAAGGAAGGGATTCAGTTTCAGCTTTCTACATATGGCTAGCCAGTTTTCCCAGCACCATTTATTAAATAGGGAATCCTTTCCCCATTGCTTATTTTTCTCAGGTTTGTCAAAGATCAGATAGTTGTAGATATGCGGCGTTATTTCTGAGGGCTCTGTTCTGTTCCATTGATCTATATCTCTGTTTCGGTACCAGTACCATGCTGTTACTGTAGCCTTGTAGTATAGTTTGAAATCAGGTAGCGTGATGCCTCCAGCTTTGTTCTTTCGGCTTAGGATTGACTTGGCAATGCGGGCTCTTTTTTGGTTCCATATGAACTTTAAAGTAGTTTTTTCCAATTCTGTGAAGAAAGTGATTGGTAGCTTGATGGGGATGGCATTGAATCTATAAATTACCTTAGGCAGTATGGCCATTTTCACGATATTGATTCTTCCTACCCATGAGCATGGAATGTTCTTCCATTTCTTTGTATCCTCTTTTATTTCATTGAGCAGTGGTTTGTAGTTCTCCTTGATGAGGTCCTTCACAAAAACTAACAAACAGAAAGGACGTGACAGCCCAGAGTTTTTAAAGCTGACACTTGAGTTGGGTTTTTCTCTTTCTTTACCACTGTAAAAAAATAATGAATGAGAATTGGGTGCTGGGTTTTGTTTTGTTGTTTTAGTGGTGGCAGGGAAGCTGGGGATGCGGGTGATTAGGCTGAGTATTACAGAGGTAGCAGGAGTCCCATAGCACCAAGTTCCATCTTCTTGTTACCCATTCCAGAGGCCCCAAACCTACCTAGAGGCTTTGGGATCAGGAGGCTTGAGCTTGGATTCTGGCTCTGCCACCTCCTTACCTAGAACCCCTTTGTAAGTCACTGAGTTTGTGAGTCTCAACGTCGTCATTACAAAAGTACAGAAACACCAACCTTCTCTTTCATGGTGGGTAGTGTGGTAGTACTGGACTCTGGATGAGTTATACTTTAAAAGCTATCAACTGTATATCATGTAATCCTGCCCCTACAGGACTGATTCACTAACAAGATAACTGTTTAAAAGAAAGAAAAAGAGAGCGGGGCGCAGTGGCTCACACCTGTAATCCCAGCACTTTGGGAGGCTGAGGCGGGTGGATCATTTGAGGTCAGGAGTTTGAGGCCAGCCTGGCCAACATAGTGAAACCCTGTCTCTACCAGAAATACAAAAAAATTAGCCGGGTGTGGTAGTGCATGCCTATAATCCCAGCTACTTGGGAGGCTGAGGCAGGAGAATCACTTGAACCCGGGAGGCAGAGGTTGCAGTGAGCCAAGATCGTGCCACTGCACTCAAACCTGGGCAACAAGAGCGAAACTCTGTCTCAAAAAAAAAAAAAAAAAAAAAAAAAGAGAGAGAGAAACTGGAGTTGGAAGGGAGCACAGTTAGGGAGTGATAGAGTCCTTTGATGACTGAATGGGTTTTTCACTATGTCTATACAAGGGACAAGTGAAATACTTTGAAGGCAAGAGAAAAAGATTTCTAGCAACAGAGAGAATTGAGGTGGGGTTCTAATTAGATCAGCTGTTTTTATGAAAAGGAGCAAACATTAAGCATTCCTAGTTTAGGGAAAGTCTTGACTGGTAGCATATATCAATGTTCTTAGAAGAATAAATTCCCGGTCATTGGTCACCAGTCCTGTCTGCTTAGGTGGCTAATAATACCATTGATAGAGTTAGGCTGTAATATCTCAATGTCCTAGGAAACCACTGATTCCTCTGTAATATAAGAGGTGGATTATACTGTGCTTTCATTCATTTATTCTTTCCTTTGCCATGCAGCTAATGGGAAATTACCTATAGTCACCTACTTCATTTGGTCAAGTGAAACAGCTTGTGGCAATTGGAGCAACTTTCACAGGAGTATTCAAAATTAGAACAACACAGAAACATATTTCTCTATTTTCTCGAAGTCAGTATTTTTCAAAAACATGTCAGGGTTTAGAATTCAAAAGGATATCTTACTCTTTTCCCAATATAACAAATTTAGACAGATGTGTGAGCTGCATATTACTATTATGCTGCCTTTAGAATGTATTTCAATTTAATTAGTTTTGTTTGAGAGAAAATAAATCTCTCATCTTTAAGCCTTTTAAATGAATGTGATCCTTTGGAAACATTATACTTCACAAGAAATAGATTAAATTGCAGCTGTGGAAGATCTTACTTCAGCACTGCGATTTCCATTAAACTGAGTCCTTGAAACCTGCTCCTTTGCCCAAGGTATTAAGAAGTGGCTGCTTGTTGTACACTATTTTGTCTTTTCCAAGGAAAAAATTAATGTGATAATTTATTCAGAAGTCTTTTTTCATTATTGTGAAATTGTGTTTCACCTGAGTTTCAGGCATCTGCCCTGTCCCATCCCTAGCCTGGTACTCCTTTCCTCCCTTTGGTTCTCCCATCTGCAAAGTGGGAGCAATGGTTTGGAAAGTGGGCATCTTCTTCATGGGGGCCAGTGCCCAAGATTTTTGGAAAGAAGAAACTACCTCTATTATCTCTGTCAGTCTACTTCTCTCCTCCCCACCCCGAAAGCTACACTGTAAAAGTACCTGTGGTTCCTACAGAGAGACCTTGAGTTTCACACCTGCGTGCCTTTCATATGCTTTTCCCCAGTCATGGAGTCCTCTTGCCACTCACTTCCCCTGTGCCTGCTAAGCTTCTGTCTAAACATCTGTCTACTGCTTCTTAAGAGCAAACTACCCAACTCCAAGATGAGACAATTGCTTCTTGTTTTATGCCTACACACATCATATGGCAATGCAATTATTTGTTTCCAAAACCATGTCACTTACAGAGTACCGGATCCTTGAGGGCGGCAACTGTATCTGACTAAATAAAGTCATTTCTACAAAGTGACTTTCAGAGAATCTGGTACCTAGAACACAGTGTTTAATACATGGCAGCTATGATGACAATGGTAATGAAAATTCCTGTATCCTCATCACTTATGCAATGATTGTTAAGTGAATAAATGGGTGAATATTCAACATACCTATTATACTTTTATTGGAATATTTCTTGGTCTGGGGTTTCTACTTTGTGAGCCCTATAAATTGGAATTCTGATTTCATAGGACTAAAAATGAGTTACTTATACTATGGCTTTTTTTCACCCCGAGTAAATACCCTTAGGGAATGTTTTTAATTAATAAGCTTTTAAACTGAAAGATATTTTGGCTATAAGTTCTGATTCTAGATGTGTTATGTTGGTCAAATTTCTTAAACTCACTGTGCCTCAATTTCTCCATCTATATAATGACGTAACCATGCAGTTCTCTACTGGTTTGAGTGAGACAAGTAATGTATTAGGCATGTGTGCACATGTATGTGTGTGTGCCTTCTATGTTGTAAACATTTATTAAATGGTACTATTATAGTTATAAAATGTCAATATAGAAAAACAAACTGAAAATCACCTTAAATCCCACCAGCGATATGATCATTGCTGACATTTAGTAGAGATACTCACAGAACTTTCTTTAAACCCACACAGAAACTTTTACATAAATGAAAATAATGTGGTAAATAGGTTGCATGAAATTTGTTATTTTCTTCACTCTGCATGCAGTGTTTTCTTTCTATGACAATGCATCTACATCTGTATCATCCTCCCCTACCTCTGTTTAATACCACAGTTTTCCATTTATTGATATACGATTATTAGTATAATTGTTTGTTGGTTAATACGTAGTTTTTTTCACTTTTTCTCTTTTAAAGGAATAGCCATGAGAGGGATGACTGGGTTTTTAAATTTTTTAGGATTTTTTTTTTTTGAGACATAGTTTCACCTGTCACCCAGGTTGGAGAGCAGTGGCGTGATCTCAGCTTACTGCAGCCTCCACCTCCAGAATTCAAGCTATTCTTGTGCCTCAGCTTCCTGAGTGGCCAGGCTGGTCTCAAACTCCTGACCTCAAGTGATCCACCCACCTTGGCTTCCCAAAGTGCTAGGATTACAGGCGCCCAGCCTAGGATAAATTCTTAGAAGTGGAATTATTAGATTAAAAGTTAACCTATAAAAATATTCAATATGATGTGGTTTTTTTTTTTTTTTCGTCTGTGTGTTACATTCAGTAAAAGAGTTTATTAAAGAAAAAAAGTTGGGCCAGGCACAGTGGCTCATACCTATAACCTCAGCATTTTGAGAGGCTGAGATTAGAGGATTGCCTGATCCCAAGAGTTCAGGACCACCCTGGGCAAGATAGCAAGACCTTGTCTCTACCAAAAAAATTAGCCAGGCGTGGTGGCACACACCTGTAGTCCTAGCTACTTGGGAGGCTGAGGTGGGAGTATTCCTTGAACCTGGGAGTTAGAGGCTTCTAGGCTACAGTGAGCTATGATTGTGCCACTGCACTCCAGCCTGGACAACAGAACAAGACCCTGCCTCTTTAAAAAAAAGTAAATTACAGAGAAGGACTCTCAGATTTAATTATCACCAATTCAAATTACATGAATTTCAACTCAGTTCTTTAATAATAATTTGTCACTTTTCATAATCAATCCTTCTGCTTTAATAAAATTGTGGGTGGGGTATTGTTAGGTATAATATATTATGACGTGATATTCACACCTCAGGCAAATCTATTACTTGAGCTAAACTTTAATTTTTATATAATTAATATTTCCATTCCTAGCTTAAGTTAATTAACTTTTACTTCCAATTTGGCAGGGTTTTTTAGTAGATTTAATTGAGCTGCTCTTCAGTATACATTTCTTTTCTTTTTTTGTTTTGTTTTGTTTTGTTTTGTTTTTTGAGACGCAGTCTTGCTCTGTCGCCCCAGGCTGGAGTGCAATGGCGCAATCTCGGCTCTCTGCAACCTCCATCTCCCAGGTTCAAGCAATTCTCCTGTCTCTGCCTCCCAAGTAGCTGGGATTACAGGCGCATGCCGCCACACCCCACTAATTTTTTCTATTTTTAGTAGAGACAGGGTTTCACCATGTTCCCCAGGCTGGTCTCGAACTCCTGAGCTCAGGCAATCCACCCGCCTTGGCCTCCAAAAGTGCTAGGAGTACAGGCGTGAGCCACCGTGTTCAGCCCAGTATAAATTTCTATTCATGTTAGTTGAACTATAAAAAATTAACAGTAGTTGAAAACCTATCACTTCATGATATTTTTGAATAGTTAATTTTATTGAAACAAATCTCATTAAAGATCTCTAAAGTGAAAGTTTGTATAGTATAACAAAAGGATTTGAATTCATTTACTTTTGCTGAATTTTCACTGGATTAACCCTAATTCTACTTCTGCTAGGTTAATGTTATAACTAAGTATCCCATCTCTGGTACATAAATATAAGAAGACTTACCTCATATCAGATTGTCTTCCCCCACTACAGTAGTTGAAACCAGTCTATAAGGGGAAAAGTCAAAACACAATGAAAATCCGTTATAATATAGCTTAGAAGCTTTGCAAATACAGTCAGGCCTTAATGGCAGGGATACATTTCTGAGAAATGCGTCACTGAGTGATTTTGTTGTATGAAGGTCATAAAGTGTACAACCTAGATGGTGTGGCCCACTCCACACCTAGGCTATGTGGTATAAGGCTATTGTTCCCAGGCTATAAACCTGGGCAGCATGTTACTGTACTGAATACTGTAGGCAACTGTAACACAATGGTAAATATTTTTATATCTAAATACAGAAAAGGCACAGTAAAAATATGGTATTATAATTGTATGGGACCACCATTATATATGTGGTCCATCCTTGACTGAGGCATTATTATGTGGCACCTGATTATAGAGGTATTTCTCATTTGAGGCTGTTATCTTCAGTATCCAGAGCTACTATAATTTGCTACTGAACGACATTTTATTGAGTTGGAAATTCAGAACCTGGGAAAAAAATGAACTCACCCCTAAGGTAAAATATTACTGTCTTTCAGGGACTAGGCATCATGAAGCTGAGACAGAAGTTACTAGAACTATCTGGAAGACCTCAGAAGGCCCACTTTGTCAGTAATCAGATGAGGAAGCTAAAAACAGATAAGAAAACCAGAATTGTAGGTCAAGAGCATAGAAAGCTCCTTTGGACAGAAAGCTTTTTCCCTTTTTCTTTTTTCTTCTTTTGTATCTTTTTGGATGCCAAGGCAAATTACTGAACATCTGAAAGAGCACAAGACTAGGAGATTGAAAGAGGTATGTCAGTTAGATTTACAAATTAATATTCAGAATTAGCAGGAGCCTAAGAAACCATATCAATGAATACTTTTTGGTTGCAAAGAACAGAAATTAGTTCAAATAATTGTCCCAGTCAGCTTGGGCTGACCATAGACATCTATTTCTCACAGTTCTGGAGGCTGAGAAGCCCAACATCTAGATGCTGATTAATTTGGTTCTTGTTGAGGGCTGTCTTCCTGGTTTGCAGACAATGTTCCTGCTGTATGCACACACATGGTGAAGGGAGAGATTATGTCTCTTAGTGTAAAGGCACTAATTTCCTCTATGAGGGCTCCATCCTCATGACCTTGTTACTTCCCAAAGGCCCCACGTCCAAATACCATCGTATTGGGAATTAAGGCTTCAACATATGAATTTGCAGAGGGACATAAAAATTCAGCCCATAACAATAGCTTCACCAAAAAAGTAGAATCTATTGTAATGGTGTGAATCCCTCCTGGAATCTGAAGATCGGGATGCACCAGGGCTTTGGGAAATGATGGCTTTTCCAGTCCCTTCATCTGTGTGGCAGAATATGGACATCTCACAGAAGCTTAATGAACATGTAAAAAAGCTAGCTGTTGTCTCAGCTCCAATTTAAAACCCCCTAAAGAGAGAATCTTGGTTGTCCTAGCCTATGTTATATGCTCCTCAGCTGTGGCCTGGAGTGTCATGACAAGCAACACAAACTTGGCTGCCCACCATAAAGGATGGTATTTGTGATGAGAGGATTTGAAGGACAGTCCCTTACAAAGAGAAGCAGTTGTGTGCTGGCAAAGATCCCCCTAGATCTCTACTACATTCCTCATCTGGTCTGGCTTTCTCATCTTAGTGATATAGAAATTGAGATAGAATGCCATTAAATCACTTCCCATAGTCATGGCTTGATGAATGTGGGAAAAAGATATAATTTATCATCCAAACTGGGTAACTACTAATCGGCACAGTGGCTCATGCCTGTGATCTCAGCACTTTGAGAGGCCAGGGCAAGTGGATCGCTTGAGTCCAGGAGTTCAAGACCAGCCTGGGTAACATGGCAAGACCCCGTCTTTATAAAAAAATGAGCCCGGTGTGTGGTGCGCACCTGTAGTCCCAGCTACTCAGGAAGCTGAGGTGGGAGGATTGTTTGAGTCTGGGCGGTCAAGGCTGCAGTGAGCCATGATCGCACCATTGCACTCCAGCCTGGGCGACAGAGCAAGACCCTGACTCAAAAATAAATAAATAAATAAATAAGTAATTGGAACAACATAAATAAAGTAGGCTGTCTCAGGAAAATCAGGATATATGATTACCATTGAATGAAAGAGTTGTAGATCTTGGATTTTAAGATAATAAATAGATATTTGGGTAAATTGGGAAGCATCAAATCAGGAATAAAGATAGTTCTTCCCACCATTGTGGGATGATATCAAAGATAAAGACATGTCTACATAATTTATTATTCTTCCTTTATATCATTCAGTCACCTTTGAAAGAAGAAACTTTGGGAAAGGCACTTAGTTTCTCTACCTCTCAATTTACTGGAAGTAAATGGAAAAAAATAATATTTTCCCAATTTCAAGATAATCTGAATGAGCACTCAGGTCATGAAAGGTGGGGAGCAATATTTGATCCAAAATGAAATATCTTAATTGTTTTCCTTGGGGCTGGGTCAGAAAAAGCTAAAAGGGTAGTCAACCTATATATATATTGAACCTATTTATTTACAGGCATACTTCAGATAGATTATGGGTTCCATTCTAGACTACCACAATAAAGCAAGTATCAGAATAAGTGAGTCATGTGTGTTTTTTTGTTTCCCGCATATGTGAAAGTTATGTTTATACTATGGTCTATAAAGTGTGCATTAGCATTATGTCTAAACAAGTAGATACATTAATTTTAAAATAATTTATTTCTAAAAATTGCTAACGATCATCTAAGCCTCAGCAAGTTGTCATCTTTTTGCTGGTGGAGAGTCTCGCCTCCATGTTGATGGTTGCTGACTGATCAGGGTGGTGGTTGCTGAAGGTTGGGGTGGCTGTGACAACTTCTTAAGATAACAATGACATTCGCCACATCGATTGTCTCCTTTCAGGAAAGATTTCTCAGTAACATCGGATGCTGTTTAATAGCATTTTACCCACAGTAGAATTTCTTTCAAAATTGGAGTCTAGGACTGGTTTATCAATGAAGTTTATGTAATAGTCTAGATTCATTGTTGTCATTTCAACAATGTTCAAAGCATCTCCACCGGGAGATTTCATGTCAAGAAACCACTTTTGGCCAGGCCTGGTGGCTCACGCCTGTAATCCCAGCACTTTGGGAGGCCGAGGTGGGCGGATCACAAGGTCAGGGGTTCGAGACCAGCCTGGCCAATATGGTGAAACCCTATCTCTACTAAAAATACAAAAATTAGCCTAGTGTGGTGGTGGGCGCCTGTAATCCCAGCTACTGAGGAAGCTGAGGCAGGAGAATCGCTTGAACCTGGGAGGGGGAGGTTACAGTGAGCCGAGATCGTACCATTGCACTCCAGCCTGGGGGAGTGAGACTCCATCTCAAAAAAAAAAAAAAAAAAGAAAGAAAGAAAGAAACCAGTTTCTTTGCTCATCCATAGGAAGCAGCTCCTCATCTGTTCAAGTCTGATCGTGAGATTGTAGCAATCCAGTCCCATCTTCAGGCTCCACTTCTGATTCTAGTTCTCTGTCCATTTCCACCACACCTGCAGTGACTTCCTTCACTGAAATCTTGAACCCCTCAAAGTCATTCATGAGAGTTGTTATCAGCTTCTCCAAAATTCCTGTTAATGTTGATTTTTTTTTTTGTAGCCACATTTATTTAAGTGTACAGCTCAGTGGTAATAAATACAGGTATATTCTTTTTTTTCCTTCCTCTCTCCCAGCTCCCCAAAAAACCCCCTCCCCACCCCGCCCCAGCCTCTGGTAATCACCAGTCTACTCTCTGTCTTCATGAAATCTACTTTTTTAGCTCCCACATATGAGTGAGAACATGATATTTCTCTTTCTGTGCTTGGTATATTTCACTTCACATAATGGCCTCCAGTTCCATCCATATTATTGCAAATGACAGGATTTCATTCTTTGTTATGGCTGAATATTATTCCATTGTGTATATATACCACATTTTCATTATCCATTCACCTGTTGATGAGCACTTAGGTTGATTCCATATAAGGAAAGGAGTTTAATTGACTCATGGTTCCTCATGGCTGGGGAAGCTTCAGGAAACTTACAATCATGGCTGAAGGGGAAGCAAACACATCCTTCTTCACATGAAAGGCTATTGTTGAAAATTTATTGTTTAATGTAACCATCTTCATTATTGAGCTTAGCTAGATCTTCTGAATAACTTTCTGAAGTTTCTACATCATCACTTGCTGCTTCTCCTTGCATTTTATGAGATTGAGACTCCTCGCCTTAAACCTCTGCTAGCTTCAAACAACTTCTGCAACTTCCTCACCTCTCTCAGCCTTGATAGAATTGAAGAGAGTTAGGGCCTTGCTTTGGATTAGGCTTTTGCTTAAGAGAATGTTGTGGCTGATTCCAACTTCTATCCAGACCACTCAAACTTTCTCCATATTAGCAATTAGGCCGTTTCGCTTTCTTATCATTCCTGTGTTCGCTGGAGTGGCACTTTTAATTTCCTTCAAGAACTTTTCCTTTGCATTCACAACTTGGCTAACTGGTGCAACAGGCCTAGCTTTCAGCTTAGCTCAGCTTTTGACATGCCTTCCTCACTAAGTTTCATCATTTCTAGCTTTTGATTTAAAGTGAGAGATGTGGGACTCTTCCTTTTACTTGAACACTTAAAGATCATTGTAGGGTATTAATTGGCCTAACTTTAATATTGTTGTGTCTTGGAATCGGAAGGCCTCGGAGGAGAGAAAAAGAGATGGGGAGCAGCTGGTCAGTGGAGTAATCAGAACACACAATTATGTGTTAACTGATTAATTAAGTTTGCCATTTTATATGGGCACAGTTTATGGTGCCCCAAAACAATTATAATAACATTGAAGGTCATGGATCACATATCGCCATAACAGACAGAATAATAATGTAAAAGTTTGAAATATTGAGAGAATTACCCAAATGTGACACAGACAGGAAGTCAGCACATGCCACTGTAAAAATGGTGCCAGTAGACTTGCTCAATGCAGGGTTGCCACAAACTTTCCATTTGTAAAAAAAAAAAAAACAATAAAATGAGATGTACCTATATACTGAAAAAAGTGTCATAAGGGTATGTTATTGTTCAAGGTGCAATTTGTTTGCATGAAGAGAAAGGTGCAGTTGTATGGGACTCCATATTGCATTTGGGACTTTAAAAAGCCTAAAAGTCTTAGTTGGGTATGGTGGCGCATGCCTGTGGTCCCAGCTTCTCAGGAGGCAGAGGCAGGAGGATCTCTTTATCCCAGGAGATTGAGGCTGTAGCGAGCCATGTGCATACTACTTCACTCCAGTCTGAATGACAGTGAGAACCTGTCTCAAAAAAAAAAAAAGCAAGCAAAAAACAAAATATAGCTTAAAAGTCAACTATTGGGCATTTCCCCCATGTGTTGTAGTGACCTGGTTTTTGGTTGATACTGACTTTTTTATCTCAAAATCCAAGACCTAAGATGGTAGAGTGACCATCTGTTCTTGCTCATCTTTTTATAGAGATGGCTGTTAGAAATTATCTCATTTTTTATGTGTACCATTCAGATGATATGACCTCTGGGTATGCCCTAGGATTATAGACTTTTAAACTAATTGCTAAAGCACCTTGGGCAAATTATAGTTTCATAATCTAGTGAAAGTAAATCATACCCCAGTTGTTCTGAGATCTAAATGAGATACTGTGCATAATGAGTTTAGCACGGTGTTCTGCACTCAGTAAATGGTAGCCTTTATTAACTGTAGTTAACCTAATAGACTTCCAAAAAAGAATTCTTTTTTTTCTTTTTTTGCCTATATTATTTGGAAGACTTTCTATATCTGTTGTTTAAAGAATAATGCCCTCAGAGAACAGCTTCTCAATAATACAATAGATGATAATCTAAAGCTAATTGTGCATAAAATATATCATTCTTTCCAACTAGTTATTGAATTTTCAGTGGAGCATATTTCCTTTAGTGATGAAAAAATATGAAAACTGCTTGAATAGTTGGAAGCTGTATAACTTTTATTTAAATAGTGAAATTGTTTTATATTAAATAAGAAGAAAACAAAAGAGAGACCTCTCCTAAAAGCGAATGGCTGCAAATGTGTTATTTTTTTTTTCCCTAGCCCTAACCCTAAATGTGTTATTTTTAAGGCCATAAAAGAGTCTTTGTCTTGGATTTATTTTTCTATCCAGAGATCAGCATTTTTCTTTTAGATTTAATCCAGTTGAATCAAGGTTCACTCTTTCTTGGGTTTCTTGCTCTGTTCCCAGTTTTCCACTGCATAGCAGAGTTTCTCCAGAGGCCTCGGCATGTTGCCGGGAGCAGCTGCCTTAGCCATAAACACCCGTATTGGCACTGGAAAAAACATCAACAGCAAGCAAGCTGCTTTGCCTTTCCACTGCCAGAGGCTCTGCACATTTAGAAACAGAACCGTGAAAGGCATAACTTCAGATTTCCTCTTACGTAAATTAAAATTAACGATCTGCTTTCTTCATTTGGGATCTCATTTTTCTCTCTCAGAATAATAGTACCATAGATTCTATTCTACCAAAATGGAGGACCACCACTAAAGAAGCAGACATATCCATAAACATGAAACAGTTAGATTTCCTACATGCTCAAGCGTTTTGCTGATCAAAACCATTTTTTTTTTAACCTTAGTCACTTCGAAGGCTGGAGCCCATGTTAGTGAAAGCCTACTCGCAGTTGATTAAGCACCACTTCCATTCAGGACTGCAACTCAGCACATCCTCATTGAGGGCCACTATGCACAAGCTATGCATGAAAAGCTGGGAACCACCTAGAGGAGGATGTTGGCTCCTGCCCTAAGGAGCTCCACTCAGTTCAGTAGGTGTTGCGTGCCTGCGCTGATGGTTACTGCCCAACAAGGACTGACTTTACCATGTTGTGTTGTGGTATAAGTGCAAGAAGAGAAATTTTTTTAAACCTAGTGCCACAAGATTCAAAGACAGGAGGGTAGGATAGGTGATTTAGAAAAAGCTTCTGGAAGCAGAGGCTGAACACAGTGGGGAAGACATAGACATTCACAAATGCTTAACTGAATGCCAGGCCTTGAATCAGGCTCATTCCAAACGTCATTTGTTTTTTTTGAGACAGAGTCTTGCTCTGTTGCCCAGGCTGGAGTGCAGTGGTGCGATTTTGGCTCACTGCAGCCTCTGTTTCCCAGGTTCAAGTGATTCTCATGCCTCAGCTTCCCAAGTAGCTGGGACCACAGGCGCCTGACACGATGCCCAGCTAATTTTTGTATTTTTAGTAGAGACAGGGTTTCGCCATGTTGGCCAGGCTGGTCTTGAGTTCCTGACCTCAAATGATCCGCCCACCTCGGCCTCCCAAAGTACTGGGATTACAGGCATGGGCAACCGCACCCAGCCCCCCATTCTTCTCACTCTGTCAATCAGCCTGGAGTACAGTAGTACAGTCATAGCTCACTGCAGTCTTTAACTCCTGGACTGAAGCGATCCTCCCACCTCAGCTTCCTCTGAGTAGCTGGAATTACAGGCACACATCACCATAACTGGTTAACTTTTTATTATTTTTTTGTAGAGACAGGGTCTTTCTGTGTTGCCCAGGCTGGTCTCAGACTCCTCAAGTGATCCTCCTGTCTCAGCCTCCCAAAGCTCTGGGATTACAGGCATGAGCCACCACACCTGGCCTTATCTGATTTTCAAATATGATTTAAAGTACCTTGTTTGTAGTTAATTATAAATTAACGAGATTGGAAAATATGGTCAGCAAAAAACATGATCATACTAGACATACTATTTTAAAACTTGGTTTTACCAGTTAGTATATTTTGAACATTTTCTATGTCATTAAGTATGCTTTTTCACAAACTTTTAAAGACGATTTCTTTTCTTTCCTTTTTTTTTTTTTTTTTTTTTTGACACAGGGTCTCACTGTGTTGCCCAGGCTAGAGTGCTGTGGCACAATCTTGCCTCACTGCAGCCTCAACCTTACAGGCTCAAGCAAACCTCCCACCTCAGCCTCCCAAGTAGCTGGGACTACAGGTGCATGCCACCACACTTGGCTAATTTTTATATTGTTTGTCAAGACAGGGTTTCACCATGTTGCCCAGGCTGATCTTGAACTCCTGAGCTCAGGCAATCCACCAGCCTCAGCCTCGCAAAGTGCTAGGATTACAGCTGTGAGCCTCTGCACCTGGCCACTGCATGATTTCTTTAACCATTTCCCTTGTAGCTAAGTAGGTAAGAAGATACAAATATAAGAAAAGCTGAACTCTGAAGTGTCAGGAGAAAATATATAATCTAGACAGTGGACGTATTTTTAAATGCATGATATTAAGAATAGAAACGTATGCCGGGCGCAGTGGCTCACGCCTGTAATCCCAGCACTTTGGGAGTCCGAGGAGGGCGGACCACCTGAGGTCAGGGGGTCAAGACCAGCCTGGCCAACATAGTGAAACCCCATCTCTACTAAAAATACAAAAAAAAATTAGCCGGGCTTGGTGGCGGGCACCTGTAATCCCAGCAACTCGGGAGGCTGAGGCGGGAGAATTGCTTGAACCTTGGAGGCGGAGGTTGCAGTGAGCTGAGATCATGCCACTGCACTCCAGCCTGGGCAACAGAGCAAGACTCTGTCTCAAAAAAAAAAAGAAAGAAACGTAATAGCAAAGATGAGTAGTTTCGAACCCATAAAAATTAAAAATCCTTTTGATATCAAGGGTACTCTAAATAAAATGTAAAGGCATTATCTTGTTTAATTCTCACAATAGCTTTGTGAAGTAGGTACTTAGATTTCTTTTAGAGAAGGGGAAACTGAGGCACAGAGAACTGACAGTGTGGAAATCGGTGCTTTCTATGAGATTGATGATTTCGTGTGTGTGTGTGCGTGATGGACTCTCACTCTGTCACCTAGGCTGGAGTGCAGTGGCGCAATCTCGGCTTGCTGTAACCTCTGCCTCCCAGGTTCAAGCTATTCTCCTGTCTCAGCCTCCCCAGTAGGTGGGACTACAGGTGTGTGCCACCACATCCAGCTAATTTTTGTTTTTTGTTTTTGTTTTTGTTTTTGTTTGGAGACAGAGTCTCAGTCTGTCACCCACACTGGAATGCAGTGGCGCCATCTCAGCTCCCAAGTAGCTGGGACGATAGACATGCACCACCACGCCCAGCTAACTTTTGTATTTTTTAGTAGAGATGGGGTTTCGCCATGTTGACCAGGCTGGTCTCGAACTCCTGGCCTCCAGTGATCCATCTGCCTCAGCCTCCCAAAGTGCTGACTATAGGCACCCAGCTGAATTTTTGTATTTTTAGTAGAGACAGGGTTTCACCATGTTGGCCAGGCTGGTCTCGAACTCCTGACCTCAAGTGATTTGCCTCCCTTGGCTTCCGAAAGTGCTGGGATTACAGGTGTGAGCCACTGTGCCCGGTGAGATTGATGATCTTGGTGCAGAACGAAAGCTGATAGAATAAGAGGCAGAGTGAGGAGGTAGCTCAAGATTGGTCTTTCCATCAGCCTTGGATATGAATCCCAGCTTTACCACTTAGGAAAGGTGATGGAAGGGCCACTTTTTAGATAGTTGAAAATACTATATTTTCATTTCATATTTTAAAGTGTTCACTTCCACATGCTGTCACATTATAACTATTTTGACAAAAAAATAACATTTTTAGATGTCTTGAAAGGAACATCAGGTGTGCCTTAAAATGCAAAATTCCAGAGACAGAACAAATTAGATGCTAATTGCAATTCCTTTTACTGTCCCTTATATGGTACACTATACTATCTCTTAAATAGTAGAAATTGTCAATGCCACACTTGAATAGGAATAGTATAGTTATAGATCATTAACTACTTTTTAAAGAGATAGAAGGAAAAAGTCAAAACTGTATGAGCTGTTATCAATTGGGTGAAATAAAATAAGAGAGTTTCCAGCTATCATCATAGTTTATCAGTGGGAAAATCAGGAATAAAGAAATTTAGAATTTAAATGTTGTTTAGGTCATCTTTTGGTAGATCCAATCAAGTTTAAAATTCTACCATGTCTTGGATATGAGCATATGACTCATTGATGGCGTTCAGTAAAATCTTTCTGTGTAGTTGGTTTAAAATTTGACTTAAAACAGGGATATAATATTTACCTTCCCTAGAGTAACAAATTTATGTTATGTAATAACCTTGACATGTTTACAAAATCATGTTTAATGGGCTCTCCAGAGCTCCAGTGAATACCACAATTTGGTCTGTTTTCAACATTTTTAAGGAATCTGGGAAAGCTGTAGGAAATGAAATATGTGTCCTAAACTTTTTGTATCAGGCTTAACTACTGCTTTCTTGAAGTTTAGCAAAAGGATAAAGGACTGTATGTTCTTCATTAACTGTAGTCAAAACTGAATTTAAGGATTTTTGATAGCTGTTTAGAATTACTGTTTGAATCTCTACTACAAAGAATATTAAGATTTTTAGCATTTGAGAGTCCTAATATACCCACTTAACAATCATTAGACTTACTTTGGGAGGCCAAGGCCTAAGGATCACATGGTCAGGAGTCCTAACCCAGCCTGGGCAACATGGTGAAACCCCATCTCTACTAAAAATACAAAAATTAGCCAGGCATGGTGGTGCACACCTGTCGTCCCAGCTACTCGGGAGGCTGAGGCAGGAGAATTGCTTGAACCTGGGAGGCAGAGGTTGCAGTGAGCCGAGATCATGCCACTGCACCCCATCCTGGGTGACTAAGCGAGACTCCGCCTCAAAAAAAAAAAAAAATCAGTAGACTTAGGGCCAGGTGTGGTGGCTCACACCTGTAGTCCCAGCACTTTGGGAGGCTGAGGCAGGCAGATCACTTGTGGCCAAGAGTTTAAGACCAACCCCAACCTAGCCAATATGGTGAAACCTCTTCTCTACTAAAAATACAAAAAAATTAGCCAGGCGTGGTGGCACATGCTGGTAATTCCAGCTACTCAGGAGGCTCAGGCATGAGAATCACTTGAACCGAGAAGGCGGAGGTTGCAGTGAGCCAAGATTGCACCATTGCACTCCAGCCTGGGCGACAGAGTGAGACTGTCTCAAAAAAAAAAAAAAAAAAGAAAAGAAAAGAAAAGAAATTCAGTAGACTTTATCATTTAATTCCAAGTATATACATATATACTTGTAGACATGTATAATTTAGTACATTGTGGTTTTTCCCAAACAGATAAACAATCAGATTCTGTATGGAAGAAGTCACCAAAATGCATCTGCCATTATTAAGACTGCCCCATCAAAGGTCAAGCTGGTTTTCATCAGGTAAGATTGCTAGATCTGGTTTTGCAAAATCAAAGACCTCTTCTGAAGATGTTATTAGTGTAAGACTATGTCATCTTTGATTTGTCTAGCGAAATCACTGTTCCTTCTAAAAACATATATTCCTTTTGTAACTGTCACTTCAAGAAAAGTATTGATTGTTTTGATTATGAGATTGTCTTATTTGCTTATGTTTCATGGGATAGAATTGGTAGCTGAGGCTAGTATTTATATTTCAGTTATAAAACATTCTTCCCTTTCTGGATCCATTTTTCCTGTATATAAATATAATGAAACCTGCTAACTTCTCTTCCTGTCACTACTATTTGGTACATTTGCTGAATCATTAATGTCTTCATTAAAGAACAAACAGGAAAACAGAACTGAGGACATTCTTAGGAGCTTCCTTTTAAGAGTGCTGGTGAGAAGCTCAGAGTAGAGAAGATGTTCAGCACTGCTGCCTAGAGTTGTGTTGTGTGTTTGGGGCTTCACATTTACTCAGACCTCCCTGCAAGCTGATTGAGCCCTCATGGTACAAGTAAATCAGAATTAGGAATCTTACTGTTTGTAGTCAACATTGCCACATTAGCAATAGAAATGAGGTTGTTTGATTCTCTTTACTGGACTGAAATGACAAGTAAATCTGAATTACTTTTAGGTCATGTACCTAACCCTCTATGTTCACTGTAGCTCTGCTTCTTTTTCCTTCTGGGACTCAGTTATCATCTGTAAAATGGGATAATAAAGCATCTCCCTCATTCATTGTGATATTTCAGAAATTGAAAATGCTCAATACAACATCTAGCATAGAGTAAGGGGTGAAAGAATGTTAGCTGCTATTTTAGGATTATGACAATCATTATTATTCTTCCCTTTCTCGTTAGTTACCAGCAGTAAGATCTGTCCATTCCCAGGGACCACTGGGATTAGGAGGTAGTTTTATTCCCAGCTTGGGCACTAACGTGATTGAAATATCCCTTCCCACTTCTACTTTGCTCCTGAAGAAATCCTACATTAGGGCCAGGCACGGTGGCTCACGTCTGTAATCCCAGCACTTTGGGAGGATCACCTGAGGATCACCTGAGATTAGGAGTTTGAGACGAGCCTGGCCAACATGGCGAAACCCTGTCTCTACTAAAAAATACAAAAAATTAGCCAGGTGTGATGGCGCACAACTCTACTCCCAGCTACTCAGGAGGCTGAGGCAAGAGAATTGGTTGAACCCAGGAGGCAGAGGCTGCAGTGAGCTGAGATCGCACCATTGCACTCCAGCCTGGACGACAGAGAGAGATTGTCTCAAAAAAAAAAAAAAAAGGCCGGGCATGGTGGCTCACTTTGGGAGGCTAAGGCAGGCAGATCACGAGGTCAGGAGTGCGAGACCAGCCTGGCCAAGCCAACATGGTGAAACCCTGTCTCTACTAAAAATACAAAAATTAGCCAGGTGTGGTGGCTACTCAGCTACTCAGGAGGCTGAGGCAGGAGAATTGCATCTTGAACTCAGGAGGCAGAGGTTGCAGTGAGCCGAGATCACGCCACTGCACTCCCACCTGGTTGACAAAGCGAGTCTCTGTCTCAAAAAAAAAAAGGAAATCCTATATTAGCATCCTTTTCTCTCATCTAGTGGCACTTTCTGGCTTTCTAGTTTTTCACTCTATTTTCAGAGAGTGAAAGCTTCCTCCTTCACCTATGTCTTTGTATATTAAGATGAGCCCTTTATCCTTACTCTCCTTTGACATCCTCTGTTAGACACCAGTCTCCTTTTTGGTTTTCTTGTCCTTTCTTTTGGCAAGGGTTATAAAATTAGAGTTAGTTGATTAAAAAAAAAAACTTGAGTAGACTTTGAAGAAAGGTCAGCACTCAAGAGATTAAGATGTTGTTCATTAAGAGAAGTCCACAAAAGTAGTGTGTTTAGACTTGAAAACTTTGCATAAAGTTGTGTGGGGGCCAGGCGCGGTGGCTTGCACCTGTAATCCCACCACTTTGGGAGGCCAAGGCAGTAGGATGGCTTGAGTTCAGGAGTTTGAGACTGGCCTGGGCAACATAGTGAGACCAAATCTGTGCAAAAGAAAAAAAAATTAGCCAGGCGTGGTGGCATGTGCCCTGTAGTCCCAGCTACTCGGGAGGCTGAGGCAGGAGCATCGCATGAGCCCAGGAGGTTGAGGCTGCAGTGAGCCATGATCACGCCACTGCACTTCAGCTTGGGCGACAGCAAGACCTTGTCTCAAAAAAAAAAAATTCTGTGGCTAGTACATGAGAAGATATATGTAGCACTTAACAGTATCAGCATCTGCACATGGTGCAGATTTGTACCATTGCAAATGGTACAATGTACTATGTACATATGCAATGTAAATGTACATTTAGTACGTAGTGATGGCTGCTACCACAAGAGCTGTTATCAACAGTACGTACCTCTTCAGCATTTGTGGGGCTTTTATTATCCACATGGGCCATGCCATTTTAAAGAGAGCAAAAAGAAAATTGAATAGAGTCCAAAGGAAATAATGTAATGCAATTGTGTAGTTGGGAAATAAAACCCTCCTCCTTCCATAAAGAAAGGTTAAATAATTTGAAATTATTTAGAAGACAGAAGGGAAAGCTGAATAGAATTTTAATCATAGTAGTAAAGCTCCATCAATTTACAGTCTGATTATTTCAGTTTTGATCATTGAACAGAACAGAATCAAGAAAAGAATTTGTTGACTAAATTAATGGTATACACAAGATTAAGGATGCTGCTGAATGCTTATTTACTGGAAGTGATTTTAAGCAATTTAGAAGTATCAATGTACATTTAAAATCTGTAATCTAATTCTTAGTCCATTTGGGCTGCTATAACAAAATACCCGAGTGTCTTATAAAGAACAGAAATTCATTCATTCATTCATTCATTTATTTTGAGACAGAGTCTTGCTCTGTCACCCAGGCTGGAGTGCAGTGGTGCGATCTTGGCACACTGCAACCACTGCCTCCCAGGCTCAAACAATTCTCATGCCTCAATCTCCCGAGTAGCTGGGACTACAGGTGTGTACCACCAGGCCCGGCTAGTTTTTTTTTTATTTTTAGTAGAGACAGGGTTTCACTATGTTGGCCAGGCTGGTCTCAAACTCCTGGCATCAATGATCTGCCTGGCTCGGCCTCCCAAAGTGCTGGGATCACAGACGTGAGCCACTGCACCAGGCCCAGAAATTTATTTCTCACAGTTTTGGAGGCTAGGAAGTTTGAGATCAAGGCTCTAGCAGATTTGATGTCTGGAGAGGGCCCACTTCCTGTTTCATAGATCTATTCCGTGTATCCTCACGTAACAGGAGGGGCTCCCTTGGGCCTACTTTCTAGGGCACTAATCCCATCATGAGGGCCCCACTCTCATGACGTAAACACCTTCCAAAAGGCCCTGCCTATTAATACCTTCATGTTGGTGATTAGGTTTCAACAAATGAATTTTGAGGGGACACAAACATTCAGACTGTAGCACAAACCTTTCCTGCATGGTCATTCAATTACAGTGTGTGGCATATAATGAGTGTTCAGAAAGCTTTATTGAATAAATTTCCTTTTCACTCCTACTAAGCAACTCTAGGTTACTTATTGTCCAAAATCAACAATTATAGTAAGTTCGTTGTTGTTGTTATTTTGTGGATTAAAAATATATATATTTCTGTAACTCAGTATTTTACAAAATTCCTCATACGTCAGTCCCTCTTCCCAGTACTTTCCCAAATTAGCTAAGTTTTTTTATACCTTCTTTTATAGGGAGAAAAAACATATAGGAGTGATTCTGAATAATTATTTATTATAAGAATCCTGATTTTGCTTATTTTAGAATCAAATCCTGAAGAAGTTAAAATTCGATTCATTATCAAGTTTCCAGAAGTTAACACTTAAATCATCTCAGTACCACAGATGCGACTTTGTTTTTCTTTTAAACTCTGCATAACTTGTACTGTGTTATAACGTTACTTTGAGGACTAGTTTTTATAAATTGTATTTCTTTACAATTTGCACTTCTATTTGGCAAAATTTCCTTCCTTAGTTGAAATTATTCTCTGTGCTTTTCCATTATACAGAAAATTTTGGCTTTTATACCTTGACAACTGTTTTTCAAATGTATTGACAATTGAGATGGAAATGGGAACTGGCCACAGGTTTTAGAGAACGATTAGCAGTAATCACAGAAAGCTATTAAAATATGCTGCAGGCAACATTTTAATTAACTAAGGCCTTTAGTCTATAGCAATGTACATTTTGTAATCAGGTCCTTGTCATATTCTTTTAACACTTGTATTTATTCATATACTAATTTATCTATAATTGGCAAGGGGTCTGTGTGTCATTAGCACAAATCAGCAAGTTGCAGCTATTTATACATGACTTACATAATCACTTTTTCCCTTTTGCTTTTCGCATCATTAGATTTTGGATAATCCTGGAAATTGTACCCTAAACATATGGTCCCTGATACACTAAATTATTCAACTCTGGATCATCCAGATGTGTATTACAATCTGGGTGCTTGCTATGTACTCTACATTCAATTCTGTGGGTTTTCGTGTTTGGCATTCTCCCCTTCATGTGAGCACACCAATTTAAGTACAAGAGGAGAGCTGTATTAACACAACAAATGAATTGCTGTATTTGGCAGTGCAGGGATCCAAGGAGATTAATGATCTTGCCTGCAGCTCTTGTCGTACCTTCCCCCACTATCAAAAATTGAATGTCATGTATAACAACTCACTCTCCATTACTTAATTACATGTGGAAAATGTGTACTGTGTAAAAACTCCTGGGGCTAAAGGAAACGAGATGAAACTGAAATCCTTGGAAAGATTTAGTGCTAGCTGTCAAGCCCCACTGAGTAAAAGTGGACTCACCATGGGCTCCACCTTCCTGTATCGATTGAACATATGTCTTCCTTTTGTAATTAAAAATATAGTGTGGCTCGTTATCCTCTGGCCATATCCCTGAAAGATGATATTGCTTGAATTAATGTGAATGCCAGAGTCATCTTAAGGAGATGACCATCTGAAGAAGCAACTCGGATGCCTATTTTAAAAATCCTTCTTGGCTGGGCATGGTGGCTCACACCTATAATCCCAGCACTTAGGGAGGCCCAGGCAGGCAGATCATCTGAGGTCAGGAGTTCCAGACCAGCCTAACCAACATGGTGAAACCCTGTCTCTACTAAAAATACAAAAATCAGCTGGGCGTGGTGGCGGGTGCCTGTAATCCCAGGTACTTGGGAGGCTGAGGCAGGAGAATCACTTGAACCCAGGAGGTGGAGGTTGCAGTGAGCCGAGATCGCGCCATTGCACTTCAGCCTGGGCAAAAAGAGTGAAAGTCCATCTCAAAAAAAAAAAAAAAATCCTTCTTGTGCTCTTGATTCATTAGATCTAGTTTTGGTAAACAGGAAAAAAGAATGCATGCATAAGCATGAGTTTAACTTTCATAAAGAAACATTCATTCATTTTTTTAACAGGTGTTTACAGAACACCTACTTGTGTTAATGCTGTGGAGTCAGTGATGGAAAGAACACAATTTCTGTCTGAAAGGAGGAGACAGAGAATAAACAATAGTCTAGTACCTTATCCAGTGATATAAGTACTGTGATGCTATAGGGACATATAGGAGATGCATCTGATGTAGTCTTTGGGGCCCATGGGAAGATATCACAGAGAAAGATGCTTAGGCTAAGACTCGAAGGATAAGTAAGCAAAGTCATAGGATGTATAGAAACCCAAAGATTCCACAATTGGATACCCAATCAAAATACCTGGACATTTGCTTCTAGGAGAGAAGCAATCCTTCTTTAGGAAAGTATCATTGAGTAAGTATAACTGTGTATGTCAATCATTTTGAATTCTGTAAGGTAGCATGATGTCGGCTGCAGATTTTTCAGAGATGGCTCTTATCATTTTGAGGTGTTCCTTTAATGCATAGTCTGTTGAGGGTTTTTATTATGAAGCCATGTTGGATTTTATCAAAAGCTTTTTCTGCATCTATTGAGATGATCATCATATGATTTTCGCTTTTGATTCTGTTTATGTGGTGAATCACATTTACTGATTTGTGTGTGTTGAACCAGCCTTGCATCTCAGGAATAAAGCCTACTTGATTGTGGTGTTTAGCTTTTTGATGTGCTGCTGAATTCGGTTTGCTAATATTTTGTTGATGATTTTTGCTTTTATGTTCATGAGGGATACTGGCCTGAAGTTTTCTTTTTTTGTTGTGTCTCTGCCAGATTTTGGTGTTAGGCTGGTGCTGGCTTCATAGAATGAGTTAGAGAGGTGCCCCTCCTCCTTGATTTTTTTGGAATAGTTTCAGTAAGATTGGTATCAGTTCTTCTTTGTACATCTGGTAGAATTCAGTTGTGAATCCATCTGGTCCAGGGCTTTTTTTGGTTGGCAGGGTTTTCTTTAATTACCAATTCAATTTCAGAAGTTGATATTGGTCTATTCAGTTTTACTCTTTCGTGGGCAGAATTGGTAATTTTTTCTTTGCTACGTCCATTCCTTAATATAATACCTGCATATATTAGCTTACAGGAATTATGCCTACATTTGTTTCACCTCTTTTGGCACTCAGAAACAACTAATTGAGATGGTCATCAGGGATGACATGAGCTTGCTTTTTTTCTTTTTTGCTGGTCAATATTTATACTATTTGCCCAGTGGAATTCCTGTTTCCTTGGGTAGACCCCCACTTCCCACCTCCCAACACACACACACACACACACACACACACACACACACACACACACACACACACACACACAGTGAAACAATACATCTAGATGCCTGTCTCCCTCTGTGGAAGGTGAAGGAGCCAATTCTTTCTCTCACTGCCAAAGTGTGGCCAGCGGGTGTTCAATGTGTCTTACATTTTGGCAATATGATACCTTAGGCATAGAATTGGAAGCAAGCAATGTGAGTGACTTGATACGAATGGTGTTTATTCATAGAGCCACAGTGCCCTGGCCAGACACTCCTGCTACATCATTCTGTTTCCTACTTCCTTGTCCTCTGGAAGTCTCTTAGTTCCCAACTGTCCCAAGCCTGATCCTATAGCCTATCAATTTTGTGAGAGCTCAGTATCCCTCCAGTAAATTTTCTTTTGCTTAAGTTGGCCCAAATTTATTTTTATTGCTTACTGTCAAAGAATCTTAATGAACAGATAAGAAATAGAGCTATCTGAACAAATTACGAGCAACCAGAGTGAGACATTTGGTTTCCTCTGTGCATCTTCCTGTCACTTGTAAGCTTTTAGCCTTAGAATTCTGAGTTTTTCATCCTTCAAACGACTTTAGCAGAGTATAAAGCCTCTGAACAAGTCTCTACTGAGGATCTCCTGCATCACTCATTACCATTGCCAAACCGTTGCTGGCTCTTGAAATGAGATTACCATGATTATCAAAGAGGAATCAGGCAGGATTTGTCCCAGTTTGTCCCTGAGGGTGAGGATCCCAGCACATGGCCTTATGGTGAGGGCTGTATATTAAGGTCTGTGTATCTGAACGTTTAGGATTTGCCAGCCAGGAATAAGAGGGGAATAGCTGAGAGTATCTATGGTACTATCTTTTAGAAAGACTCTCTTGGATGGCTGGGCGCAGTGGCTCATGCCTGTAATCCCAGCACTTTGAGAGGCCAAGACCGGCTGATCACTTGAGGCCAGGAGTTCGAGACCAGCTTGGCCAACATGGCAAAACCCTGTCCCTACTAAAAATGCCAAAAAATTAGCTGGGCATGGCGACATGTGCCTGTAATCCCAGCTGCTCAAGAGACGGAGGCAAGAGAATCACTTCAACCCAGGAGGTGGAGGTTGCAGTGAGCTGAGGTAGTGCCACTGCACTCCACCCTGGGTGACAGAGAGAGACCCTGTCTCAAATAGATAAATAAATAAATAAAAGGCTCTCTTTGATAAACTTATTAGGCCAAGTCATCCATTCCATCCAGTCCTAAGTTCCCCACATCAACTCCCCTGCCAGCCTGCACTGCCAAATATTTTATGAGCCACCTTTTCCTCGGCACAACTGGTGACAATTATTTAGAACATGCCTCAGGCCTCCTGTGTAGAATGTGGGTCTAGAAACTGCTTTCTCCCAGCAGCCCTCATTAGTAATTGACATTGTTTGAAGGGCCAAGTAAATAGAACTCATTATTCCACTGTCAATGGACTTTTATTTCCGATTTGACATACTCAGCTATTTTGGTAGTTTCTTCTAATTGTGAATTGGAACTGTTTACTCTGTTCATATAGTTAGGAATATCTCCTGGAATCTTTTTGGAAAGGAGTTTTCCCATTGAGATAGAATGATTTGCTTTGTTTTGTACATTACTTCTGGTTCATTTACATGGAGCTTTCCTGGCTGAATGTTAATTCAGTGTCATGTTCCAATTAATACAGGAAGTATAGAGATTACTTTTTACTATCCTGGAATGTCTCAGATGACTAGATTTAGTATAATCAGAAAGCAATATCCAGGCCTGGTGAGTTGTGTTGATGTGTTCATTTATTCAACATTTGTGTGTGTGTGTGTGTGTGTGTGTCTGTGTGTGTGTGTACATGCACCTAAATGATGTACCAGGCACTAGATTGTAGTTGTAATCATTTTAGAACAAGTTGCAATAAATAAAGTCAGCCTGCTCAACAATCCAGGCTGAATTCAGGCACATAACTTCTGCTTTTGATAAAACGGTATTTTGTTGGCATAAAATGAGATCCTATGGATTTGCTGAAAGGACGTTTCCAAGAGGCAGGCCCAGAGCATGCTGAAGACAATCATGATTTTAAGTGACATTCTAAATAATTCAAACATATTTTCATCACACTTTCACTTCTTTTCTTGCTCAGGTAATTTTAATTGCAATGAAATAAACATAACACAATTTCACCATAGGACCCAGCAACTCTACTTGTGGAGTATATATCCAAAATAATTGAAAGCTGGGTCTGGAAGAGATATTTCTATTTCCGTGTTCATAGCAACATTATTTGCTGTAGCCAAAAGGTGGGAGCAACCGAGTATAACATATAACACAAAAGGTACCATCTTTACCATTTTAAGTGCACAGTTCAGTGGCATGAAGTACATTCACACTGTTGGGCAACCATCATCACCATCCATCTCCAGAATTATTTCATCTTCCCAAACTGAATCTCTGTATACATTAAACAACAACTCCCCATTCTTCCCTCCTCTCAGCCCCTGGAAGCCACCATTCTACTGTCTGTCTCTGAATTTGACTGCCGTAGGTACCTCACATAAGTGGACTCATGCAGTATTTGTCCTTCTGTGACTGGTATATTTCACTTAGCATGTATTTTCAATGTTCATTCATGTCACAGCATGTGCTAGAATTTCTTTTTAAGGCTGAATAACGTTCCATTTTATGTATGTGCCATGTTTGTTTATCCACGCATCCATTGATAGGTACTTGGGTTGCTTCCACCTTTTGGTGACTGTAGATAATGCTGCTATGAACATGGATATACAGATATCTCTTCCAGACCCTGCTTTCAATTCTTTTGGATATATACCACACAAATGGAATTCCTGAGTCATACAGTTATTCTATTTTTAATTTTCTGAGGAACCTCCATACTGTTTTCCATAGTTGCTGTACCATTTTACATCCCTACCAACAATGTACACAGGTTTTAATTTCTTCATAACCTTGCCAACATTCCTTTTTTTTTTTTTTTTTTTTTTTGGATAGTATCCATCCTAATGAGTGTAAGGTGGTATCTCATTGTGATTTTGATGTGCATGATTTGCACTTTCCTGATGGATTAGTGATATTGAGCATCTTTTCATGTGCTTATTGGCTTTTTGTGTGTTTTCTTTATAGAAATGTCTATTCAAGTCCCTTGCCCATTTTTTTAATGAGATTGTTTGTTTTGCTGTTGTTGAGTTATGGGAGTCTTTACATATTGTAGATATTAACCACTTGTCAGATATGTGATTTGCAAATATTTTCTCCTGTTTCATAAGTTGCCTGTTCACTCTGTTGATTGTGCCCTTTGATATACACAAGGTTTTTTATTTTGATGTCCAATTTATCTAATTTTGTTGTTGTTACCTGTGCTTTTGGTGTTGTATTCAAGAAATTATTGTCAAATCCAATGTCACAAAGCATTTCATCCCTATATTTTCATCTAAGAGTTTTATAGTTTTAGCTCTTATATTAAGCCCTTGATTCATTTTGAATTTATTTTCATATATGGTATAAAGGAAGGCTATGACTTCATTCTTTTTTTCCCCTCTCTTAGAGTTGAGGATCTCTCTATGTTGCTCAGGCTGGAGAGTAGTGGCTCTTCACAGGCATGATCATAGCACAGTTTGGCCCCAGACTCCTGGCCTCAAGCCATCCTCCCACCTCAGCCTTTTGAGTAGCTAGGATTACAGATGCACCCCATCAGTGTAACCTTCATCCAGAAGACTTCATTCTTTTACATGTAGATATCCAGTTTTTCCAGCACCATTTGTTGAAAAGATCATCCATTCCCCCATTGAATGGTCTTGGTGTTCTAGTTGAAAATCCCTTAATCATATACAGGGTGAGTGTGGTGGCTCACGCCTGTCATCCCAGCACTTTGGGAGGCTGAGGTGGGAGGATTGCTTGAGCTCAGGAATTCAAGACCAGACTGGGCAACATAGCGAGACCTCATCTCTACTAAAATTCAAAAAGAAAATTAGCCCAGTGTGGTGGCACACACCTGTGGTCCCAGTTTCTTGGGAATCTGAGGTGTGAGGATTGCTCTAGCCCAGAAGGTCAAGGCTGCAGTGAGCCATGATCATGTCACCCACACTGCTACCTGGGCAACAGAAGAAGACTGTGTTTAAAAAAAAAGAAAAAGAAAAGAAAAGCCAGAAATGGTAGCCTGTACCTGTAGTCCCAGCTATTCAGAAGGCTGAGGTGGGAGGTTCGCTTGAGCCTGGGAGTTTGAGGTTTCAAGTCTACAATGAGCTATGATCATGCCACTGCACTCCAGCCTGGGTGACAGAGCGAGACCCTGTCTCAAAATACATACATACATACATACATACATACATACACGTATACCAGGGTTTATTTCTTGGCTGTCTGTCCTATTCCATTGGTTAATATGTCTATCTTTATGCCAGTACCACACTGTTTTGATTACCGTAGCTTTGCAGTAGGTTTGAACATCAAGGAAAGGTAAGACCTTCAACTTTATTTTTCTTTTTCAAGATTGTTTTGGCTATTTGGGATGCCTTGAAATTCCCTATGAATTTTAAGATGAAACACACTTTCTTGCTTTTAGAAGAGGCAGAAATGCTTCTTAGGAATATCTCATATCCTGATGAAGTGATGGCATTCTACAAACATACACACACTGCCTGTTACATTAGATGTCTTATTTTTCATCATTCATAAATTGTCATCATGGGCTTGTTGTGTTTCCCTGAAGCATGAGTATGTTCTCCTCATGACCACTAATTTTTCTTTTGGCAACAATTTACAGTGTTCTTTTCGAGTTTATATTAGAGTATCCCATATTTATCCTAAGGAATTAGTCAAGGGCTATCAAATAACATGTTAATGAAATCCCTTATTACAGTTTGAATTATGGTTACACCTTTGAGGGATAAAGAATAAATATATAATGTTATATCAACAAAGTGCTGTATATGACATATATGTGCATCCAAAAATACAGTGAAATACCCTTAGAAGAATAGAATGAAGTTACTGAGACAAGCCACATGAGCAGTTTAGAAATTCAAAGGAGCAAGCGATTGCTGTTGGAGAAGTGGGTACAGCGAGAGTTAGTTAATATTTAATACTAGCTAGGTAGACTTACATAGGAAAGAACTGAGTCCAAATGGCATCAGCAAATTCATGATTTACTGAGTACCTCCTGTATGTCATATGCCATAAAAGGTCATACAGTTAAGTAAGAAGTTCTCCAGCAACTACAAAGACATGCAAATAAGAAACTATACATCAGGCAAAACAAACATCCATAGAGGGAACTCATTGATGTTGGGTTATTTTCAGGCTCGGTTCCAGTGGGTAGTTTTCACAGTTGAGAGGGAGCAATTTGGATGGATTCAGATGCAGAGAAAGCAGAACAAGAAAACAAGTAGTGATACTGTTGTCATAGACCAGGCAACATGAAAAGGACATGAATTAGGATGGAAACTGTGGGATTAAAAGAAAAAAGAAGAATAAAGCCTTTAGATTAAACCATTAGACTCAGCGGTGTTTTAAATTTTTTGGTTGATGGCTGAATGAATTAATAGCAACCGAGGATGTAGCACCTGGAAGTTTAAGCATTTGAGATTTAACATCACAAAGCCATAAAACATTAAATATTTACTTCTGTTAGTGTGCTTTGGCTTTGACGTTTACATTATCTCATAACAATTCTATTAATATTAGACATTATCCCAATTTTAAAGGTTGAGAAACCAGGGTTTTAAGTTGTTTTGTATCTTATTTATATCTTATCAGTGATAGAATCCATACCTTTGCTTTGGTGTCTGTGCCTTTGCTTATATTCATTTCCAAGCCAACATAGTTGTCTTGTACTACACATTATCATGGATTTATTTTTAATTGGGGTATAATTTATACTCAGTGCAATAGATTTTATGTCTTAAGTCTATTGAGTTTTGATAATTGCATACACCTGTGTAACCTCCACACAAAACAAAAATATAGACTATTCGTTCACCTCCAAAAGATTGCTGGTGTCCCTTTACAGTCACTCTCTCCTTCTCCCAAGAGCCACCTGCTTCCTGATTTCTGTCACTATAGGTTAGTTTCAACTGTTCTTAAACTTAATGTAAATAGAATCAAACAGCATTTATTCTTTTGTGTCTGGTTTCTTTCATTAACATAACATTTTTGAGATTTATCCATGTCGTGTTTATCAAAAGTTTGTTCCTTTAATCACAGAGTAATACTTCACTCTATGAATATACAAAAATTTGATGATCATTCTCCTGTAGGTGAACATTTGGGTTGTTTCCAGTTTTTAGTTACTATGAATAAGGTATGAACGTGGCTTTTTAAAAAATTATTGAATAAACTTGTATAGAGCATGTTAGAATCAGGGTAGACACAGTTATGCTTCAGTAACAAACAGCCCCAAAACTCATGGCTTAAGACAACAAAGAAATAAACAAAGGTTTATTTCTTTCTCATGTTACATACCCGTCAGGGTTCCTTACTGAGCCCTCTGTTCACCGTGGTCATTCACGTACCCAGGCAGCAGAGGCTCCTTCTCAGCATTTGTTTCCATGATCACCAATGCAGAAACAGGAAACGTAGCTAATCAAGCACTGGTTCACCTTTAAAGAGGAAGAAAAGTTGAAGCTAGAGGATTTATGAACAGCCCTAATATCTATCCCAGAATAGTACTGAGGAAATTACACTCCGCTGTAATATTCACCACTATACCTGCCCCATCACACAAAATGAAATTTTAAAGCATTTTATAGTCATTATATCTCTATAAGGGATAGGTAATATGTTAATAGATAAAACACCCAGGACCCACATATGAAATGTGGACAGATTGCAGTTAATACAGTGAGCAGACTTAGAACCTTGCATGTATTTTTACCCCAAGGAAATTTATTAAATAATTTAAAAAGTAATAGCCCAAAATTTAATCGCCTGGACTCACCTAGGGATTTTAACTTGCGTATATGAGAGAAGGAGACATCTGTGGCTCTGGATAGGCTATGAAAATGGGAAACACTGTAGTATAGTAGTTAAGAGTAGGTTTTGAAACCAGATTGCTGTTTTTGAACCTCAGCTCTGCTATTTGTCAGCTTTGTGATTTATAAGCTGTGTGACTTTGGTCAGGTTGCTTAACCTTTCTGTAAAACCAAGAGAAAATGAAAAAAATAATTCTAACTACTACCTAGACTTGTTATGAAGGTTAAAATGAGTTAATGTATGTAAAGGATTTTGAACAATGGTACCTGGTAAGCGGTCAAATGTTATGTTTCTAGTTATATTTCCGGTGACCATGTTTTCCAAATCAAAATTTGTGTCATGTATTAATTTTCTCTTGCTATGTGACAAATTACCAAAATTGAACGGCAGAAAACAATACCTGTTTATTGGCTCACAGTTGTGTAGGTCAGAATGCTGGCATGACAAGCCATGGCTCAGTTCTCTGCCCAGGATATCACCAAGCTGAAGTCAAGGCGTTGGTCAGGCTGAGGTCTTGTCTGGAGGCTTTGGGGGAAAAGTTGCTTCCAGGCTTATTCTCTATTTTCTTGCTGGTTCTCAGGTGGGGGCTGCTCTCAGCTCCTAGAGGTCCCCCACAGTCCTTGTCAGGAAGCCCCCTCCATCCTGAAGCAAACAATGGTGCTTCCAATCTCTGACTTCCTAGGCATTCCACAAAGAATTTAATTGGTTTAGAATTCATTTAAGTCAACCTACTAATTTAAGGATTTAGGATATGAGGTTCTAAGTGAAATCTCCAGATTTGAAGGGCTTGTATGATTAGGTCAGGTCCAAACTGATAATCTCCCTTTATCTTACAGTCAGCTGTGACTTATCATATAGTTTAATTATGGAAGTGAAATTTGTCTGTAAACTGGGGGCAGGAATTTTGGGAGACTTGTTAGCATTTTGTCTAACACAAGTTATATGATTTTTACCAATGTGAGTTTCATTTTTATAACAAAGCAGAATTCAAATCAGGATCCAGAATGTGTGTTTTCCACAAACATAAATATATTCTACAAACAAGAAGCTGAATTAGAGGTATTCTTAGCATGCTTTTGGAGAAAAACTAAATTGAGATCCCTTGAGTAGTGTATTAGTCTGTTCTCACACTGCTATGAAAATACTGAGACTGGGTAATTTATAAAGGAAAGAGATTTAACTGACAGTTCAGCGTGTCTGGGGGGGCCTCAAGAAACTTATAATCACGGCGCAAGGGGAAGCAAAGCACCTTCTTCACAAGGCAGCAGGAAGGAGAATGAATGCATGAGGAACTACCACACACTTATAAAACCATCAGCTCTCCTGAGAACTCACTCACTGTCACAAGAACAGCATGGGGGAAACTGCCCCCATGATTCAGTTACCTCCACCTGGTCTCTCCTTTGACACGTGGGGATTATGGGGACTACGATTCAAGATGAGATTTTGGGTGAGGACACAGCCAAACCATATCAGGTATTAATGCCACAATTGTAGTTGTTCATTTACTTAGCTGCATTCTTCACTAATTGCTAATATCATCAAAGGCAAGAATGGTCTTTTATCCATTTTTGTGTACATAGTATAAATATTTGTTAAATAAAGAAATGTATATATTCAAAATAAAATCAAAGCTATGTAGTTGAGTTTCAACCAATCAAAGTAACCACCAGCCAGCTTAAACTAAAAGGAGAATGTATTGTAAGAGTCCAGATGCCTCATGGACTCTTAAAAAAGGATCCATACAATAAGGCTCCAGAGATGGAACCAGGGCAGCTCTAGAGATGTCAGCAGAAGGGAATTCTGAACCCCTGTTTATCCTTGAGCATTCCCGTTGGTAGTCTTCACATTGCACTCCTGATCTTTATATGTCTCTTCTAAATGTTAAGCCTCTGGGAGAGAGAATTTGCCCCAGACTGAGGCAGGCATCTGCCCCCTTTATCCAATCTGCTTGAGGGCAGGGCTGTTAGTACCTAGTGTAGACATTTTGGCCCATCCGAGGAATCACTGTGAGCTAGGTGGACACCCCAAGAAATGGCCCTTACATGAGGTAAATACTGATAGCTGGCCGACTACAGGCAGCACAGCCTCACTAACTCATGGAAACAGCTCAGAAAGCATGGGGCGGTTTCCGTAATTCTGGTTTCTTTTTTCTGCCTTATTAAGATCACTTTTGTTCAACAGACATTTACATCACAGTACACCTACTCCCTGCCAGGTACCACACTACAAGCTGGAGATACGAAGTAATAAGATCTCATCCTTGTGCTCAGAGTGGGAGAAAAACCAGCACAAGTAATTTTAACAGAGCATGGCAAGTACAGCAATGAGGACACACATGCAGTGTTCCGTGCTCTGGAAAACAGGTCTCACCCTTATCTGTGGGAAAAGTCCGTTATCTCTCTCCCAGCAGCTCTTAAAGATAATTATAAAAACACCCACAAACAATTACAATTCCTGACTGTGTTCTCTTTGAGGCACTGGGGCCTAAGAAACTTAGGCTAATTATATGGAAAGGAAAGTTTCACCCGGCTTGATGGCTCACACCTGTAATCCCAGCACTTTGGGAGGCCAAGGCGGGCAGATCACTTGAGGCCAGGACCTCAAGACCAGCATGGCCAACATGGTGATACTCCATCTCTACTAAAAATACCAAAATTAGCTGCACATGTTGGCACACGCCTGTAGTCCCAGCTACTCGAGTGGCTGAGGCACGAGAGTCGCTTAAACCTGGGAGGTGGAGGCTGCAGTGAGCCGAGATCGCGCCACTGCACTCCAGCCTGGGCGAGAGAGAGAGACTCTGTCTCAAAAAAAAAAAAAAAAAAAAGCTTAATTATAAAGCAAACAGATATCATTACTTATGAGAATCATAGGATATGAGGGCTCAAAGGTTCTCCAGATGTCATCCAGGCCCCACTGCTTGTCTGAAGTGTAAATGCCTTCTCTCCTTTGGTTGCCGTCTTCCTACTTTTCTCTTTAAAATAGCAGCTATGTCAGCTCTCCATGGCTTGATGCTGAGGGATGTGACCACTAACCATTAAGTAGATGATAAAGGATTATGAACTGTAACTTCTTATAGCAGCTTTCTTCTTTTCAGTGAGAGTAATTGTCGGTTTTCTATTATGTAAGGTTAAAAAAATTTAATATGGACTTTAAAGGCCATTAAAGTCATACTAATTTGTGAAAAAATCATTAAATTGTGAAGGAATAACTTGGCCAATTTGAGCTAACTTGGTTCAGTTCATCACGATCTCTCAATAAGAATTCATGTACAGCCATATTTTTAATGCCGGTAACCTTTGAAAGAGATATGAAAAGTCACCTATTTAATTACTGCCAAGTATACTCTGCGCTGTGAGTTCCAGATCTACAGCAGACATGGCCTGTTGGCTTTCGGCCCTAAGCTGAGCTTTATTGTGGTGTTCAATGGGAGAAATTGAGTGGGAAAAGGAATTATGACTGGGAAAATACTGTTCTTTACCCACAAGTGATGGATTACTTTTTCTATATGTGAGCAAACTACTGAGGAATGGATTGTACTCCCTGAAAAACAATAGCTAAGCCATCTCTTAACATAATAGTGTCTGCTCAAGGCACCTGAAATGCAGTCAGAAAAAACAGATGCGCTTGATACGCTATGTCACTTTATAGTTGTAGTTTTTCTCCCAATTGCTTTGGTTTGGTTCACGCCTAGATAGATAGTCTAAGAATCCAAAAAGCATAGAGCTTGAAATGGCACCTAGACTTCATGTCTTTATTTATACTGTGCTTCATTCCACAAAAAAAGTAACCAATTTAGGATTCTTAATAGTTAAGCTACTTACTTAAGGGTTTTAGAAACTGAGACTCTGAGAAGTGATTTCCCCAAAGTCACTCTGTTAGTTAGCGGCAGGGCTGGAACTGAGACTCCTACTTTTCTGTATCCTTATTGAAGAGAGTTGTCATTACATCCCACCCCAACCCACCCCACCATTCATTCATTTTTTTTTTTTCAATAACTATGTTAAGCACAAACACTTGCCAGGCACTGTGTTACCCCTAGATAGTGTCATAGGGAGTAGGACGGACATGAGTCCTGTCCTTGGAATGCTTCCCACCCAGAGAGAAATTCAGATTTGGAGCAAATGTTCACACAGATCAGTTAGGTAAAATATGAAAGGAGCAGACCTATAACAGCAATCATTGTCTAGGGTGCTATGAGCATATTAAGAAGGTCCTGGAAGGCTTGTTTTAGGAAATGACGTTTATGATGAGCTGTGAAGGAGAAATAGGAGTAAATCAGCCAAAGTATTTGTCAAGCAGAGCAGAAGAGAGTGGGGTAAGAGAAGACCCTGAGGCGGGTAGATCTCAGCTCAGCTAAGAAGTGGAAAGAAAGTCTGTGCAGCTGGACTGAGGCATAAGTGAGCAAGGGGAAGAAGCACTAGAGGGGGCCAGAGATGGGGGCTGGGACCTCAGAGCTTCCTTATCGACTTTGCTCTTGATCCTAAGTGCATTAAGAAGCCATAAGAAGGGGTTAGAAATATGATCAGTTTTATGTGTTAGAATCATAATAACTTTGCTGGGTGGAGAATGGGTTGGAGAGAAGATGTAACTGGGTTGCTCTTACATGCCGGTGAGAAATGATGATGGCTTATAGATAGGATAGGATGGAAAGAAGTGGAAAGATCCAAGATATGTTTTGAAGGTGAAATTCATGAGACTTAGTGGTTGGAAGTACAGATGAGGAAGATAATTTTCAAGAATGACCCCTGTTTCCTGGTTGAACAACTGGACAGATGTTGTTGACATTTACTCTGGTGGAGAGAATTGGCTGTGGAACCATATGGTGAATGAGCGGGATAAAAAAGGTCTATTTTATTTGAGATGCGTGTAAGACATCTAGTGGAGATATAAAGTAACAGTTGGGTACACAGGTCCTAGTCCTAAGCTCAAAAGATTTAGGCTAAATATGTGAATTTGGAAGACATCCATATATACAATAGTCTTTGAATTTAAGGGAAGGGAATAATTCACCTAGTTAGAGGTCATTGAACTCACATTGGAGGGGAAGGATGGGTGGGGTATAAATTAAATAAAGAATACAAAAATTAGCCAGGTGTGGTGGCACATGCCTGTAATCCCAGCTACTCCGGAGGCTGAGGCAGGAAAATCGATTGAACCCAGGAGGTGGAGGCTGCAGTGAGCTGAGGTTGTGCCGCTGCACTCCAGCCTTGGTGACAAAGTGAGACTCCATCTCAAAAAAAAAAGAAGGAAGAAAGGAAGGAAGGGAGGGAGGGAGGAAGGGAGGAAGGGAAAGAAAAAAGAGAAAGAAAGGCATTTCAAGAAAAGGCAGTGACATGATTAAATCACCAAGGGAGGAATGGTCTCCTAATCCAATTGGTGAAAAGTAAAGCATAAAATGGGGTTGGATTTCGAATGCCCTCCCAAGTCAGGCAATAGCTCTTCTATATACATGGGTCATATGGAGAGAAATCTGCGAACAGTCTAAGAACTTTACATATCAGCAGGAAGCATTGATTGTGAGCTTCCTTGGTTTATATTGTGAAACATAAAATCAAACTTCACATAAATCTTGAGATAATTATGTTGGTTGTGCATCATAATGGGTATAATGACTATAAAGGATAGTCATTATCTCCCACAGACCACTGCCAACCATTTGCTAGTAATGTGGTGAAAATAGGTCCAGATAATCAGAACCAGTATTATAGGTTCTGATCACCCTGGTGATGAGGTTTCAGCTGCCATCTACTCTACTCCATTGGGATGAGGAGGAGGAGAATTCACCTACCCACAAAGCATTGTCTGTCTGGAGCTCTGCCCTCCCCCTCAATCACTCCTCCTCATACTCCACCTTGCAGCCCTATTGTAGACACCCCATCATCCTTCATTTGGCAAAACAAAGTTAGAAGCCAAGTGAGGAGGCTGGGATCCTTTCCAGTTCAAAGAACAAAACGCCCCAGACATTAATGGGGCCTAAAGGTTGCACATGGCCATTTGAAAAATTTATACTCTGCAGTGCTGAAAGAGCCAAAGCCTTTCCAAACTTATCCTCTGCAGCACCTGACTTACTAAGTGGGATTTGAGTAACTCCTAGCATCATCACTCTTTGTCACTAATAATTGCATCTTAGTATCCTTTGAGCTACACATATTTTTTATGCATAGTAACTTTGCATGCTTGGAAGCTATATATATGGAAGCTATATATTTATATATATATATTTAATTCTATGATGCTGTGTGTGCATTTTCAACTGAGAACTGAGGAAGTATTTATAATTTGAGCCAGGAACTTAGCATTTACTGTGTACTGATTCTGCCTATTTTAACACTTCACAGAAACGAGGATGCAGTCAATCAGATGGCCGTTACTCCCTTTCCAGTGCCATCAAGTTCTCCATCTTCTATTGAGGTAAGGTTGTTTCTAATTAGCTCTTAGTATATTAGATGGATTTGTCATGAGCATTTTCCCCCAATCTGACATTTTTGATATTCAGTATTTGGTATTCCAAACTCGTGGAAAATTTCCCTAACCAAAATGGAAAGTATTGAGGTATTGATTATAAAGTAACTTTTTAAGTAAATATATTAGAACCTAACCATATAAGTATTACCTTCCTCAAAGTTGCTCAAGGTCTCCTCTAAATATATAATTTTGTCCTAATTGAGCATTTCAGAATTTACAAGAAAATTCTCTTTGTTTATGACTGAATTGTACCCCTTTCTTTATGGTTTTGAAATACTTTAATACCTGTGATCAAGGTGTCTTTAAATAATTGCTTTCATCTGTGAATGGCGAAATTACTAGCATAATAAGATTGCTGTAATATTGGTCAGCTTCTGGAGTAGATAGATAAAGAATTGTGTAATCAGTTTGTGTCCCCAGCTGAGGGGATATTCCTTCTCTTCTCGTTTTATATTAATTGAATTATTTTTTAACTCCAAAAAGAAATACATACTTATTGTTACTAATTAAATAGTGCAGGGTTATTCAAAGAAATCTTAATTTTTCTTTCACTACCTCCCTAAGGAAGTTAACGTTCACTATTCAGTATCTTTTCATACTTTTTTCTTTGTTTCTACAGTAAACATAAATAGCTATATATAGTGTCCCTTTTAATAAAAATGTGATTGTGCAATACACATTATTTTTATTCTTTCAACACGTGTTCAGGGTTCTGGGCCGGGGTGGACGGTGGGTGGGATGGAGGCGACCTTGGAGCAGCGCATAGAAGATACAATGAAGAATCCCTCCATTGTTGGAGTCCTGTGCACAGATTCACTTAATCTGGGTTGCCATGGGACCCTGTCAGATGAGCATGCTGGAGTGATATCTGTTCTAGCCCAACAAGCAGCTGAGCTAACCTCTGACCCCACTGATACTCCTGTAGTGTGTCCAGCATCAGATAATGGGAACATTATGATCCAGAAGCATGATGGCTTCACAGTGGCAGTACACAAAATGGCCTCTTGATGGCTCGTATCTGTTCTTCAGCAGCCTGTCATAGGAACTCCATCCTACCTTTGTTAATTGTCTTGTAGAACTACTAAAGTTCCAGTAGTTAGGCCATTCATTTAATGTGCAGTGGGCACTTTTCTATTTACTTAAGAGTAAATTGCTTTTTAACATTATGGACTGACCTATCAAAATATTAGTAAGAAAGGATCATGTTTTGAAGCAGTTGGTCCAGGTCACTTTGTGTATAGAATTTTGCTATATCCAATAAATCTGTTTGGAGGAAAAAAAAACAAGTGTTCAATGAGTGCATATTATTTGTTAAGCACTCTTTTAGGCATTAGAGATCTAGGTGTGAATAAAACTAAGGCTTCCTACCAATTTGTTATCATCTTTCTCTCTTCATGGTTGAAGACACAAAGATACAAATTAAGAAATAAATAAACCAAAAGAATTATCATATAGTGGGCAGTGCCTTGGAGAGAATTAACGTGGGGAATGTGACCTCTTTCCTGAGTTACAGAGAAGGCTACTTGTGTAGCCGAAACACAGGTTATCAAGAAGGGGGTCTGGTATAAAGAAGGTGATTTATTCCAAAGCTAGCTTTGGGGAAGGAGTACAGGCTTCCTGCTTTAAGGGTAACTGCTTCGCTTTTGGAGCAGAAACCTGGCACTTTTAAAAGGCAGAGGAGGAAATGAGCAACGGGGAGGTCCATGTGCTAGCTCCGGTGCCTTATCTACTGGGCAGTCGAGCTGGTGACTGCTGGTGCCTTCTTGTGCAGGACTAGGCCAAAAACTCGCCAGGTGGGACAGAGTTTCATATCTCTCGAGGCAGTCTCCTGGTTGGGGGGTGGGGGCCCATAGAAATCAGCTGTTATTGATCCAGCCAACCTCCTGGTGAGTGAGGGTTCCTTTCTGGATCTCTCCCAAGCACATAGTTAGATGAACTTGCTCTCTAGGGAGCATCTGGTGAAGGGGAGGTAAAAGGCGATACTGGCATTTCTTTCTTCCTCTTTCTTCCTTTTTTTTTTTTTTGAAATGGAGTCTCACCCTGTCACCCAGGCGGAGTGCAGTGGTGTGATCTCGGCTCTCTGCAACCTCAGCCTCTCGGGTTCAAGCGATTCTTCTGCCTCAGCCTCCCGAGTAGCTGGGATTACAGGCGCACACTACCACGCCTGGCTAATTTTTGTATTTTTAGTAGAGACGGGGTTTCACCATGTTGGCCAGGCTGGTCTCGAACTCCTGACCTCAGATGATCTGCCCGTCTGGGCCTCCCAAAAGTGCTGGGATTACAGGCATGACCCTATGTTTGCATTTCTAAAGGGCTGAGTAGGAAGTGGGGAACTGGGGGAAAGAGGAGAGAAGAGAGAAAAAAATAATTATCTCTTAGAAAAATGGGAGTACTTGGTTACACTTGGGCAAGGTAAAATTTAAATAAGATAAAAATTAAAAGAAAAAGCCAGACATTCAAAAATAAGAGGGAGGAGCCTTCCCTGCTGAGAGGACAGAAATAGCTCTCAGGTGAGAATGAGCTGGGGCGTGTTTGAGGAATATGGCTGGAAGCGTCTTAGAAGCTGGGAGAGCAGTGAAATATGAGACAAGAGGGAGAGAAAGGCTGTGTAAGTCAGAGTTAGAAGGTTGGGTTTTATTCTAGATGCAGTAGAAGCCACTGGAAGGATTTAAACAGGGGAGTGAGGTGACCTGATACATAGTTTTTAAAGGATCCATTTGGCTATTTAGGGGAAGAAAAATAACTTTTTTCTTCAACCCTCATAGGTTCTTAGTTGGAATGGACCCTTGAAACAAAAGATAGATTAACAAGAGCAAAACAAACAGAAGTTTAATGACATATGTGTTTCTTATATACATGGCAAACACTCAGGGAATGAGTAGTTCTCAATGAGATAGATTTAAATTCTAGCTTAAATAGCATCTTTAACAAAAATGGTAAATGTTTAGAGAAATGACAAGACAAAGGAAGAGGACTTTGTCTCTAGGGGTGGCAACTTGAGGGAAGGCAAACAACTGGCAGATAAAGGCTAGTTGGTATAGCTTGCTCATGTAGATTCCCCTGGTGCCATCTCCAGGGGATAAACATTCTGTGTTACCTTCAGGGGTTAACCTTTGCTCTCCCTGATTCAGAGGGAGGGGGATACCTTTGTCTTTATATATGTATGTCCTGCTTTTAGACAAATAGAGGGAGAGCAGAGGGTTTTCCTGCATCTGCTTCTTCCTAATTGCCTTCAGCTCATGGATCCTTCCTTTTTAGAGTGGCATATTCTCATCTCCCACAGCTGCTAGGTAGGGAGTGGGTTGGTGGGAAAGTAATATGGTAAAAGGCAAAAGCTCCAGTGAGGCCCTAATGTGGCTTGGATGAAGTGTTGGTATTGGAAGCAATGAAAAGTGAGCAGATCCTTGATGTTTTGGAGGTTGAGTCAAACTTGATTAATTAAACGAGGGAGCTGAGGGGAAGTAGAGAGTCATGGATAAACCTAGATTTTTGGCTTGAGCAACTGGGTAGATAGTGGTACTATTTACTAGAGTCTTTCAAAGAATAGCTGTTCTGAAAATTTAGAAGACTGATTTTATTTTTAAAACAAGCAGGCTAGTATGTAAAATAAAAAGTACAAGCTAGTATGTAAAATAAAGCAGGCTAGGCCGGGCGTGGTGGCTCACGCCTGTAATCCCAACACTTTGGGAGGCCGAGGCGGGTGGATCACGAGGTCAGGAGATCGAGACCATCCTGGCTAACATGGTGAAACCTCCTCTCTACTAAAAAATAGAAAAAATAGGCTGAGACAGGAGAATGGCGTGAACCCGGGAGGCGGAGCTTGCAGTGAGCCGAGATCGTGCCACCGCACTCCAGCCTGGGCGACAGAGAAAGACTCCATCTCAAAAATAAATAAGTAAATAAATAAATAATAATAATAAGAAAATAAAGCAGGCTAGTATGTAAAAAATATGTAAAGTATAAATAATGCCAGTCTTAAGTTTCAAGAACATTATCACGTATCTTAATCAAATTTGTGTGCCATTATTTGTATTTCATTTTCAAAAATAATGAAATCACATTAGGCATTTAAATGTATAAATAAATAATAAATCCCTTTCTCTAACAGCATATGCTATGCGGGCGATGTTTCTATTGAACCATCACAATTTGATTATATTCTAGAGAGGGCTTTTTAGTTCCACTCTGGACTGTTGGCTGTGGTAACTGCTACCAAATGATGAATGCCACCCCTCCTGTGGGCGGTATGTGAAGAGGACGCATATCCCTGACCACTTTCTCTTCCTTTCCCATTTGCCTATGTGGACCCTCTTAGTATATCTTTTTCCCCCTTAGATGTTTCTATTGAGTACTAAAGCATAACTCATATCCAGCATATGGCTAAAAGAGACAGCCCATTCAAATCATAACCAAATAGATGAAATAGAGCCATATCATTATTAAATTGGACCTGATAATAATAATTCAGTATTATTAAGTAGCAGTTTTATTATATGTTAATGGTATCTCATATTTATTTCTTTGTTCAGCAAATGCTTATTGAGCTATTTTTTTAAAAAAAAAGACAAGATCTTTTTCTGTAGCCCAGGCTAGAGTTCTGTGGTGCTATCATGGCTCACTACAGCCTCAAACTCCTGGGCTCAAGCAATCCTCCTGCCTCAGCCTCCCAAGTAGCTGGGACTATAGGCACGTACCATCATGCTTGGCTAATTTTTAAATTTTTTGTAGAGACAGGATCTCGCCATGTTACCAAGGCTGGTCTTGAACTCCTGACCTGAAGCAGTCCTCTCACCTCAGCCTCCCAAAGTGCTGGGATTACAGGTGTGAGCTACCGAGCCTAGTGTCACTGAGCTCTTATTATGTGTCAATGTTCTAGACCCGAAGGGTATCGCAGAGAACAAAATTGTTTCATGTAGTTCTGTGCTAGTTGAGTGAGCAAGAGTGCTAATAAAACACTGAGCAAGAATTCTGACTATGTGGGTTTTGGTTTTGGCTCTACCAATTACCTGTGGGCATACAACCTTGGTAGAGGCAGTTAACCTCCCAAAGTCTGTCTTTTTCTGTAAAGCCAGGTTAATAGCCTCCTCTGCCTGTGTCAAAGGGTAGTTATGAGGGCCAGGTGTAAAAATATTTTATTCCTACAGCTATATATATTTATAAGGGATTATGATGCAGTGCTTGTGGTAATTATAATACCATTGGCACAATTCTACAGCATAGTGATGTGAACATAAGCTTGGATGTCAGACAGAGCCAAGTCTCAATCAGTGTTCTACCATTTACTAGCAGAGTGAACTTGAGCCAGTTATGCTCTATAAACTTCAATTCCTCACATTTAAAATGGGTTTGATAATAATAATTAATTCTATGGACTTGTTAGAAGTATTAAGTAATGTTTATAAAAGGCTTAGCACTATTCCTGGCACATGATAAGACCTCATTTTTGTTGTGATTGTACTTATATTATCACAGCCCTCTAGTAGAACTCCCAGCCTCCAGCATCTTCCATTTTTAATAGTTACATACAAAACAGGATTTTTTTTCCTTTTAAAAACTAAATTGATAAAAATTGTATATATTTATCATATACAACATGATGGGTTTTTTTGTTTGGTTTTGGTTTGGGGGGGGCAGTTATTTTTTGAAACAGGATCTCGCTCTGTTGCCAGGCTGGAGTGCAGTGGCATGATCTCAGCTCACTGCATCCTCGACCTCCCAGGCTCAAATAATATTCCTGCCTCAGCCTCCTGAGCAGCTAGGACTATAGGCACGCACCACCATACCTGGCTACTATAAGATTTTTTTGCAGAGACAGAATCTCACTATGTTGCCCATGCCCAGTCTGCTGGGCTCGAGAGATCCTCCCACCTCAGCCCCTCGAGACAGTGCTGGAATTACAGGAGTGAGCCACTGCACCTGGCCAACATGATGTTTTGAAATATGTGTATGTTGTAGAATGGCTAAACAAGATAATTAACATATGTATTTCTTCCCGTACTTATTTTTGTGGTGAGAACAGTTGAAATCTACTTTCTTAGAGATTTTCAAGAATACAGTACATTGTTGTACATTGTTATTAACTGTGGTCACCCTGCTGTACAACAGATCTCTAGAACTTATTACTTTAACTGAAATTTTGCATCCTCTGACCAACATGTCTTCAACCTTCACCCCATCCACCAGCCCCTCCCACTACTCTCTGCTTCTATGAGTTCAACTTTTTAGATTCCACATTTAAATCCCAGAGGGTCTGAATTTCATTCTTTGGTTTCGGAGCTGTTGAAGGCATTTTGAACAATGAAACAATCTGATCAAGGCTGTACTCCAGAAAGATTAGTCTAATAGCAATGTTAAAGACATCTTGAAGAGGGAAACCCAATTAAGAAGCCATTGCTGTCGTCTAGTAAGAGGTACTGAGGGCTCAAATAACTTGGGTTCCGACATACTTATTCCATTTATTGACAGGACAGCCTAAATCTTTTAGAATATCTTCAATACAAACAAGGACCTCCTTTTTGCTTTCTTAGAAGTTGTGTTTTTTAAAGTACTAACTGAGATGGAACAGGCCTCATAAAGATCAGGGAGGTTGATCATGCAGGGAGTTCCATTAGCATAATTTCCATTTTATTTTAATTTTGCCTTGCCTTTCTAGAATTCTGAGCAGCCTAGTAAATAAGCTCACGTTTGGGGTTAGAAGAAAGAAATTCAGTTTGTCACATGTGGTAAACAAGGTTTTGCAGAGGGAAATATTTGTGAATTTAGGTTGGCGATGAGACTAAAATTATTTTGTGTGTTTTCTAAAAGAACATTGGATTTAGAAAATATGGGAATGGGCCAGGCACGGTGACTCACGCCTGTAATCCCGACACTCTGGGAGGCCGAGGCTGGCGGATCACCTGAGGTCAGGAGTTCAAGACCAGCCTGGCCAACATGGCGAAACCCCGTCTCTACTAAAAAAAATACAAAAATTAGCTGGGTGTGGTGGCGTGCGCCTGTAATCTCAGCTACTCGGGAGGCTGAGGCTGGAGAATCACTTGAACCCAGGAGGCGGAGGTTGCAGTGAGCTGAGATCGTGCCATTGCACTCCAGCCTGGGCAACAACCGTGAAACTCCGTCTCAAATAAAAAAAAAAAAAAGGAAATGTTTTTTCAATCCACAATAACATCCTTAACGAATTTAACTTTTATTGAATGCCTACTCTCAAATAAAATAGCATTCTTGCTATCAAGATTCGCTGTTCAGTTTGAAGAAAATTATAGACAAATGGTGGATATAAAAAAAAAGGAGTTTAAAATAATAAGCATTATCACTTCTGCAATCACTTATGTGGAAGATTTTGGGAGAGCCCAGGGGAGGGAATTTGGAACTTCCTAAAGGTCTGAAAAAGACTAACCTCAGTAGGGGTTGATCTGCAAACCTTACAAGTCTTGCCTTTTCTGTTTGTTCATCTACAAAACATAATTGACTGTGGAATCCACTGACTGTGATCTCATAGGGAGAAGTTGTTCTCCTTAAGCTGCCTGGCTGAGCAGGCAGCTTTGGACAGGTGGTTTGAAGATCAGCAAGAGACGACAGGAACACCCAGCCATCCGGATTAGCTGAGTCATCTTGGGTGTCAACTGGCCCCCATCCGTCAGCCAGATGGTCCTCAAACCACTCTAATTCACTCGTGCCTTAGAAATCACGCTGCTGACCTGTTTTCCCTTTCCCATATCAGACTCTTGGCTATTTTCCAAGCTCCTGGTGAGTGGGGTATTTTGAAGACTCCTTACCTCATGAGCCATTCTGTTCTCAGAGCAGAATCCACATTGTTGTGGCCAGGCACAGGGGCTCATGCCTGTAATCCCAGCACTTTGGGAGGCTAGGACCGAAGGAGTGCTTGAGCTCAGGAATTCAAGACCAGCCAGGGCAGCATGGTGAAACCCTGTCTCTACAAAAATTACAAAAAATTAGCCAGGCATGGTGGTGCATGCATGTAGTCCCAGCTACTTGGGAGGCTGAGGTGGGAGGATCACCTGGGCCCAAGAGGTCGAGGCTTCAGTGAGCTGTGATCATGCCACTGCACTCCAGCTTGGGTGACAGAGTGAGATGGTGAAGAAAAAAGAAAGGAAGGAAGGAAGGAAAGGAAGGAAGGGAGGGAGGGAGGGAGGGAGGGAAAGGATCCACATTGTTATGTTCTGTACCTCATTTTAGCATAAACATTACAACTTTAGCTCTACTTGTAATGTAACATGAATGTGAACATCAAACTGTTACAGACTTTAGCTCTCCTAGAAAGTAAATGCTTTATTGCTATCCTCCCTCAATTCCAACTTCCTTTTTGCCTGACTCCCAACTCCATCTAGATTTGGACTTCAAACCCTCCTCTACGGAGTCATCTCAGACTAAGAGGAAAAGTGGGGAGGCGTAGTACAGTTAAAAAGAGTATGGAATTTGAAGTAAAACAGACCTAGGGTGAAAAATGAATCAGGCAGTGGGAATGAATGAGGCCCAGATGCTCGATTCAAGGATCTTTCAGTCCCGTCAGGGAGATCAGTTCTGTACATGCATAATTAGGATACAAAAGAGATGAATGTTAAGTGACAGAGGAGGTTCAGGTAGAATGTTACAATTTAGAGGAAGGAGAGATGTCCCCCAGGTAAGGAGAAGGAAAAGATACAATGGAACAAGTGACATTTGAGACCTGGCTTTGAATGATAAATTCTGCTTCATTTGATCCTCTAGTTTCTAAGTGTGGGATGTGGTGTAGACATAGAGAGTATTTTTTGTTTCTATTCACATCTTAAAGGATGCATAGACTATTTGGAACCTAGACTGCTTTGCCCATGTTTTCTTAAATTTTACAGGTTGACGCATCCCTTAAACAGCTGTTTTCTCCTCTACTTTAGTATTCATTTTATAAAGACCAAGAATATCTTATCTTCAATATGCATATTGCTGAGAAATGTAAAAGTAAAGGTTCCTCTAATTTATTTAAGGAACGCTTTCCTTTCCCTAAGGGGACATGTGCATAATTAGATGAATGTTTTCAGCTGACGCCTCTTCATGTGAGAATCTCTCTCTTCTGGGACCAGAGGTGGTGGCCATTTGCAGGGTTACTAACAGAACCTGTGGGTTCGTTCTACAGTCTAATGTGCTGCAGCTACAAACATTAGCTATTTCTCTTTTTTTGAGACGGAGTCTCTCTCTGTTGCCCAGGCTGGAGTGCAGTGGCGTGATATCGGCTCACCGCAACCTCTGCCTCCTGGGTTCAAGCCATTCTCTTGCCTCAGCCTCCTGAGTAGCTGGGATTACAAGCACCCACCACCACGCCTGGCTAATTTTTTTGTATTTTTAGTAGAGACAGGGTTTCACCATCTTGCCCACTTGAACTCCTGACCTCGTGATCCACCCGTCTCAGCCTCCCAAAGTGCTGGGATTACAGGCGTGAGCCACCGCACCCAGCCCAACATTGACTATTTCAAAGCTCCACTTGGCCACCGTAACCTCGCCAGGCCTTCTTCAGGGGCTCCCACAGCTTGCAGAACTAGACACACTAAGGAATTTGGATATTACAAGTTTTCCATAGATTAAATACTGATTTTTAAAGAGTAATTCCTTTGTTCAGAATTTCTGTTTCTAACACTTACATTACCACTGTCAAAAATGCTGAAAATCTGTATGTTTTCAAGATGTATTAACTTGGGTATGTTTATTTCACATGGTAACTCCTTGATTATCCAAAATTCACTGAGAAGAGGATGTTCTATCTAATACAATTTTCTGGTTAAAAAAATCCTAAGACATGTTTTAGAAAATCCATGGTCTATTAACAATAATTGTTTGAAAGATTGTGAGTCTTATCTTCTGTAAGATCAGTTGTCAACACTCAATACTGAAAAGGAAGAACGAGAGAGAAATGAGAGCATCATTTATTGAGGGCCTAGCATGGCCCTTTCCCAGCTTTGAATCTTAGATCTACCTTTTACTGCCTGGAGTTGTTTAGCAAGTGATTTAAAATGTATCATTATCCTCATTTATGAATTGGGATCATGGTGGTACATTCCCCTAGCAGGTTATTAGGAAGACTATATGAGATAGTGCAAGAATAAAGAATCTGCTTCAACAAAAAGCTAGAAACAGTTCTGTCAAATTCACATGGAAACAAAGAAAGAAAGAAAAGGCCGGGCGTGGTGGCTCACACTGTAATCCCAGCACTCTGGGAGGCTGAGGTGGGTGGATCACTTGAGGTCAGGAATTTGAAACCAGTCTAGCCAACATGGCGAAACCCCGTCTCTACTAAAAATACAAAAATTAGCTGGGCCTGGTGGTGGGTGCCTGCAATCCCAGCTACTCGGGAGGCTGAGGCAGGAGAGTCGCTTGAACCCAGGAGGCAGAAGTTGCAGTAAGCCGAGATCGTGCCACTGCATTCTAGCCTGGGCGACAGAGCGAGACTCTGTCTCAAAAAAAAAAAAAAAAAAAAAAAAAGAAAAAGAAAGAAAAGAAAATAGTAAATTATATTTAAAATCTAGAAACAAAAGTTAACTGTACCTGGTGTTATGCAAATGGATATTTTACATATTAACTCATTAATCTTTTAAAGCAACCTTATAGGGTAGTATTTTTAATCTGGTATTTTATCTGCACTTTAAAAACAAGTTAAGTTACAGGTGAGCATCCCAAATTTGAAGTTAGAAATGCTCCAAATTCTGAAACTTGTTGAGCACTAACATGATGCTCCAAAGAAATGCCCATTGAAGCATTTTGGATTTCAGATTTTTCATTTTGGTTTTGGGATGCTCAGCTGGTAAGTATAATTCAAACATTCCAAAATCTGAAAAAATTTGAAGTCCAAAACATTTCCAAGCATTCTGGATAAGGGATACTTAACCTGTACTCAGGTTTGAAAGCAACTTGCCCCAAGTCATATAATTCTAAGTGGCAAAGTTGAGATTTGAACCCAAATCTGCCCAATTCTAAAGTCCATGCTGCTTGCTTTCTTTAATTTTTTTTTCTTCTTTTAGGTGTTTCTCATAGTCTCCCCTTACTTTATGTTTAAATATGCAATCGTATGTGATAATTCTTCTGTAATCAAACAGTATAGAAATAATTAATGCAAAAATTACCCGTTCCCCAATTCCACTCCCCAGAAGTAAGCAATCACACACACACACACACACACACACACACACACACACAGAGTATTTTTTTTTCTGAAAAGATTATCTTAATTTATATTCACTCAGTGATGTATAAAAATTCCTTTCTCCCTGACATTACCAATATTGAATGTTCTTTTCCTATTCTGTTGTCCATTTGATAGTTGAAAGAATGCTCTCTTTGCTTTAATTGCATCAAATTATGAGTGAGATTGAATGTCTCAAAATCAAAACTCTTTTCCCTATAAACTATTTCAGCCAAATCTGTAGTAATCCCAGGATGGTGGTGATTAAAAATAAAAGTCCAGGTAAGTACAATGTGGATATTCCATTTGTCATCCTTATCCTTCCTTATATATCCCCAGAAAGTAAAATAACTTCTAGTTAGTTAACTATAACATTTAATATGTCACAATTCAATTGAGGAGATGCCTAATGTGTTTTAGATTTTTAGTGGTATGTATTATTGCCAGGTGTCTCATTTATGTAAATACATATTTTCAGGATTCTGCAGGAAAAAGTCACGAAAGAAAACAAGTACTCAGTGCATTCATTAGTTCCATCAGTGTTAGGTGGTTTCCACGTGCCAGGCATGGTGATGGGACTTGATTTCAGAAACCAACAAGACACACTTTGGAAGGCTGAGGCAGGCAGATCACTTGACGTCAGGAGTTCGAGACCAGCCTTGCCAACACAGCAAAACCCCATCTACTAAAAATACAAAAATTAGCCCGTGTGGTGGCATGCACCTGTAGTCCCAGCTACTCAGGAGGCTGAGGCACAAGAATCACTTGAACCCGGGAGGCGAAGGTTGCAGTGAGCGGAGGTCGTGCCACTGCACTGCAGCCTTGGCGATAGAGTGAGACTGTCTGCCCCACCAAAAAAAAAAAAAAAAAATTCATTTATTAAATTTTAAAGAAACATTTTTTATTAAATAAAAAAAATAAATAAAAGAAATCAACAAGATAAACCCAGTCTCTTATCTCAAACAGTTTAGTCATATACAAAAAACAGTCAACTGACTCAGTGAGAAAGCTTGGGCTGGAGGTAACAGAATGGCTAACTCAAACCGGTTGAAGCAAAAGGAAATGTATTAGCTCTCACAGAAGGTGGTTAAGGATAAGGCTGGGCTCCAAGTTTGCTCAATCCAGTGACCTAGTTTTGCCAGCAGAGAACCAGTTCTTTCTATGTCTACATTTGCTTTGTAACCCACAGGGTCAGCCTTATCCTAAGGCTGGTTCCCTCATTGTCATGGGACGGTCGTCCATGGAAACTTGGGCTCATGCTCTCTTGTTAATTTGGGAGGTATAGGGACTTCTTGCAGCTCTCTTAAGACTAAAGAAGAACTTTTCCACACATCTCCAGCAAACCTCTCCTTATATTTCATTGGCCAGAACTGACAAAATCTATTCCTGATCTGCCCATTCTGGACAAAATCACTGGGAAAAGAAAAAGACTATCCTAGGCAATCAGGCCTACACCTGAAACAGAGGGTGGGGACCAGCTTTCCCTAAGGCCTATCTGTGAGCAGCAGAGATAGATACCTGAAACAACAACAACAAAACAGTCTTCTGCTAGAAAGAAAGAAACAGAAAATACTTCCTCAGAGGAAACAATATCCACCACAACCATATGATGAGCAAATGACATTGAGTATCTGTACAATTCGAGGGAGTGTAAGTGAAGAATGACATCTTTGCCATTTTCTTTTTAACGTTCCATAGGATCAGAGCGGCACCGAACCTATTAGTAGTGAGGAAGATGGCAGCGTCGAAGTTGGTATTAAACAATTGCCTGAAAGTGAAAGCTTCAAACTGGTGAGAATCTTGAGTATTTTTCATCCTGTATTCTGTTTAGGGATGTATCACTTATATTTTGTACCACCTTGGAAAGAACCACCTATCATGTTTGCTTCTCTCAGGAATCTTCGTCTGTGAGACAAGAAGCTATTATATGTAGTGAGTGACCCATTGACTCTGAAGAAGAGCATCTTCTCTTACCTTGGCAACACTTGAATTGTGCTGTCTGGGATTAAGGAAGCAATCTCTCCTCTTTTTTTTTGTTTTTGTTTTTGTTTTTGTTTTTTGAGATGGAGCCTCACTCTGTCGCCCAGGCTGGAGCGCAGTGGCTGGAGCACAGTGGTGCAATGATCTCAGCTCACTGCAACATCTGCCTCCCAGGTTCAAGCGATTCTTTTGCCTCGGCCTCCAGAGTAGCTGGGACTACAGGCGCACACCACCATGCCCAGCTAATTTTTATATTTTTAGTAGGGACGGGATTTTGCCATGTTAGCCAGGCTGGTCTTGAACTCCTGACCTCAGATGATCCATCCGCCTTGGCCTCCCAAAGTGCTGGGTTTACAGATGTGAGCCACTGTGCCTGGCCTGCAATTTATCCTTTATATCTGGTTTAATATTGGATTTTTATAAGGCCAGAGCTGTGCTTAATTAGTCCTGGAGGCACAAGAAAAAATGTTAAATTTATTCCATTGATTCCAAGCAAAAGATACTTAAACTTATCCAGGGGCTAGGGCATTAGAAGAGAGGCAGTTTTAGAGAACTCTTTCTCCTTATGTACCCTAATGTTTGATATTTTGTTATTTAATAGTTATTGAACATTTGTTGCATATCAGACACTGTGCTGTGTTCTGCATGCATTTCCTGTTCTTTGATTTTCCTACACGTGAGGAAACTGAGAGTTAGAGAAGTTAACTAACTTGCCAAAGGCCCCCAGCCAGTATGTGATAGGCTGGGAGATGGCTGCCCTACCCTCTGACTCCCATGCCTTGGCTCATCATCTGCTTTTCTGTTTTGTAGCCCAGCACTTCCAGGGTTAGACTACAAATTCTAGAAGAAATGTAGGCTTTTTTCCCCTCTGTGTTTAAAAATGTCCTACAAATCTCAAAGAATTAATCACTTAGGAGTGTCATCTAACTCTGATTTTATGACAGCCCAGAGTTGTTCATTTTACTTCAGGGCATTTGAGAAATCATCCATTTATCCTCTTTCAGGTTTTGGAAAATATATCTTGCGACTGCCACAGATTGCATATCCTAGAAAGTGAGCTTATTCTGGCTGAAGGGAAAGAATGTTTCAGCAAGAGTGGAAATTGTAATGGGCCACTCATGAATAAACCCTACATGGGACCTGAGACCCCTGGCATGAAGAGTACTAGCAGTTTATTTACCAGAGATTGACTAAAAAAAAAAAAAAAAAAATGACCGGGCACAGTGACTCAAGCCTATAATCCCAGCACTTTGGGAGGCCAAGGCGGGCAGATCACCTGAAGTCAGGAGTTCAAGACCAGCCTGACCAACATGGAGAAACCCCGTCTCTACTGAAAATACAAAAATTAGCTGGGCGTGGTGGTGCATGACTCTAATCCCAGCTACTCGGGAGGCCGAGGCAGGAGAATCGCTTGAACCCAGGGGGAGGCAGAGGTTGCGGTGAGCCAAGATCACGCCATTGCACTCCAGTTTGGGCAACAAGAGTGAACCTCCGTCTCAAAAAAAAAAAAGAAAAAAGAATAATGGCAGTAAAAAATTATGATTTCCCTTTCCAAAAGGTAGAGTGCATTTTTGCACTACAGGGAAATGAGGAACAGCAACAAATTTCAAACCGAAAGCCCCTTTACTTAAAAATATGTTAACTTGTTCTGTTTGGCACTATATCTCCATAGTCAGGTTAGGGGAAAGTCTTTTAAAGCAACAGAATTTTGTAGGTAGGCATCCCCAATTTCATCCACAGAGGAAATGGTAAAAAGAGTGAGAATACTCTCTTGCTTGCTGGAAGAATCTGGTAGTCCCAGCCAGGCTCATGTGCAGGCCAAAGGTAAAAGCCATCCATCATCCACTCCCAGTTCCCAAGTAAGCAACACCAGTGACAGGGCTGCAGGTGTCAAGACAGTTGAAGAGGCAGAGGGCCTGGAGGCCTGAGGGTCATTTTTAGATAATGTTTCATACTGCACTTCACCAACAATTGAAGGCTTTCCCATACCCATTGACTAGTGTCTGTCTTTTTCCACTCTGTTCCCTTCCTTACCCACCATCTGTCCTTTTGGTTCTGGAGTTTCTTAATCACTGTTTGCAGTAGAATCTCTGCATGTTCTAGTTCAGAAAGGAAAGATAGCCTGAATTTGGACAACTTTTATAGCATAAATATAAATGGCCTGGCATAAAGTATTATTTAAGAGTGTCTGGCCGGGCACAGTGGCTCACGCCTGTAATCCCAGCACTGTGGGAGGCCAAGACAGGAGGATCACCTGAGGTTGGGAGTTCAAGACCAGCCTGACCAACATGGAGAAACCCCGTCTCTACTAAAAATACAAAATTAGCCAGGCATGATGGCGCATGCCTGTAATCCCAGCTACTTGGGAGGCTGAGGCAGGAGAATCGCTTGAACCTGGGAGATGGAGGTTGCAGTGAGCCGAGATCGCGCCATTGCACTCTAGCCTGGGCAAGAAGAGCGAAATTCCGTCTAAAAAAAAAAAAGTGTCTTGAAGAAGTCACTTGACCTCACCAAACCTCAGTTTCCTCAGCTGAGGAATGACGGTAATTAGGATGCTATTAGGAAACAAAGGGGCTATAAAATATAAATCACACAGAAGAATATAGGGCAAATAGAGCTTAGTAAATTCATTTCATTCATTCAACAAATATTTGCCAAATACCACTATGTTCCAGGTACTGAAGATACCGCAGTGAACAAAATGTACAAAAATGCCTTCCCTCATGGACTCATTCCACAGTTGGAGGGGGAAGGAAGATAGACAGTACATCAATTAGCAAAATGTTGGATTGAATCATATGAAATTGCCATTTTGGTAGGTAAAAATTTCATATGGTTCAACCTAACATATACATAAATGTCATTGTCTTGTAATGAAGTATTAATTCAAGACAAGCCTAGTTCCAGACCAGCCTAGGCAACATTGTGGGCCCCATTTTTATTTAAAAAAAAAAAAAAAGAAGAAATTAGCTGAGTGTGGTGACAAGCACCTGTAGTCTCAGCTACTCAAGAGGCTGAAGTGGGAGGATTACTTGGACCTGGGAGGTTGAGGTGGCAGTAAGCTGTGATTGTGCCACTGCACTCCAGCCTGGGTGACAGAGTGAAACCCTGTGTCCAAAAAAAAAAAAGTTATTTTCAGAGCTGAGGCTAAGCCGTGGCCTATGCATACTCCAGTGCTATTTTCAGTATATTCAGTTGGTTGGCTTTGGACTGTGTCTCAGTAGCCCTAGATGCATAGCCAAGGAGTTTATAATAATTTCAGAAGGTATTCCATTTCTTTAAAATATTTTTAAAGGGGGAAATAACTTTTTTGTAGATCAGTTGATGGTTTGTGAAACATAGATTCTGATTGTGAGAGACTGGAGGCAGGGAAGTGTCTGGTATCTATTTCAGAAGTCTAGATGAGAGCCTGTTAGAAGCCTTTTGAAAAGAACTTGAATGAAAGTACTTGCACAGAGCTTTCCAATTTGCAAAACAGTTTCATCTATAATCTCATTGGCTTAATTTTTTTAATATTTAAGTTTTTTCGCGGGGTACGGTGATTCATGCCTATAATCCCAGCACTTTGGGATGCCGAGGCGGGGAGATCAAGAGGTCAAGAGATCGAGACCAGCCTGGCCAACATGGTGAAACCCCATCTCTACGAAAAATACAAAAATTAGCTGGGCATGGTGGCGGGTGCCTGTAGTCCCAGCTACTTGGGAGGCTGAGGCAGGAGAATCGCTTGAATCTGGGAGGCGGAGGTTGCAGTGAGCTGAGATCGCACCATTGCACTCCAGCCTGGCAACAGAGCGAGACTGTGTCTCAAAAAAAAGAAAAAAAAATTTAAGTTTTTTTCTAAAATGGTGTTTAGTTGGTTTGTGATCTTAATCTTATCCCCAAAATAACCATATGTAAAGAGAAGGAGAAGAATTATTTATCCCAGATTTATAGATGAGACTTTATCTGCTCAGTGTAAGATCAAAAAACTGGAAATTGGGAGAAGTGGAACTCATTCAGAAAGCCTCATGATGTCCTGGTAGCTTGCTGACATCGGAGCTCAAGATCCCTAAAATAATTACTTTAATCTTTTGGGTATAAACTTGTGTGCTTATAATGTTCAGAATATCTATGTTCATATAATATGCTCTTTTGAAGTGGTATAATTAAATTAGTAAGAGTGCAATCACTGGAGCTAGACTACTTGGGTTCAAATCCTGGTTCCGCTATTCGCTAACAATTATAACCTTAGAGAAATGACTTAACCTCTCTGTGATTCAGTTTATGCCTCTGTAAAATGGGAGGAAAAATTAAATGAGTTGATAACAGTAAAGTACTACTTAATCCATACCAGAGTGCGCTGTAGTCACTGTCAAAGAGTGAATTGTTGTTAATGAGGATGATGCTGTCATTCTGATTAAAGCATTAAGGGGTAGCCATAGAAGGAACAACTATTCCAAGTGAAGCATTAAGATATAACTTGAAAAATTGAAGTGACTTTTTCAACCTGAAAAGCACAATTACTAATGTATTAGGGTTCTCCGAAGAGACAGAACCAATAGGATATATGGATATCTGAGAAGGGATTTATTAAGGGAATCGTCTCACGTGTTATGGAGCCTGAGAGGTCCCACAATAGGCTGTCTGCAAACTGGAGAACCAGGGGAGCCAGGAGCAAATTCAGTTAAAGTGTGAAGACCTGAGAACCAGGGGGCTGCTGATAAAAGCTCTGCAGTCCAAAGGCTGGAGAACATGGAGTTCTGATGTCCAGGGGCAGGAGAAAATGGTGTCCCAGCTTCAGAAAAGAGCGAATTCACCTTTCCTCTGCCTTTTTGTTCTACCTGGCCCTCCGCCAATTGGATGGTGCCTTGCCCAAACTGGATGAGGGTAGGTCTTCCTTGCTTGGTCCACTGCTTCAAATGCCCATCATTTCTGGAAACACCCTTCCAGACACACCCAGAAATAGTGTTTTACCAGCTAGCTAGATATCCCTTAATCCACTCAGATGGATACCTAAAGTTCACCATCATAGTTAATATATTATTCTAAGCTCTTTAACACATGCTAACTTATTCACATAACAATAGTAGTTATATAGTAGTATCATTTCCATGTAAGAGATAAAGCACTGAAATGTTAAATAAATTGCCTTGGAGCCAAGCACAGTGGCTCCAGTTTGTAATCCCAGCTACTCAGGAGGCTGAAGTGGGAGGATTAATTGAGGCCAGGAGTTTGAGGCTGCAGTGAGCTATGACCACGCCCCTGCACCCCAGCCTGGGTGACAGAGTAAGACCTTATCTCAAAAAAAAAAGTTGTGGCCGAGGCTGGTGGATCACCTGAGGTCAGGACTTCGAGACCAACCTGGCCAACATGGCGAAACCCCGTTCCTATTAAAAATACAAAAATTGGCTGGGCGTGGTGTTGGATGCCTGTAATCCCAGCTACTTGGGAGGCTGAGGTAGGAGAATCACTTGAACCCCAGGGGCGGAGGTTGCAGTGAGCCAATATCACACCACTTTACTCCAGCCTGAGTGAAAGAGCAAAACTCCATCTCAAAAATAAAAAATCACCCATTGAAGCCAGGGCTCAAATTGGAGGTTACTACACTTTGTTTTTTTTAAGTCTCACTCTGTCACCTGGGCTGGAGTGCAGTGGCGCTTTCTCAGCTCCCTGCTCTGCAACCTCCACCTCTGGGGTTCAAGCAGTTCTCGTTCCTTAGCCACCTGAGTAGCTGGGAATACAGGCATGCGCCACCAGGCCCGGCTAATTTTTGTACTTTTAGTTGAGACAGGGTTTCACCATGTTTGGCCAAGCTGGTCTGGAACTCCTGGCCTCAGGTGATCTCCCCACCTCAGCCTCCTAAAGTGCTGAGATTACAGGCGTGAGCCACTGTGCTGGGCCTGAAACCTCAACTCTAATCAAAGCTAAGAACTAGAGTTGCTTCGTGCTAAGAGAGCGTATGAAAGGGGATTTGACCTTGAGAGGGAGGGCTACCCTGGGGATGAATTTGAAGGAGAAGCTGACAATAATTGGGAATGGGACAAAGAAGAAAACAAAGGAAGGTTTTAGGCAACCTTAGAGCCTCTGAGAGTCTGATGAACTGAAAGTCTGTGGTTGCCAGATTGGTGAGATGGAAGCGAAATTGGAGTGATCAGCAGCAGCCAGGCCATGTTAAGCACTGTGATCTCCATGCTGATGGCAGTGGGAGGCCACAGAGGTCTGCAGGAGATGACTCCCAGTTCACTGTAGCCGCAGTGTGGCATCAGATAGAACAGGCCAGAGCGGACGCTGATGCCCTGGTTGAGAGTTGATTGCAGCACTGGCAGTCCATGAGAGATGGTGGAAACAATATATATTCTCATGTTTTGTCTTTGCAAAAATCATGTAAAATAAACATGCTTGACTCTTCAGCAAGGCAATGTATGGGTTTACTAGGTAAGTTTCACAGAGAGTTGTCAGTAAAATAATTGACGTTTCTTGCCCCCAGTATGTAAACCTTGTGTCTGTAAGTGTTCTTTAAAGCTTTCCTCTGAATGCAGGTTTAGAGCTATTTAAATGGCAAATGCCATAGCATCCAGGGCTTCAGAACAACCATAATCCCAAAGCTTGGCCAGGAGCCCAAGAGAACTGTGTTAGAATTGCCCTGGACAGATGTGCTTACTGTACTTCCCTCATTTTGTACAACTGCATAACAGCAGTGGGCTCTATATGTCAAGTGACACTTGTCATTACAGACCTGGTTTGTATACAGCTGCCTCAAGAACTCTTTAGATTTTTCAAAAATTTTCAGAATGTTATGATTTTTCAAATTTCCAGTGGTATTTGTCTTTACTGTTGTCTTTCATTGTGAAATATAATTTCTGACCCTTAGGGCAAGAATACAAAAATGAGAGTATTCCAGTCTACTCAGGGCAGCATTCTTCTTGGAGTTTCTTTGTGGAGATTTTAGAATTTACAGGATAGAAAGATGCCTGAGGAAGCATGAATTGTTTTCAGAGGTAACTTACCAGTAACCTAAATGAGCTGTGACATGGAAATGCACACTGCAGCTGACCGTGCATTTTACCATTTCAGAGTCCTTGTCAGCTAGAATACCAACATTTTAGAAGCATTCTTTACTCTCCACCTTGATGCATTTGATCCTTATAAAAAAATTAAACATATTTATTAAACAGCGTCACGTGTTACAAATAACACCTGTATTGCCAAATGGACTGGGAACACTTGCTTTTCCAGATGAAAAAGGCTGTCAGATACAAATCATAGGCTCTGAAGTCTGAACAGACTTAGATCCTGCCTGTGGGAAAGGGGCTTATCCTGTCTGCCTATTTTTCTTCATCCAAAAATTAGAGAAGATGGTGCTCACTTCTTTGTTATAAGGATCAAGTATGATTTTGTATGTGAAATTTCTGACACAGCACGTGGCATGCAGTAAGAGCTCAGTTATTGGTAGCTATCATTAATACCAGATTTTGCCTATATGAAATGTAGGTGTGCCAGAGCTCTCATTATTCAGTACACATTTTGTTAGAATCTGTGCAGCGTTTCGAGCTCTAGGCATGTGAAGATAAGTAAGACCGCTTTCATGTCCAGGAGTGTGCCACACTTGGTCTAACGCAGAGGTCACAAGCTGGTTGTTAGGAGTCAGATTCAGCCCACAAATGTGTTTCATTTAGTCTATGCAACATTCTTAAGATTTTTGAGCTAAGTTTTATGAATCAGGAGATTTTCCATAAAAATCCAGGTTTCCATTTTCCACTGGAAATGGACCAGCATTCCAAGCTGCCCTTCAATTATGTACTCCGAGTTTATCTCAGTACCTGCCTTTTCATTCTTCTCTAATGCAGCCTGCTTCCCTAATGGCATCACCTGTAGGTCCTCACGTCTGCATTCCTAGCCTAATCCTAGAGACAGAACTATGGACATGCAGATATAGTAGCAGGAAGTGAAAACCACCAAGTCAGCAGGGGTTGGCTGGCAGAGGGCCTTGTGGACCAGGAAAAAAGGACTTTATACCAAGGGAAGCCTTTGAAATGGTTTTCAACAGAGGATTATAAAGATGAGATTAACCTTTTGAAAAGATCCTTCTGGGTGCCCTTTGAAAAATCGGTTAGGCCCAGCATGGTTGCTCACCCCTGTAATCCCAGAATTTTGGGAGGCTGAGGTGGGCAGATCACTTGAGGTCAGGAGTTTGTGACCAGCCTGGCCAACATAGTGAAACCCCGTCTCTACTAAAAATACAAAGCCGGGCATGGTGGCACACATCTGTAATCCTAGATACTCGGGAGGCTGAGGCAGGAGAATCGCTTGAACCCGGGAGACGGAGGTTGCAATGAGCCGAGATTGCGCCAGTTCACTCCAGCCTGGGTGAGAGAGCGAGACTCCATCTCAAAAAAAAAAAGAATTGGTTAGATACTTTGTCAATTTTCAATTTTGCAAAGAAAATTATATACATATAAAATATAAAGAATCAGTTAGAAAATGTCAAAACTGAAGTCAGGAAGAGAATTAAAAAGCTATTAGAGTAACTGAGATGAAAGTTAATAATGACTGAAACCAAGGATCTGGCCATTAGGACAGAGAAATATGGACAGATTTTCAACATATACAGGAGTCAGAATGGATGGGACTTGATGGTTACGTAGATATGAAAGTTGAAGAGGGAGGAGGCAAAAATGATTCTCAGATGCATCATGGGCAGCTGACTGGGTGGCTGGTTGATGCTATTTACTGAGAAAAGAAACAGGAGGAAGAGCAGATTTGTGTGGGAAGAGGATTACCTTCATTCTTGTCTGTTTTTAGATGTCTCTGTAAAACAAGAAACATATCTGTCACTATAATGGGCACTTTAAAATATGATCTCATTTATCCTGATAGAAACAGCAATAATAATAGCAATACCATCCACCTGGATTCTATGCTTATTTGTTAGGAACTGAGCAGAAACTGTTGCTCTCCACCTCTGTCCTTCCCGTAATGAAAGCGTTAATACTGTCGTCATCTCCATTTTGCAGCTGAGGGACCAGAAGTTAATGCACGTGCTCAAAGACTTAGAGCCTGTGAGTGCTGTAGTAAGGATTCAGAGCCTTATGGATTTGACTGGGCTGACTTTTTTTATTTTTAATTTCAACTTTTATTTTATTTTTTATTTATTTTTTGAGACAAGGTCTTGCTCTGTCACCCAGGCCAGAGTGTGGTGATGCAAACATAGCTTCATTGCAACCTCAAACTCCAGGGCTCAAGCAATCCTCCTGCCTCAGCCTCCCAAGTAGCTAGGACTACAGGCGCACAGTACCATACTTGGCTAATTTTTTTGTATTTTTTATAGAGATGGGTTTCGCCATGTTCAGTTCAGCAGTTCTACACTAACATAACTTGATGGGTGAAAATAGGGTGGTGGTAGGTGGGAGGGAGTGAGGATCGTATTAGATAATGTAAGTAAATCTCTCTATAAACTGAAGAGTCCTGGAGACAGGGTCTTGCTCTGTTGCCCAAGCTGGAGTGCAGTGGTAAGATCATAGCTTACAGCAGCCTCGATCTCCTGGCCTCAAGCGGTCCTCCCACCTCAGCCTCCCAGAGTGTTGGGATTACAGGCATAAGCCACTGCACCAGACCTTTCAACTTTTATTTTATTTCTGTATTTTTAGTAGAGACAGGGTTTCACCACGTTGGCCAGGCTGGTCTCCAACTCCTGATCTCAGAGGGTTTACCCACCTTGGCCTCCCAAAGTGCTGGGATTACAGGAGTGAGCCACCACGCCCAGCCATTCAACTTTTATTTTAGATACAGGGGGTACATGTGCAGGTTTGTCATAAGGGCATATTGTGTGATGCTGAGGTTTGGGATATGATTGAACCTCTGTGAGCGCAGTCCCCAGTAGGTAGTTTTTCAGCCTTCCCTCCCTCTTTCTCTCCTTGCCTCTTCTTGTAGTCCCCAGTGTCTATTTTTCCCATCTTTTTTTGTTTTTTTATTAAGATTGAGTTTCACTCTTGTCACCCAGGCTGGAGTACAGTAGTGCGATCTTGGCTCACTACAATCTCTACCTCCCAGGTTCAAGCAATTCTCCTGCCTCAGCCTCCCGAGTAGCTGGGATTACAGGTGCCCGCCCCCACGCCCAGCTAATTTTTGTATTTTTAGTGAAGACGGGGTTTTGCCATGTTGGCCAGGCTGGTCTTGAACTCCTGATCTCAGGTGATCCACCCACCTCGGCATCCCAAAGTGCTGGGATTACAGGTATGAGCCACCGTGCCCAGCCTGTTTTTCCCATCTTTATGTCCATGTGTATCCAGTGTTTAGCTCCCACTTATGCGTGAGAACATGCAGTATTTAGTTTTCTGTTCCTGTGTTAATTTGCAGCTGCATCCATGTTGTGGCAAAGAACATGATTTCGTTGAGTGTTTTTTATGGCTGTGTAGCATTTCATGTGTATGCACCACATTTACTTTTTTTTTGAGATGGAGTCTCACTCTGTGGCCCAGGCTGGAGTGCAGTGGTGTGGTCTTGGCTCACTGCAAGCTCCGCCTCCCAGGTTCACGCCATTCTCCTGCCTCAGCCTCCCGAGTAGCTGGGACTGCAGGCACCTGCCACCATGCCCAGCTAATATTTTGTATTTTTAGTAAAGATGGGGTTTCACCGTGTTAGCCAGGATGGTCTCGATCTCCTGACCTCATGATCCACCCGCCTCGGCCTCCCAAAGTGCTGGGATTACAGGCGTGAGCCACCGCACCAAGACTTACACCACATTTTCTTTATACAGTCCACTGTTGATGGGCACCCAGGTTGATATCATGTCTTTGCTATTGTGAATAGTGCAGCAATCAACATATGAATGCAGGTGTCTTTCTGGTAGAATAACTTATTTTCCTTTGGTTATGTAACCAGTAATGGGATTACTGGGTTGAATGATACTTCTATTTTTAGTTCTTTGAGAAATCTCTAAAGTGCTTGCCACAGTGGCTGAACTAATTTACATTCCCACCAATAAATAGCATATAAGAGTTCTTTTGTCTCCATAGCCTCACTAACATCTGTTTTTTTTTATTTTTTAATAGCAGCCATTTAGACTGGTATGAGGTGGTATCTCATGGTTTTGATTTGCATTTCTCTGGTGATTATCGATGTTGAGCATTTTTTCATATGTTGGTTGGCTGCTTCTATGTTGTCTTCTTTTTTTTTTTTTTTTTTTTTTTTTTTCCTTTTTTGACAGGATCTCACTGTGTTTCCCAGGCTGGAGTGCAGTGGTGTGGTCATAGCCCACAGCAACCTTTTTTTTTTTTTTTTTTTTTTTTTTGACAGGGTCTCACTCTGTTTCCCAGGCTGGAGTGCAGTGGTGTGTGGTCATAGCTCACAGCAACCTTGAACTCCTGGCACAAGCAATCCTCCCACATCAGCCTTCCAAGTAATTGGGACTATAGGCGCACCACCACACTTGGCTAATTTTTAAATTTTTTGTAGAGATGGGGGTCTCACTTCATTGTCCAGGTTGATGTAGAACTCCTAGCTTTAAGTGATCCTCCTGCCTTGGCCTCCCAAAGTGCAGAGATGACAGGCATGAGACACTGTCCAGGTGTATGTCTTCTTTCCAGAAGAGTGTGTTCTTGTCCTTTGCCTTTGCCTGCTGTTTAATATGGTTGTTTTTGGCTTGTTGATTTGTTGAAGTTCCTTATAGATTCTGGATATTAGACCTTTGTTGGATGTGTAGTTTATGAATATTTTCTCCTATTCTGTAGGTTGTCTGTTTACTCTGTTAATAGTTTCTTTTGCTATGCAGAAACTCTTTAATTATTAGGTCCCACTTGTCAATTTTTGTTTTGGTTGCAATTGTTTTTGAGCACTCAGTTACAAATTCTTTGTGAAGGCTGATGTACAGAAGGGCATTTCCTAGGTTTTCTTCTAGGATTTTTATACTTTTAGGTCTTAATTAAGTCTTCAATCCATCTTGAGTTAACTTTTATGTATGGTACTAGAAGGGGATCCAGTTTAATTCTTCTGCAAATGGATAGCTGGTTATCCCAGCACAATTTATTGACATGTGGAACCTTTCCACATTTCTTATTTTTGTTGACTTTGTCAAAGATCAGTTGGTTGTAGGTGTGCAACTTTGTTTCTGGGTTCTCTGTTTTGTTCTGTTGCCCTGCATGTCTGTTTTTGTGCCAGTACCATGCTGTTTTAGTTATTATAGCTATATAGTATAGTTTGAAGTCAGATAATGAGATGCCTCTGGCTTCATTTTTTTTTTCTTAAGATTGCTTTGGCTATTTAGGCCCTTTTTTGGTGCCATACAGATTTTAGGATAGCTTTTCCTACTTTTGTGAAAAGTGATATTGGTAGTTTGACAGAAATAGCATTGAATGCATAGATTGCTTTGGGCAGTATAGCCATTTTAACAATATTGATTCATCCAGTCCATGAGCATAGAATGTTTTTCCATTTGTTTGTGTCATCTCTGATTTCTTTCAGCAGTGTTTTGTAGTTCTCCTTATAGAGATCTTTCACCTCCTTGGTTAAATGTATCCCTAGGTATTTTTTTGTGTGGCTATTGTAAATGGGATTGCATTCCTGATTTGGCTCTCAGCTTGAATGTTATTGGTGTATAGAAATACTACTGATTTTTGTTCACTGATTTTGTGTCTTGAAACTTCACTGACGTCATTTATCAGGTCTGGTAGTCTTTTGGCAGTCTTTAGGGTTTTTTAGTTACAGAATCATATCATCAGTGAAGGCAGAGAATTTGACTTTTTATTCTCCTATTCGAATGCCTTTTATTTCTTTCTCTTGCCTGGTTGCTCTGGCTAGCACTTCCAGTACTATGTTGAATAGGAGTGGTGAGAGTGGGCATCCTTGTCTTGTTCCAGTTCTGAAGAGGAATGCTTCCAGCTTTTACACAATCAATATGTTGGCTGTGAGTTTGTCAAAGATGGCTGTTAGTATTTTGAGGTACGTTCCTACAATGCCTAGTTTGTTGAGGGTTTTTATCATGAAGGTATGTTGGATTTTATCGAAAGCTTTTTCTGAGTCTACTAAGATGATAATATGGTTTTTGTTTTTAGTCTTATGGACTTAATGACTTTTGAAGTATAAATGGGGTATGAGCCATAATGCTTTTTTTTTTTTTTTTAGACCGAGTCTTACTCTGATGCCCAGGCTGGAGTGAGTGCAGTGGCACAATCTCAGCTCACTGCAACCTCCACCTCCCAGGTTCAAGCGATTCTCTTGCCTCAGCCACCTGAGTAGCTGGGATTACAGGTGTGCATCACCAGACCCAGCTAATTTTTTTTGTATTTTAAGTAAAGATGAGGTTTCACCATGTTGGCCAGGCTGGTCTCGAACTCCTGGGCTCAAGTGATCTGCCCTCCTTGGCCTCCCAAAGTGCTGGGTGGCATGAGCCACCGCGCCGGGCCTTCATAAGTGTTTTTAAAGTGCTGGTATCCAAGTATGAAAAAACAGCTTAAAATGTGTTTCTAATGATTATGGGCTTCTTGCTGGTCTTACTTCCAGGCTAGAATTCCCAGGTGTTATATCCTACTCATTTTTAATATGAGATCTTGAACTGTATGCTTAAAATCAATTTTTACCCCCAATTTGCACTCTATCAACTGCTGGATTTCTGGTTTGCTATTGGGAGCAAATGTCACTGTGCAAACCTTTTTTTCTGTTTCAGATGCAACATAAAAAATACATCTGTAGCAGGAGTCTAGGAATTCCCTCTAAGGAGCAAGAAAGTGTGACTGAGTCAGCACTGCCTTCTCTTTTGTGACAGTATGCAAATTGCCAATGGCAGAGTTCAAGTGCATTCAAATATGTGGCATTTTTCACAGCTCATTGTTCTTTATCTCTTGTATTCCTGAAAACCACTTGAGATTTGCGTACATGATAAATTTCCCTTTCTTGGTGATAAAAAAGGCTGTAGGTTTTACAGTCAAGTCTACTTCCTTCAGGAAAGTCTCTGGAGAAAAGCTTTTGTTTTTTTCTTCTATTCTCTTCCTCTCACTGTAGTAAATGAAGATAATGTAGAGACACCAGGGTAACAGAGCAAGTAACCTCATGAACTCAAAGACAGCAGAAATGTAGGCACACAATTTTGACACAAATTCATAGCTTTAGGCTGGGTGCCGTGGCTCATGTCTGTAATCCCAGCACTTTGGGAGGCCGAGACAGGCGGATCACCTGATTTCAGGAGTTTGAGACCAGCCTGGGCAACATAGCAAAACCCCTTCTCTACTAAAAATACAAAAATTAGCCCTGCATAGTTGGCGCTTGCCTGTAATTCCAGCTACTCGAGAGGCTGAGGCAAATCGCTTGATCTCAGGAGGCAGAGGTTGCAGTGAGCCAAGATCACACCATTGCACTCCAGCCTGGGTGACAGAGTAAGACTCTGTCTCAAAAAAAATAATAATTTACAGCTTTGATATCTACTAGCTTACATTCATTCCCAACCACTGTAACTGGTCCAATGTGGAGACTGATTCAACTTGAAATTTAACTTGCCCAGAAGGAATCACTTGCTTATCAGATTTTTTCTAAATTGAGAAAGTGATCTCACAATTGTAATTTTTAGCACGCAGGGCTTAGAGAAGTAAAATGACAGGGCTCAGAACCCAGAACTCAGACTTTCTCACACCGGTCACATCCCCTCCTTTCAGAATCCCACTGCTCCTCAGAAACAAGTGCTGCTGCTTGGGCACTGTTCTCTGAGTCTATGAAGTTTTCGGTTTTCTGGGAAGCCTTATTTGCACACATAATAAGAGCCTATAATCTAAAACGTGTGTTGATTTTGTTATCTTTCAAAGGGAACTATAAATCTACCTTCTCTTTCAGAAACTAAGCAAGTTTGTATTGAGGGCCAGTTATGTCCCAGGCTCTGCACTAAACAAGGTGTAGTGACAGTGAAGAATCCTGCCTTCAGGGAGCTTTCAGAACTGCCGAGGATAACAGCAGCTAATGCTTTCATGGCATTTACTATGCATTCTATAGGCATTATTCCAAGTGCATCAATTTGTATCTTATATGAGATTGGTCTATTACTATTCCCATTTTATAGATAAGGAAACTGAGACACTCAACTAATAAGTGTCATAGCCAAGATTTGAATCCAACTTTAAATAAGTAATTATTAAGGTTAATAAGTATTATTGAAGGACAAGGTAACGTGCTGTGGGAACTTTTTTTTTTTTTTGAGACAGGGTCACACTCTGTCGCCCAGGTTGGAACGCAGTGGTGTGATCACAGCTCACTGCAGCTTTGACCTCCTGGGCTCAAGCAGTCTTCCTGCCACAGCTTCCCAAAGTGTTGAGATTACAGGCAGGAGACACCACACCTGGCCTGTGGGAACTTTGCTAATGTGATTTCACCTAATCCAGGTGGTTAGATGAGTAGGAATTAGGCTGGAACTGACCCAGGAAAGGGCTTTTTAAGTATATTCCTCCTGCCAACTGCACAGACAAAATCAACCCACTGAGACCACAGCATTGCAGTAAAGAAAGAGTTTAATTGACGCAAGACCAGCCCATGCACAGGAGAACTGGAGTTCAGTCTCCCTGAAGGCTCAGACTTTGGGGTTTTTATGGACAGTTTGGTGGGCAGGGGGCTAGGGAATGGGTGCTGCTGATTGGTTGGGGGTGAATTCATAGAGGTGTGGACACAGTCCTTGTTTACTGATCCACCTCTGGGTGGGGCCACAGGATCAGTTGAATCATGAGTCACAAGTCCACGTGGGGTCAGTTTGAAAGATATCTCAAAGAACCAACCTTAGGTTCTACACTAGTGATGTTATCTACAATTGGGGAAATCAAAAATCTTGTGACCTCTAGCCATATGACCCCTGAGCAGCAAGGGATTATAGAAATTATGCCTCTCTTAGCAAAGAGTTCAGGCCCCTCTCATAATTCCTATTCTTTCTTTTTTTTTTTTTTTTTTTTTGAGATGGAGTCTCGCTGTGTCACCCAGGCTGGAGTGCAGTGGTGCAATCTTGGCTCACTGCAACCTCCACCTCCCAGGTTCAAGCAATTCTCCTGCCTCAGCCTCACGAGTAGCTGGGACTACAGGCACATGCCACCACGCCCGGCTAATTTTTTTGTATTTTTAGTAGAGACAGGGTTTCACCATGTTAGCCAGGATGGTCTCAATCTCCTGACCTTGTGATCCACCCACCTCAGCCTCCCAAAGTGCTGGGATTACAGATATGAGCCACCACGCCCAGCCCCGATAATCCTATTTTTGTGGCCTTTCATTACTCTTACAAAAGGAGCTTTTGATCCCTAAGCAAGAAAGGGGTTAGTTTTAGGTGGGGACTATTATCATCTTTGCTTTCAAGTTAAACTATCCACTAAATTCCTCCCAGAGTTACTATGGCCTACATGCAGGAATGATCAAGGACAGTGAGGTGGTCAAGAAGCTAGATCAAGTCAACTATGTCACATTTCTCTTACTGTCATAATTTTGCAAAGGCAGCTTCAGCTACAAAATGGAAGCCCAAGGACCAAAAGTAGTAGTAAACATTAGTGTTTGTTTGTTGTTTGTCTGATGGGCATATTTTAAGAATTGTTAAATTTGAATGCTTTTAGGCTGAACCACCATCTCTGTTTGTTTGTTTTGAGATGGGGTCTCACTCTATAACCCCAGCTGGAGTGCAGTGGCACGATCTCAGCTCACTGCAACTTCTGCCTCCCGGGCTCAAGCGATCCTCCTACCTCAGCCTCCTGAGTAGCTGGGACCACAGGTGTGCACCACCATGGCTGGCTAATTTTTGTATTTTTTGTAGAGATGGGGTTTCACCGTGTTCCCTAGGCCAGTCTCCTGAACTCAAGTGATCCACCCACCTCGGCCTTACACAGTGCTGGGATTACAGGCGTGAGCCACCGCGCCTGGCCTAATTTGTTGTCTTATACTCAGTTCACGTCATTCACCTTCAGTTGGCTCCCTTGCAGCCTGATGCCTGGATGCATCTGAGTTTGTTATCCTGGTGGATATTTTCTGGGAGAGATGGGCTCCACCCTGTTTCAATTAGGGATCTCTTTGTTGCAAGTGACAGAATCTCAATTTGACATTACTTAGACAAAAGGAGAAATTTACTCAAGGGCTAGAGGTTTGTTTGTTTGTTAGTTAGTTTGTTTGTTTTTCATATACTTGCAGGCAGCGTGTGGTTGACACTTAGCCTCAGAGGTGGTTGGAACCAGAGGCCTGCTGCTGCCAGGGTTCTCTCTGTTTATCTGACTTTCCTCCTGCAGATGTGCTTCTTCAGCCTGATGTGTGTATGGCTGCCCAAAGCTCCTAAGCCTCTCTGCCAGAAAAGAGCTGACTCTTCCCTTGGGTCTACTTTGGAAAATCCGTAGAATATTCTTGTGTGGTTCAAGTGTCCACCCTTGGACCAGTTACTGTGGCCAGAGAGACAGGGCATTTTGATTGTCCAGCTTTGGGACAGAGATCAACCAGCTTTGGGGATTGTCAGCTGGACATGTCACCCATCTGTTATATGGGATATTGCCAGTGTTGCCTTTTATGTCCACCCTTCAGAAGCTCCTTCACTTGATCACAGTAATTTTCCTGGCCCACAAAGCATTTTCTTTCAGAGCTCATAGTGCTGTGCTGAAGATTATAGCATCATGCTGCCAGAATGTGTCATATCAGTTTATTTCATGAAATGAGATGACCTTTCTACAACATTTCTTCATTCTTCTTTTTTAGGGGTCCCTTGCAAAGTAAACACATTAGAATGTCCCCAAACCTCAGTTTTGAAGGCATTAAGAGCTCCTTTTGTGTAATAATTGGGCAATTAGCAAATTATAAATTCATGTTTAAACACAAAATATGAAGGAAAGCGACCCAAGGTCACTGCCGTGGCTACTGCCATGATTTTTTTTCCCAACCCAAGTTTAAAATAAGCAGGCATGACTTGTTCTGACCTGATATTGGATCTAAAAACGGAATCACTATGTCATTGCTGGCTAAGAATCTTGCGTGTGTTGCTGGGAGGAGGTAAACAGTACTTTCCCTTTCCCTGAAGGTTTACTCAGTTAAGAGCAAGGGCTCTGCAGCAAGATGTGTCTGAGTTAAGTTCTGGCTTGGCAAATAATAATTTAGCCTCTCTGTGCCGCAGTTACCTCAGCTCTGCTGAGGTATATAATTATACCTCAATTATATTATAAGAGCAATAATTATAAGAGCAATAATTGTCCCTAATACACAGGTCTGTTGTGTACACCAACAAATGGGTAATATGCCTAGCTCAGTAACAGGCACATACTCAGGAGATTTTAGCTGTCATAATTTTCATCATCATCACGTACCAGCTCCATCCCTTGGCTCGGATGTTTAAGAGTAATCAATATAAGAAATGAGACAGTGCGTCAGACCAGATGCTTTTCAGAAATCCAGTTTTCTCATCTATTCCTTCTACATTTTTGAGGACAAGAAAAAAGGAAGGAAACTGACACTTCAGGCTCCTGCTACCCACCACACACCTTCACGCATCTACCATTCAGTTGTATTCATTTCTATGATTATTTCTTTAACATCTGTCTCACTAGGTCTGTAAATGTGCTCAGGGCAAGGGCTCCTCTGTTTTTCTTTTTGTTTGTGCTGGCATGTAGTAGGTGCTCAGTAAGCATGTATTGAATTCAACTTTGCTCACAACCCCTTATTCAGGTAGCAGTTATTGCATTCTTAATAAAAAAATGAAGGTTTCCAAACACTATTACTGCTAGTAAGTAGCAGAACAAGTCTGAACCCAGATTATCTGGCTGTTATTCCAGTGCCATTTCTTTTTTCTAAAAAGTTCAAATGATAAGGAAGAATAAAACCAAATTAGTACTTCTTCCATGTGATGTGCAAATTGGATTTTTAAACCTGTAGTTTGGGAAGTCAGGTCCTTTGTCCCACTGCTGGTTAATTGGGGTTGAAACCAAGGTCGAATTGCAGATCTACAATATCATTTTCAAACAGAGGCACTTACTTTTGCTCCTCCTAAGGCCATTTGATACACACTGGTAGGAGTAACACCAATAGTTTCTGTTTACGAGGCAGGTTAGAGTTTTTCCTCTAAAAATTCCCATGAGCCTTATTGACCTTTTCACGTCTTTTTTCTCTCTTTTCAAGTGTGATCCTTTAAAGTAAAGGCCACAGAGTCATCTTCACTGTGTGACCTTCCTTTCATGGCTGGTTCTCAAATCCACGTGGGTGCATTTAAGATTTAAGTTCCCGAACTTTGATTCACTCAGCACTAACACTTTATAAAGCCCATATTCTATTCTGCCATATGTTGAAGAAAGAAATAAGACAAAGTCGATCATATTAAGATATGGGAGACACATACATAAAAAGATACAATATAATCTTGCAAATAAGTGATAAAATTCATTGGTTCATCTTGTGGAAGGGGCACCACCCAGGGGCTAAGGGAAGAATTACAAGAGGAGGTAATTTTTTTAGTTCATTTTATATCATATCATCTGTTTAGAAGCAAAATTTATAAAGGGCAGGGGAGCAGTCCTAGGATCTTTCTCATAGAAGGGGAAAATTAAAGAGAATCTGAATGAGTGAGATAAGTCTGGCCCCCCAAAAATCAGTTAGAAAGTAGGCAGCTAAGTGTAGGCATGGTCATCCAGGAGACCTAGGCTCCAGTCTCAGGATAGTGCTTACTGGGGTTAAATCTTTCAGGTTGTAAACCAATGGGGAATTAAGGACATAGGATGAGATTGTAACTGAATCTAATAACAATGAACAGCTGGGCATAACTTGGTCACTATCTATTGTATTGTTATACATCGAATGGGAGCCTGGTGAAGAAAGGCTGTGTGAACATGCCTAGGAAAGAGACCCGAGGCAGGGGATGTCAGATTCAATTAAAAGCAAAAAACAAACAAACAAAAACCAGTTACAGAAAATACTGTGAGATACAAAGGTAAGTTAGTCTTACTTACTCTAAAAATTGCCTCCAGCATTTCCTACAGGAGAAAAGTGTCCTTTCTAGGTCGCTTCCAAGACTCTTAGCACCGTGGTTATGGGTGCATGTTCTGGGCTCTGCACTAGTCCCCTGTAGTGCATTTAGGAACATGGGGCTACCATAGCCCAATTCCATTTACTATCATCATTAGCATCTTTAGTAAATATTATTAATTGCCAGGTGTGTTGCTAAGGGTGCTCATGTATTACTTCATTTAATCTTTTCAGCATCCTGAAATTATAGCTACTTTTATTTTTTTCCATTTTATGGATGGGGAAATTAAGGCTTGAAGAGGGCAAATAACCTGTTCAGGTTTGTAGATCACTTTTTTTTTTTTTTTTTTTTGAGACAGAATCTTGCTCTGTCACCCAGGCTGGAGTGCAGTGGTGCAATCTCAGCTCACTGCAACCTCCGCCTCCCCAGGTAAAAGCAATTCTTCTGCCTCAGACTCCCGAGTAACTGGGATTACAGGCACCCAGCTAATTTTTGTATTTTTAGTACAGACGGGGTTTTGCCATATTGGCCAGGCTGGTCTCGAACTCCTGACCTCAGGTGATCCACCGCCCCCACCTTGGCCTCCCAAAGTGCTGGGATTACAGGCGTGAACCACTGCGCCCGGCCAGGTTTGCAGAACTCTTAAGTTGAAGAGCTAGGATCACAGACTCCTAACATTCCATTCATTATACAAGTTATCCCTACCTTCCAGATCAGCTTACCTACCTGCTGTCTGTGTACTACACCTCACCACCTGGGTGTCTCTCAGACGTTACCAAGAGACAGAGTAAACCCATGCTTTCTCCTATCCAAACCAGTCTCTCCTGTTCCCTGCTTTGTCCAAACCCAGTTGCAGGAATTTATGCCTTAAAGTAAACCATCGTATGATAATTTCCCCTGAAAATGTGCCTATTAAAAAAAAAATAGGATATGATGGGAGGCAGACATAAACATTCTGGTCAATTTATTGGTGTTATTATTTATTTCAGTTAATAAACTGCCCTTTCGCTATGCTTCACTTTCCACGTGTTTAGGCAGTTTGGATTCTCCCAAGTCTGGATTCTGCACTCCTCCGTGGGGTTTAGAGCTAACTTACCTTTATCCCCCAGTATTTTCTGTAGCCGTGGTTTTTTTTGTTTTTGTTTTTTTGTTTTTTAATTCTAATTGAATGTCTTAAGGGGAAAAAACTCTAGTTCAGGATTTGAGCCCTGAACAGATAGTTTTATAGGGATATTAGTGTAACGAAAAAGAAAAAACTCTGGCTGGAATGACCATCAAAGGATATCTGGCCGAGTGTGTTGTTGCTCGTGTAGTCCCAGCTACTCAGGAGGCTGAGACAGGAGGATCACTTGAGCCCAGAAGTTTGACGCTATAACGAGCTCTGCCAATTGGGTGTCCACACTAAGTTCGGTATCGATATGGTGACCTCCTGGGAGGAGGGACCACCAAGATGCCTAAAAAGGGGTGAACCAGCCCAGGTCAGAAACAGAGCAGGTGAAAACCCCTGTGCTGATTAGCAGTGAGATCATGCCTGTGAAGAACACACTGCGCTCCAGCAGCAACATAAAAAGACCCTGTCTTTTATTTAAAAAAAAAAAAAAAAAAGAAGAAAAAGAAAAAGAAAAGAAATCTGATAGGTCTAAGGCCTCACAGATCTGAAAGGGCTGAAAAAACATTTGGAAATGACAAGGCTGTGTTCATTTCTAAGAGTTAGTCCAGTGGGTGAATGAAACTTTTTTGCCCAGTGTTTTGGTCATTTTTGTAGTAGACTGAAGCCCAATTAAATGTACTAACTGCTGAAATTGGAAAGTGCGGTTGAGCCCTCCAATGCTGCTAATTGGTTGTGTCTTTTACATTTCAGGAAGACATGTCCCAGGTGATTGGTCAGGGCATGGTGGCAGATCAGCAGAAGGCACTGGAATACCCACCTGACAATGTACATAACTTGTACTTTAGGTTTTGCTCTTCTGGGGTTGCGTGCGTTATAGACCGGGTTCCAAAAGAAAAGGAGGTGATTGCAATGAGATCAGATCTTTTATTACTTGACAGGAGGTTGTGGAGTGTCATGCAACCTGAAATCAAGCCACAACTGTATCATTGATTCTGTGCAAGTTGATGCAAATATCTTGTGTTCACCTCTCTGTCCCAACCCCCTAAACAGATGCTTAAAAGGGCATCCCTGGCTGGGCATGGTGGCTCATGCTTGTAATCCCACCACTTTGGGAGGCCAAGGCAGGCAGATTGCTTGAGGTCAGGAGTTCCAGACCAGACTGGCCAACATAGCAAGTCTGCTAAAAATACAAAAATCTCTTCCAAAAATACAAAAATTAGCCAGATGTGGTGCATGCCTGTAGTCTCAGCTACTCAGGAGGCTGAGGCCTGAGAATCACTTGAACCTGGGAGGCAGAGGTTACAATGAGCCAAGATTGCACCACTGCGCTCCAGCCTGGGTGACAGAGTGAGACGCTGTCTTTAAATAAATAAATAAATAAATAAATAATAAAAGGGTATCCCTGAAAACACCCTTGCACTTAAATAAATTCTATCTAGCCAGGCACAGTGGTGCATACCTGTAGTCCCAGCTACTCAGGTAGCTGAGGCAGAAGGCTTGCTTGAGCCCAGGAATTCCAGACCAGCCTAAGCGATATACTGAGACTCCATCTCCAAAAAAATTTCTGAGAGCACCATGTCTTACACAATATTAGAAATAAAAATTACAAATGGAAGAATTTCTATAAAATAACTTCAGTGTTCCTTACATTTGAATTTCACTTCTCTTAAAGAACTATAAACTTTTATCACATTTTTATACTTTTGTTGCTGTTGAGCTTTTTCCTTGCTTTTTTTAACTCCAGATTTTCATATCTGTGTACTAATCTATGTTTTTATGTGTCTAAAATGTATACATTATTACTGTGTTAGCTATTTTTATATTTAAGAAACTATAGATTACTAGAGTTTACAGGAAATATATATTTCAAACATTGCCAAAGAAAATGCCTTTGAAAATTCTGTAAAATTATATGCTGAAAACCCAAATTAAAAAAAATAGTGGGGGGAGGGGGGAGGGATAGCATTAGGAGATATACCTAATGCTAAATGACAAGTTAATGGGTGCAGCACACCAACATGGCACATGTATACATATGTAACAAACCTGCACGTTGTGCACATGTACCCTAAAACTTAAAGTATAATAATAATAAAATTAAAAAAAAAATAGATACAGAATGAACCTTAAAAATAACCAAATTCAGTTCAACTGAAAACCTTTAAGCAATTTTTTTTTTAAGAGTCAGGGTCTTACTCTGTTACCCAGGCTGGAGTACAGTAGTGCAATCATAGCTCACTCTAACCTCAAACTCCTGGGCTCAAGCAGTCCTCGCACCTCAGCCTCCCAAAATGTTGGGATTATAGTTGTGAGCTACTGCATCTGGCCAATTATAATTTTTAAATTTAAAAGCAGGTTTTGCTTGAATGTGTTTGCAAATACATTAAGGTATTAATACTTTATATACTCCCGGCTGGGCACAGTGGCTCATGCCTGTAATCCCAGCACTTTGGGAGGCTGAAACGGGTGGATCACCTGAGGTCAGGAGTTCGAGACCAGCCTGGCCAACATGGCAAAACCTCATCTCTACTAAAAATACCAAAATTAGCCAGGCGTGGTGGCAGCTGCCTGTAATCCCATCTACTCAGGAGGCTGAGGCAGGAGAATCACTTGAACCCAGGAGGCGGAGGTTGCAGTGAGCTGAGATCACAGCACTGCACTCCAGCCTGGATGACAGACCAGGGCTCTGTCTCAAAAACAAACACACAAACAAAACTTCATATACTCCCACCTACCTCAAGCACATATCAAACATCTCTAAAATATTACAACCATAGAATTTTAGAGCTAGGGCGAATCCTAAATATCATCTTACATTCTTCTTCTTGCAGAACAATGAGCACCTAAACATCTAAATTATTCTCCTTTGGGAAAGTGATTTTAAGTCCTTTCTGCAGCTTCCAAAGAGAAATGGCCCAGAGGTCAGTGGGCATCATCTGCAGTGAGGCTGGCAGCTCATTATACAGAACTTTTCCACCCTTTGAGCTGCTCCAAAATGGAATGAGCTTCTTCATGGAAGTGGAATTTTCCATCCCTGAAGGTTTTCAATCAGAAGCTGGCTGATCATTTATTGATATGTTCTAAAAGGACATAAAAGCATTAATAGCTGTTATTAATTGAGCCTAAATTATTTCTGGCACAATGATGGGTTTATTTATTTACCTTTAATTTTTACAACAACCTTGCAAGATATAGATGTATCACCAATTTATAGATGGGGCGGTCAAGTGACTTGTCTGTGGTCACACAGCTAATTAGTGATAGCAAACTTAGCAACATATACCTTCTTTTGAGTAGTGATGTTTATTTTCCTTTCATGAGGGCCTGATGAAGTGTAAATCCTTTCTCTAGAAAAACACTGACAAGGGCCGGGCGCAGTGGCTCACGCCTGTAATCCCAGCACTTTGGGAGGCCGAGATGGGTGGATCACAAGGTCAGGAGATCTAGACCATTCTCACTAACACGGTGAAACCCCGTCTCTACTAAAAATACAAAAAATTAGCCAGGCGTGGTGGTGGGTGCCTGTAGTCCCAGCTACTCGGGAGGCTGAGGCAGGAGAATGATGTGAACCCGAGAGGCAGAGCTTGCAGTGACCAGAGATCGCGCCACTGCACTCCAGCCTGGGCAACAGAGCGAGACTCCGTCTCAAAAAAAAAAAAAAAGAAAAGAAAAACACTGACAAGTACAATTTTGATACAACTACAAGGGTGTTTTACAACTAAACCAGTGGTTCTTAACCCTGTTTTATAATAGGAACACCTAGAGAGCTTTAAAAAAAATCACGAATGCTAGGACCCCCATCCCAGACCAAATAAACTGGCATCTAGGGATGTGGATCCCAGGCAAGTTTTGTTTTGTTTTGTTTTGTTTTTGAGACATCGTTTAAAGTTAAACCATGGATTCTTAAGCCAGGGCTTCTTAAAAGAAGATTAAGTCTTAATCAATAAGTCTCAATTAAAAACAAAAACAAAAAACAAAAAAAACCTGCCTGGGACCCACACCCCTAGATGCTAATTTATTTTGCCTGCGATGGGGATCCTAGCATCTGTAATTTTTAAAAGCTCCGTAGGTGTTCCTATTATGAAACAGGGTTGAAAACCACAGGTTTAGTTAGGTTGGATGACCTATAAAGTCCATCTCAGTTCTTATAATACAGTAACATACAACAGCAAATCCATTCTTTCTGATCTTTCTTACACAGTAGTTTGGTTTTGTGCCAATGAATGAGTCATGGGAACACTCCTTCATCCATCACCACACATACCGACAACTGGAGGCCAGCCTCTATGTATATATGTTTGGACATTTCACTTGGATTCTATGGACTGCTTCCTTATTGTTAAATTGAATTCAATTCCACCAGTATCTATCAGGGACCTATTATGCACCAGATGCTACATGAAACTGGGATATAAAGAAAAGCAACAATCATCTCATGCTATAGAAAAGTCGTAATTTAGTAATCTAGATTGCTCTCTTTAGTGCTTTCTTATTTTAAAAGTCGCGTGATTTTTCATAAAAGAACTCTGCGGCTTGCACCCAGCTTTGTTGGGAATCCATGTTCTTTCTTGAGGTGATATAAAATGTAAGTTGGAGGTAAGTACTGTGTGAGTTAAGACACAGGCTCAATTGCTGCAAGAAGTTCTCTTTAGCATAAGAGTCTGTGTGTGGCTGTGTGTGGTCAGTTGGGGAATGATATGGTGTCTCCAAAGTGTCAGAGACCCAAGCACCTCTTATCTGATTACTATACCATTCTTATTTGATTACTCTACCACCCTCAAATGGTGGCATCCATTCTTTAGTTTAAGAGGGCTGCTTCAGTTATTACCAACACATCTGTATTCCAAGCAGTGAGAAGGGAAAGACAGGATCTTTCTCCTTAGGAGAATGACCTAAAAATTGTACATTCACTTCTGTTTACATCCCATTGACCAGGACTTAGCCTGTTGGCACACCTACCTTCAATGAGGCTAGTAAATGTGGTCCTTAGAATAATTGGATATCTAAGTCCTCTCAATGTTGTTTTCTTATAGTAACCCCTTATTTGTCCTTTTCTACTTTCTTCCTTTAAAAATCACTGATAAATATGTAATTGAAAAAGTCTCTTTTTAGTCAATATTAAATGATGCTGATAGTGGCGGGGCACAGTGGCTCATGCCTGTAATCCCAGCACTCTGAGATGCTGAGGTGGGTGGATTGCTTGAGTCCAGGAGTTCGAGACCAGCCTGGGCAACATAGCAAAACTCCATCTTTACTAAAAATACAAAAAATTAGCCAGGCGTGGTGGTGTGCGCCTGTAATCCCAGGTATTCAGGAGGCTGAGGTGGGAGAATCACCTGAGCCCAGGACATCAAGGCTTCAGTGAGCCGAGATCACACAACTATTACAGCCTAGGTGACAGAGTGAGACCCTGTCCAAAAAAAAAAAAAAAAGAAGATGGTGATAGAAAAACTGCAGGAAAAAACAAAAAAACTCCATAGAATCATTGCCTATCAGCTGTTTGATAAACACTTTAAGCTTGTAGCATTCTTCAACTATTGACTTCCGGTTCTACCTCTTTCTCTAATTAGCAGTGTGATTTCAAATATGTCACTTGACATTTATGCTTGGTTTTCTGCAAAAAGAAAAAAAGTAATATTTAACTGTCGGGGTTGTTCATGTGATTGAATGAATTTATGGATGTAAAAGTGTTTTGAAAACTAGAAAGCACAGTGCATATGCACAATGGATGGTATTGTTTTGTTGTTACTGCACACTGCACAATGCCCTGTATTGAGGCACAGCTTTCCACTGACAGAATCTTGAGGTGTTACAGTTCTGGAGCAGTTACCTTGGTCCTATTTCTAGACTCCAGGGGCAACCTGGTGCTTCACTACCAGACTCTTCCAGCTGGGGATGGGTTCCCTGGCCAACTGCAGATCCAGAAGGCAGGTCAGGTTACTACCTATATTTCTTAACTGCCTGTTAAATAAGCAAGGAGTCCTTTTGGTTTTTCTTAGTGTATGTATGTATGTATGTATTTATTTTTGGAGACGGAGTTTCATTCTTGTTGCCCAGGCTGGAGTGCAATGGCACGGTCTCAGCTCACTGCAACCTCTGCCTCCTGGGTTCAAGCAATTCTCCTGCCTCAGCCTCCCAAGTAGCTGGGATTACAGGCATGCATCACCACGCCTGGCTAATTTTTGTATTTTTTTCAGTAGAGATGGGGTTTCACCATGTTAGCCAGGCTGGTCTCGAACTCCTGATGTCAGGTGATCTGCCCATCTCAGCCTCCCAAAGTGCTGGGTTTACAGGCGTGAGCCACCATGCCTGGCCCCTTAGTTTTTTAATATTAATATTCATTGGAGGTACTGTCAGCAAAAATCCAGAATTACAAGTTAATTTTTCCCAAACTCACACAGTAGAGGTCCCTGTACCTTCACTGAATTGCAAGTTCACTTTCTACCCTGAGTTACTCATGTCTTCAGTTTTGCTTTTCTTTGTTCTTTCTTTCTTGTTCATTCATTCATCAAGCACTTTATTGAGTCCCTACTATGTTCCAGGCACTGGGTATCGTAGGTGCCTGGAACATAGTAGGGACTCAATAAAGGAGCTATGCTTCCTTTATGTGAATTAAATGTCACTGATGTAGCTGGCATTTAGTAGGCTTTCAGTAGGTGTTGGTTTTCTTTGTCTGCCCCTCATTTTGCTTAATTAACCTACCAAATGCATCTTTGACTCTAGTGTGTCCAGAAGAAATGGACAGTGTTGATGCTCTAAACATCCCCAGCGTAGATTGTTTTTCAATGTGCACAACACAGATAAGTCACTTCAAAGTCCATAGATAAAGGGGCTTCTTGCTGATTTCATCAGAATGAGTAGAAATTGCAAGATAATTTTTGTTTTGCCTCCCACCCCCAGCTTCATGTACAGATCACACTGACAGAGTATCTTCAGCTTTTATCTTTCCTCCCTTCCTTGATCTGCCCTTCATCAAAGCATTTTAGTTGTAAAGTTAAATAGGGAAGAATGAGGAACGAGGCATAAATCATCCTAACTTCTTGCCACCCTCCAACCTTATATTCTCAAAAGACATCATTGGACTGCACCATTGTTTTGGTAACAATACACCAGTTTTAAAGTATTTTCTTGTTACCTTTCTCCTTTTTGATATTCATCTAATTTTCCTTTCTTTTGTAGGCTGTCAGCCAGATGAAACAGCAAAAATATCCAACAAAAGTCTCCTTCAGTTCACAAGAGATACCATTAGCACCAGCTTCATCATACCATTCAACAGATGCAGACTTCACAGGCTATGGTATGATTCTTTCTCTCAGCAGATCTGGCTCATTAAGCCTTAGAGAAGGCAAGGGATCATAATGTCCTAAAACGAGAACTGGACCAGGAGGCAGAAGTCTGACTCTGGATACTTCCTCCGCTTCCTTAGCTTTGGGGCTTGGATAGGTCACTTCATTTCCTACATCATTTTTCCTCCTCTCTGCCATCGCCATTGCCTGTTGCTTTTTGAATATAAGAGCACTAGAACAGAACAGGACCTCAGTAGGTCAGGAGTTCAAGACCAGCCTGGCCAACATGGTGAAACCCTGTCTCTACTAAAAATACGAAAAATTAGCCAGGCATGGTGGCGCATGCCTGTAATCCCAGCTACTCGGGAGGCTGAGGCAGGAGAATCGCCTGAACCCAGGAGGCAGAAGTTGCAGTAAGCTGAGATTGCACCACTGCACTCCAGCCTGGGTGACAGAGTGAGACTCTGTCTCAAAAAAAAAAAAAAGGAAAAGAAAAGGACCTCAGTAAATGTTATTTGAATCTGAGGCTTCTGTATTATTCTTCTCTAATCTCTACAAAAGATTATATTTAGGTCTTGAGTAATATCTCTTTAAAAATCCTATCAAACCCAATTTTTAGCCCTGCAAATGTTGCTTTAAGCTGTTTGAAGAATGTTGATTTTCAATGCTTAAAGAAATTGGCATGCACATTCTGTCTTTAAATTCCTGGCTTGAATTATGCTGACTGGGGGTTGAAAATAGAACTTTATAAAGAATAATAGGTATTTCTACTTGCTTTTTTTTCTTTTTTTTTGAGACAGAGTCTCATTCTGTCACCCAGGCTGGAGGGCAGGGGGCTGATCTCAGCTCACTGCAACCTCTGCCTCCTGGGTTCAAGTGATTCTCCTGCCTCGGCCTCCTGAGTAGCTGGGATTACAGGTGCTCACCACCATGCCCGGCTAATTTTTACATTTTTAGTAGAGATGGGGTTTCACCATGTTGGCCAGGCTGGTCTCAAACTCTTGACCTCAAGTGATCTGCCTGCCTCGGCCTCCAAAAGTGCTGGGATTACAGACGTGAGCCACTGTGCCCAGCCCTACTTTGCTTTTGTGCAGTATACATCAGTAAAAAATAAAACTCTTTAAAAGACAGTACTCACCAATGGCAAAGCATAACCCTGCATTAATTTAGCAGTTCTGAAATCTTTGTGGTATTTGCCTTTTATATATTTTTTCATAAATATTAACTTCATAAAGTTCATCAAGCAGGTACTATTTTAAAGCATTGTAGATGTACTAAAACATTTGATGCATGTGGTCAGAAAACTATGGCGCATGGGTCAAATCTGGCCTACCAGCTAGTTGTGTATGGTCTACAAGCTAAAAAAGGTGTTCACTTTTTAAAGGTTGAAAAAACACCTAAGAAAATTTTATTAAAATATTCTATGAAATTCATATTTCAGTGTCCACAAATACAGGTTTATAGACACTCATTTGTTTCTGTATTGTCAGTGGCTTTTTTCACACTATAATGATGGAGTTAAGTAGTCACAACAGAGACAGTCTGGCCTGTAATGCCCTATTAAAATATGTATACTTGGCACTTTACCAACAATGCATGCTGACTATGGAGGTAGACAAGTTGAGTTTTGGTAATATATATCACATATTTATACTTAGATGACAGAAATTCAGCATCCTTCCTGGTTTTCATTCTCATGGTTAAATAATAAATAAACAAATAAATAAATAAATGAAGTTCATCATCCTACAGTTGAATCTATAGAAATTTTATTCATTTACTCATCTACTTACCAAGCATTTATTGAGGACTTGGTATGAGCTGGGTTTGGGGCTGGATTCCATGAGAGAAGTAAATAAAAAGATTGACTCAGGACTGGCTAGGGTGAGGCAAACGTGGAGGAGGGAAAAGAAATGCCATCTCCAGGATGTCTCACCAGGTTTTTTTCTCTCTTCTCACTCAGGAGACTACGCTAGTCATTTACAAAGGCAGTATAAACTTTTTATTTACTTATCTATTTATTTATTTGAGATGGAGTTTTGCTCTTGTTGCCCAGGCTGGAGTGCAATGGTGTGATCTCGGCTCACTGCAACCTCTGCCTCCTGGGTTCAAGTGATTCTCCTGCCTTAGCCTTCCTAGTAGTTGGGATTACAGGCATGTGCCACCATGCCTGGCTAATTTTGTATTTTTAGTAGAGACAGGGTTTCACCATGTTGGTCAGGCTGGTATCAAACTCCTGAACTCAGGTGATCCGCCCACCTCAGCCTCCCAAAGTGCTGAGGTTACAGGCGTGAGCCACCGCACCCGACCTAAAAGCAATAGAAACTTTTTAAAGCACCCATGAAAGTGTGCCACTATCGTACGTCATTTTTATTGTAAATTAATGGGAAATGTGGTATAAAATACATATGCTGCAAAAAGATTTAAAGACAAATTTGGTTTACAATTTAATATTCTGCCTTGCCTGTATCTTACCTAGAGCCTTTCTTTTTGTCTTATTGGCAAGATTTTTCTATAAAGAAGTCGATAGTAAATATTTTAGGCTGTGGTCCACACAGCCTCTGTTGTAGTTTCTCACCCCTGCCATTGTAGTGTGCTAGCCACCATAGGCTGGCCATAGGCTACTTCTAAATATGGCACTTTTTATGGTTGTATCACTGAATTTCTTGCTGTTAACCAGGAGGCCTTTAGATTAATAAATTCCATATGGATGGGAACAAGATATGTGAATACCCACAATGTGCCAGACTCTGGGCCGGGCACCTCACACACACTGTTCATTTAGTTTCTCTAACAGCCTCTTTAATAGTGGTTACATGCATTTTTCTGATGAGAAGTGAGCTCCACTTTCACCCTCCTGTTAAATTCCTGCTTAGGAACTCAACTGTGGCTCTGTGCCACTCCAAAACCTGTGCCTTTTCATCTCAAAGACCATGATTATCACTTAGTTAGAGCAGAACCCCCACAGGCTTACCTAGAGCCTGTTTCTTTTTGTTTTATACCAGAGATTGACAAGCTTTTTCTATAAAGAAGTAGATTGTAAATATTTTAGGCTTATGGGCCACACAACCGCTATTGCAGTTACTCACCCCTGCCATTGTAGTATGCTAGCAGCCATAGGCTAGGCATAAATGAATTAGTGGGTTTGTGTTCCAATACGACTTTATTTATAGACACTGAGATTTAGACTCATATCATTTTCACATGCTTTGAGACATTATTTTTCTTTTGATTTTTTTTCAAGCTTTTGAAAGTGAAAAGCCATTCTTGATCCGCGAGCTATAGTCCGCTGACCCCTGCTTTTACATAGGTTTAATGAGCACTGGGATCTCATCTCAGCTCTGTGCATTAGCTGCAGCTGACCAGCAGATGGAGCCCTCTCTCATCAGCCCTTTCCTGAATTATATCATAATGTAAGAAACAATACTCATGGTGATCAAACTCAGTTATCAGAAAATATGACATTCTCTGGAGACTATGATTTGTATGAGCATCTCTTGAAGCTATTCAACATTTTATATGAGCATCTCTTGAAACTATTCAACATTTTGAATGTTTTGAGGTTTCGTTGTTGTTGTTGCCATTTTGAGACGGAGTTTCACTCTTCTTGGCCAGGCTAGAGTGCAATGGCGCGATCTCAGCTCACTGCAACCTCTGCCTCGGGCTCAAGCGATTCTCCTGCCTTAGTCTCCTGAGTAGCTGGGATTACAGGCATGAACCACGCCCAGCTATTTTTTATATTTTTAGTAGAGACGAGGTTTCACTATGTTGACCAGGCTGGTCTCGAACTCCTGACCTCAGGTGATCCTCCCACCTCAGGTGATCAGCCTCACAAAGTGCTGGGATTACAGGCGTGAACCACCGTGCCCGGCTGAATGTTTTGAGTTTTTAATAGGTTATCTGGAAAATGCATGTGTGTAGATTTTATGCTGGATAAACAGGTGTTAGTAAACATTTTTTCTTAGCCTATAAACATTTTTTCCCTCACTCTTTGGAAAAACCCAACCTAAAACAATTGTTTTTAAAAATAAACCTTTGTAAAAAAGCAATAACTTTTAAATAAACTTTTCCTCTATGAACCCCGCAAGTAATTTTTGAGTCTTGTGTTTATAATATATTTTGCTTTACTATATATGTAATATATTTGGGGATAAATTTTAGGTAATTGTTATTTTCAGGTATTTCATACTTTATTGATTAAATTCTTTATACATCTTAATAATTTAATTCATCTGATATGCTCTAATTGAAAGTATTTAGGCATTGTTTCTTAATTAGTATCCTATAGCTCAGAATCTCCTGTTATACCAGCCTTTATTCTCATTGTAACATAGGCCTTCATATACCTAATCATTTAATCATTGTAATTTTTCCATACAGATTTTCATGATGTATTTTAAGATTTTAAAACTTTTAGCCAGGTGCAGTGGCTCACACCTATAGTCCTAGCACTTTGGGAGGCCAAGGCGGGCGGATCACCTGAGGCCAGGAGTCCGAGACCAGCCTGGCCAGCATGGCAAAACCTCGTCTCTACTAAAAATAAAAAAATTAGCCAGGCATGGTGGTGGGTGCCTGTAATCCCAGCTACTTGGGAAGCTGAGGCAGGAGAATTGCTTGAACCCAGGAGGTGGAGGTTGCAGTGAGCTGAGATCGTACCATTGCATTCCAGCCTGGGCGACAGAGTAAGACTCTGTCTCAAAAATATAAATAAATAAAATAAGATTTAAAACTTTCAAGTAAAATTGATGGGTTGAGGGGTGGGAGTTATCGTTTTAATCTCAGCAGTGTCATCCCTGGCTGAAGAGGCAGGAATGACCCAGCTTTTTGCTTCATGGTGTTTGGCAGGAAAAGAGTGCAGTGATAAACACATGCAAGCCCCACACTCCCCACGTGATGGAACGTGCAGGCTGAGCTGCAGCTCTTACATGCCAGTCATGCTGTGTTCAATTCTTTTCCAGGTGGTTTCCAGGCTCCTCTGTCAGTGGACCCCGCAACGTGTCCCATTGTCCCTGGACAGGAAATGATTATAGAAATATCCAAGGGACGTTCAGGGCTTGGTCTCAGCATTGTGGGAGGAAAAGACACACCCTTGGTAAGTTTCTAGAAATAAAATGTATCCACTGTCATAGAACTAGTTGTTGAGGTTAATTTTGGCCCTGCGCCACAACTCTGCAAGACTTGCCTTTTTCATAGTATGAGGAGAAAATGTGATTATAAATAGATGTGCATCCATAGTCTAGCTAGTTTTCAAGTTTTTCTCAGTGTTTAATTTTCAACAGTGCTGGGCGCGGTGGCTCACACTTATAATCCCAGCACTTTGGGAGGCCAAGGCAAGCAGATCGCTTAAGCCCAGGAGTTCAAGACCAGCCTGGGCAACGTGGCGAAACCCCATCTCTACAAAAAGTACAAAAATTGTCTGGGTGGGCTGAGCACAGTGGCTCACGCCTGTAATCCCAGCACTTTGGGAGGCTGAGGCAGGCAGATTACTTGAGGTGAGGAGATCAAGACCAGCCTGGCCAACATGGTGAAACCCTATCTCTACTAAAAATACAAAAATTAGCTGGGCATGGTGGTGCACACCTATAGTCCCAGCCACTCAGGAGTCTGAGGCAGGAGAATCACTTGAACCCAGGAGGTAGAGGCTGCAATGAGCTGAGATCGTGCTACTGCACTCTAGCCCCACTCCTTAGGAGGCTGAGGTGGGAGATTCACTTGAGCCCAGGAGGTCGAGGCTGTAGTGAACCGTGATCATGCCACTGCACGCCAGCCTGGGTGACAGAGAGCAAGACCTTGTCTTAAAAAAAAAACAAACAAAAAACTTTCATCAGGATTTTCTCCATCTAGGATGTTGAATATTTTTATAAATACTTATTAGACCAACAGTATCACAGCAGCATTTAGAAGTATTTAAGAGGATGCCTCACACATAGTAAGTGTTCAGTAAGTAGGAACTGTTGTTATTCTCATCATCATTATTTAATGGAATTGTAGATAAAAAGTATACATCAGGCCAGCATGGTAACCGAGGCAGGTGGATAGCTTGAGGCCAGGAGTTTGAGACAGCCTGGGCAACATAGCAAGACCTCATCTCTACAAAGAAAATTTTTTTTAAATTAGCAAGGCATGGTGGCACACACCTGTATTCCCAGCTACTCAAGAGGCTGAGGAAGGAGGATCACTTGAGCCCAGGTGTTTGAGGCTGCAGTGAGCTATGATCATGCCACTATACTCCAGCCTGAGCAACAGAGCAAGGCCCTGTCTCTGTTTAAAAAAAAAAAAAAAAAAAGGTATGCATGAATTATTCCGGCCTAACAATTTAGGGTTCATTTTACACTGACCATTTTCATATCTACTCATAATTTTTTTTAGAAGTCGGTGTAGAATATTAGTGTTTCCTGGGATGATTGACTTTTTATTGTTTTTTATTTTTTTAAATAAATAGAGATGGGGTCTTGCTATGTTGCCCAAGCTGGTTTTGAACTCCTAGGCTCAAGCGATCCTCCTACCTTAGCCTCCCAAAATGCTGCAATTACAGGCATGAGCCACTGTGCCTGGCCAGGATGATTGATTTTTCATTATTCAATACCTTTTGTTTATCACTGCTCAGTAGCGCCATTAAAATGAAAACTTTTCCTGGGTTTTGATTTACTCAAGATGTGATTAATTAATGCATGTGTGTGTGTGTGTATGTGTGTGTGTGTGTTTAATACCTGCATATTATACAAAGTTAAATTGATACAAAAGGAAAATTGTGTGTGTGTGTATGTAATACCTGCATCTTATACAAAGTTAAGTTGCCATAAAAGGAAAAAAGTGAAAAATAAATCTCCCTCCTACCTTTTTGCCCTAGCTCTGCCCTTCACTACCTAAAACCAGGGCGACTCCCTAGAGACAATCACTCTTGTTAATGAATATGTTTTAAATGAATATTTTGGTATTTCTTTTGCCCATTTTATTTAGTAAGCAATAAATTGTACATGCCAGATAAAACAAACATATCAGGGTCTATAAAACTATTTTTTTCCACATTGGGCAGTAATGTAACATTTTTGTGGTAGTACTGTTGGGGGTGGGGAGATCCTAATCTACTTTTGTGTAATAAATATTAGTTCCCTAAAGCACTAGGAAACTCAAGAACAGCATAGGCGATAGAAACCAGGGTCTTGATGATGCAGGAGTTTTCTCTTGACCCCTTCATCAGACTTGCAACAGGGGTACTGTTTACTTGGAGCGCCTCGCTCAGCCTGTTGTAGGATGGAGTTCATGAGAGAGCGAGTGCAGGACCCAGCTGGCTGCTTTGGGTGCCGGCAGGAGCAGGCTCTGTGGGGTCCCCTCGGCCAGACCAGGTAGGGGTGCCTGCGACCCCTGAAGCCCCAGAGAGTGTGTTACAATGCTAACCTCCGTCGTCCGTGGACAGCGGTACGTTATCAGCTCAGTGGGCCCCTTGCCTTGTTGCATGGGGCAGCTGCTCCCCACCAGGGAGGGCAAAGGGCCAGTGTGACAGCCTTTTTTGGGTACCCGCACTCGGTGAGTCCCAAGCTCCTGTCCGGCGTCCGAGAAGAATTAGGTTGCACAGACACTTGAAGGATGGTGGAGAAGAAGAATTTTATTTAGCAACGGAAGTGGCTGTCAGTGGAGAGGGGAGCTGGAGAGGGGACAGCACAGGCAGAGAGTCTTCCCTGAAGTCCAGCTGGCTCTTCTCTAAAGTTAAGCTGTCTCTCCTCCAAAGTCCAGCCATCCCTCTAAAGTCAAGTTGCTTCTCCTCAGTCAAGCTGCTTCTCTCCTCTACCAACTGAGTCTGAGATCTTTGTAGGCATAGGATGGGGGGCGGGGCGGGCCGTAGGTAGTTTTGGGAAAAGCAACATTCGATTGGTAAAAAGACATTATTCAGAAAGAACCAATCAGGAGACAGCAGGCAAACAGGGATAGAAGTTATCACTTTGGACCAAGGGTTTCAGGCTTCTCGGCTCAAAGGTGGGGTTTTGCTGGGGATCTGCCCATGTCTGCCTAGAATTTCTCTGCCTCCTGTCCCTATCATTAATGCCTTTTACATGTTTGCTGGTCATGGTCCTTCCCTTTCCTACCATTGGGCCCCGTCTAGAAAATCCTGGCTTTGAGCCCCACCCTGCTAGTGAACCACCTCACCTGAACCTGAAAGGATTTTATCTCCTTCTGCTTGATAAAAGTACTGTTAACATTTTTCTCTGGAGTTCATGAAAATTTATGTCCTGAATTCTCCTCTTGCCTTTGCAAGCAGGAACTGCTGTGTGGCTTCATACATACAGGAATTTGGTCTGCGCTGTATCTTCTAATCGTATTTTTAATAATTCTTTGTAATTTTTTTTTTTTTTTGAGACGGAGTTTCGCTCTCCTTGCCCAGGCTGAAGTGAAATGGTGCAATCTCGGCTCACCGCAACCTCCGCCTCCCGGGTTCAAGCGATTCTCCTGCCTCAGCCTCCTGAGTAGCTGGGATTACAGGCATGCACCACCATGACTGGCTAATTTTGTATTTTTAGTAGAGACGGGGTTTCTCCATGTTGGTCAGGCTGGTCTTGAACTCCCGACCTCAGGTGATCCGCCTGCCTCAGCCTCCCAAAGTGCTGGGATTACAGGCATAAGCCACCACGCCCAGCCAATTCTTTGTAATTTTATGTCATCTGGTCTCTCAGCAGTTCACAGAAACACTTTGACTAGCGCCAGCCACCCAGCTAGCTCCCACTTTATGTAGAAAGTCTCACATACCACCAACATAGGACCAGACCAGACCATCGTTCCCCAAACCTACATATGCACTCCAGCATCTCGGACTTTGCCCTGCTCCCCTGAATTTGCTCTCTTCTGCCCTCCTTCCGCTCCCATCAAGCTTCTCTACCTCCTCTAAGCCACTCTTCCCAAAGAAGTCTTCCCTGGGTTTTGTGATTGGTCTTCAGCCAAACTCAGAGGTGATGCTGACCATTCCTCTCTTTTAGCTCTCAGTCATATTCCCTCTCTACCATTTACTAGCTGGGGCAGACTTCTTAACCTCTCAGTCTATTTCCTGCTCTATTTACAGAGATAATAATACCTTGTAGACTTACTAGGATGATCAAAGAGATGACCTTCATAGGATGTTTAGCACACAGTAAGCCACTGCCCATGGCACATACCTTCTCCAACTCTCTGTTTTCACATATGCAAAATGACCTTAATATTCCTGACTTGTTGAGTTATGGTGAGGATCAGATATCTTATAAACAGTAGAATATATATATATAGAATATATAGAACATATATATAGAATATATAGAACATATATATATAGAATATATAGAACATATATATATATATATATTCAGAAACTACTGGTTGACCCTGAACATTGGGTGATGGCTGCTTCCAAGGCGTGTTTCCACACTTTCCCGAGGAGGTGTTCATGAATATTAAAAACAATAATCCTGGGAAGTTACAGTTTAAATTCTGTAGTGAATTCCTTCATAACAGAAAATTAACCTTTGATTACTTTTGTAAATAAAAGTCTTTTTACATTGCTTTTTATATGGGAATAGATTTCCCATAGGAAATCGGAAGAATTTCATCAGCACGTCCAGCCTAGCTGAATGAGTTGTGGTTTTGCTTTTGCCGCTGTTAATCTGACTTTGTTTTACCTGGGTTGGTTGGAATACCTGAACGAGATGTGTCTTCTGTGCTGCTCTTGGGTCTTCAATATTGCATTCATTTGTGCTGGTGGCTGATAGCTTGAGGGTTTCCATTGAATTCCATCACTTCCTGCAAGGAATGTGAGGCTGTTTGCTAAATACTGTACTCTCCTTTCCCTGCCACTGTGAGGCAGCTAAAAAAAAAAAAAAATCAAGAGCTTCTTGAGGTTCGTAATATATAGTTCTGCCTTTTCAGACTGTAAATCCCATTGTCCTTGGAAGGATAAGCATGACTTTAAAATGAGGGATGGGACACAGCTTTTATTTCCTAACCTCAGGTACCTCATCAAAAGCCATAAGTTAGACTCAGGAGAAATATATAGGCCTGTCTGTCATTTCAGTGAGGCTGAACAGTGAGGGTTGGAAAGCACTTTAACAAATAAAGCTATTATTTACCACAATGCAAATCTTTCATTTTTCTTTTTTTTTTTCCCCTTCCAAATTTTGACATGGAATGTGCAACCTAACTGATACCATAGGTCACATTTTCCAGTCAGGTCTTGGGATGGCATCCAGCTAGCAGAAAGTTAGCAAACAAAGATGAGAGCATATCAAAGCGAAATGGTGGAAAACATTGAGACTCACTACAGAAGAACCTTCGCACATTTGGTTAAGTGATGCATCCTGACTCCAGCTCTGGCATGGGGAAAGAGTATGTCCTGACTTCTGGTGACCCTTCTTAACATCTGCTCCAAACCTCCCAATTAAGATTTCTGTGTCTTCTTTGTTGTGTGTCCAAAAGATATTTTTGCTGTCTTTAGAGGAGTTAAGTCTCTGGAACCTGGTCTTGACACCACATCAGTCCTCTCTGCTATAAATAGTTTCTCTGGAGCCAAGACAGACGGTTTCTGAGATCACAGAGGGAGATCTCACTTAGCATCCCATTGTATTTAAATCGACCTTTTAAAATGCCGAGGTAATGATGAGGGTGAACCTCTTGGGAAGGTTTACAAGCACACCTGGACCCAATCCTCAATGACAGACTTCTGCCTGTTGTTTTAATCTTGTGATGTTGCTCCCAGGCTTGCCTTTGGTGGATGCGGCTCTTCTGTGATAGGTTGCATATGTTTGCTCAAAGGCTGCCCTTTGCTTAGTGCTAAGGATACAAGATTGAGTGAGATAACCTTGTCCTAGAAGAGCTCACACAGTCGTTCAAGTTAATTCTATTGACTTTTAGTGATTATGGTCTAATATAGGAGGTAAACCAATGAAAAGTCATAATAATGACTATTAAAATAGGGGCTTCCTCTGGAAGCCAGAAAAGAGTAGAGCCATGGCATCCACTTTCTAGATTTAATTAATATAAGCTATTGTTATGTTTCTTATTAGCCGGGAAGCCAGATAAGGCATATTGGATATCAGAGGTAGTATATTAATTCATAATTTTTATTTCCTTCTATCCATCAGTCCATCCTTTCTTCCTGTCTTCTATCTCCCTCCACCCCTCTGGTCTTGTTGGAGTGTTGAATTTGCATGAAATCCTACAGCTTAGAGAACTCATCCTACTCTGTCAAATGAAAGACCAAGGCCTCTTACCTTTTCTGATGTTTGCATCGTATTCCTTAAACTCCTCCCTGATGTCCTTCAATGTCCACTTCTCAGAGATGTATACTCGTTGATTAGAAGTTTTATCAGCAATACCCTCAGAAGAAGTAAAAGATAGCTCTCCAGACTCACTCACTGGGGTTATTATCAGGCTTGGGAATTATAGAGAAGAAAAACTTCAGAACTAAATCCTTTATCTTGGATTATTGGCAGACTTGAACTGTTTTTGGAATTGAACAAATGAAGTGGAGAAAGAATGAGAATGCAGTCTCTAGGACCCTCTTTCTATGCATTTTCCTTCCCTGAGATCCATTGCCAGAGATCCCAGGCTATGAATGAGATCCCAGGCTGTGAATCCCAGGATATGAATGAGAATGAGGTCTCTAGGACCCTCTTTCTATGCATTTTCCTTCCCTGATACCATTGCCAGAGATCCCAGGCTATAGACAATGTGTTCTACCAAACCTAAAAGGCACCATAGCAGAGTAATGATGCTGGTTCTTTGGCATTAGAATTTTAGATATTTAACTGTGGGACTCTGGACAAATGACAGCCTTTCTAAGTTAAATCTGCTTCTTCATTTGTGCCACTGTGGTGATAACAAAAATCTACCTCTTAAGATTGTCATGTGAATTAATTAAGATAATGAATATGAAGAACTTTACCCAGTGCCTATTTAAACTGAGTTCAGTTATTATTAATTATAAACATTTGTATTAAAGTAGATCCTTAACTTTGTCTGTGTGTCTTTGGTATATTACCTGGACAGTGAAATGTGGCTTTGTTCCTAGACAATTGCATATTTGTTTTTCAACATCAAACTTTAAAAAAGTGATTTGGCTGGGCAAGGTGGCTCACACCTGTAATCCCAGCTCTTTGGGAGGCTGAGGCACGTGGATCACTTGAGCCTAGGAGTTTGAGACCAGCCTCGGCAACATAGTGAGACCCCATCTCTTATTTTAAAAAAAAATAAAATAGGCTGGACAGGGTGGCTCATGCCTGTAATCCCAGCACTTTGGGAGGCCGAGGTGGGCGGATCACCAGAGGTCAGGAGTTTTAAACCAGCCTGGCCAACATGGCAAAACCCTGTCTCTACTAAAAATACAAAAATTAGCTGAGCATGGTGGCACGTGGCTATAGTCCCAGCTACTTGGGAGGCTGAGGCAGGAGAATCACTTGAACACGGGAGGCGGAGGTTGCAGTGAGCCGAGATCGCACCGCTGCACTCCAGGCTGGGCAACAGAGACCCTGTCTCAAAAAAAAAAAAAAAAGGAAAGAAAATTAAATTAAGTGATTCAAGGCCAGGTGCAGTGGCTCACACCTGTAATCCCAGACTTTTAGGAGGCTGAGATGGGAGGGTTGCTTGAGGCCAGGAGTTTGAGACTAACCTGGGCAACATGGCAAGACCCCTGTCTCAAAAAAAATTTTTTTTAATTAGCTGAGCATGGTGGCATGTGCCTGTAGTCCCAACTACCTGGCAGGCTGAGGCAGGAAGATGGCTTGACCCTGGGAGGTCAAGGCTGCAGTAAACTTTTATTGCACCACTACATTCCGGCCTGAGCAACAGAGCAAGACCTTGCCTGTTAAAAAAAAAAAATGTGATTCAAGCACTATTCTCTTTTTAGATTTAGATATTCTTAATGATAAAAAGTCCTGCGAATGTCAGAGTTGGAATTTTTTTTTTTTTTTTAGACGGAGTCTCACTCTTGTCGTCCAGGCTGGAGTTCTCCTGCCTCAGCCTCCCATGTAGCTGGGATTGCAGGCACCCACCACCACACCCAGCTAATTTTTGTATTTTTAGTAGAGATGGGGTTTCGCCATGTTGGCCAGGCTGGTCTTGAACTCCTGACCTCAGGTGATCCACCTGGCTCAGCTTCCCAAAGTACAGGGATTACAGGTGTGAGCCACTGCACCTGGCAAGAAAACGACTTTTATTTATTTATTTATTTATTTTTTTATTTTTTGAGCCAAGTCTCGCTCTGTCACCCAGGCAGGAGTACAGTGGTACGATCTTGGCTCACTACGGCCTCCGCCTCCCAAATTCAAGAGATTCTCCTGCCTCAGCTTCCTGAGTAGCTGGGACTACAGGCACGCGCGACCACACCCAGCTAATTTGTTGTATTTTTAGTAGAGATGGAGTTTCACCATGTTACCCAGGCTAGTCTCAAACTCCTGAGCTCAGGCAATCCGCCCGCCTCAGCCTCCCAAAGTGCTGGGATTACAAGCATGAGCCACTGTGCCCAGCCGAGAGTTAGAATCTTGTCATTTCTCTCCAAGTTTCAAATCCACATTTTTTTCAATCACCTGATTTAATACCAATTTAATTCATTCTTATTAAACAGAAGTTCTATAGGGCAGCTACGTTAGCAAGAAATATCATGGTAGACATACTCTCCCATTTGGGTACTATGTGGCAAAATTCATCTATCTAGAAATTGAAATAAAGAATACCTGTTCTTTAGCTATAACCATATGTTGTTCTGAAGTGACCTCACTTAACCCCTCATCATGTTGCATTCTGGTACTGCTTTTGATAATTTAAACGTAGGACTACAGCAGTTTAAACCACTGGATATTTTTTAAATAAGCAGAATAGAAAGCTATTTTATATTTGATTAAGTGTTTTATTTTGTTATTCCCCCTGACGTGAACTTTGTACGGTCTATTTCATGAGGAGTGTGGTTTGCTTTGGCATGTGATCCACCAAAGCCAAGCTCCTTTTATTGTTATTGCTTAAGTCATATATTTTTATACAAAACATCTTATTACCTTAGTTTTATTTTAAAATCAAAGCAGAGTTTGCAAAAAGTCTATGAATCACAGTGAAAGAATGTTAATGAATAGTACCTTTGAATTCCAGATTTGGACATTTCTGGTCTTAAAGAATATGAATATAAGCAAAAATATTATGTAAGCTAAGTCAAATTTAATAAATAATAACCAAATGGAACTGTGGGGATTTATAAAATATAATGCAAATCATATACCATTTCCTTAAAATAAGTCTATATTTCTGTATGAAAAATTATATTCATATTGATAAGTATCAACTTTTTGTTAAATGAAGACTTGGGTAACGGAATTCCATTTTAAATAAATATAAAGCCATTTCTTTTTTGAGCTTAAGAAGAGAAAACTTGCTCAGTCTTGAAATGCAAAACCTTTTAATATATTTACAGCAGTTCTTATGTTAGCCATGTATTGCTGTGATTTTATTTCACATATTAGTTACCTGTAAATATATGTAATAGTTTGCAATCCCTGAGTTTGGGTTTTAGGATTGCTTGCATAGTCCATTGCATTAAAAAACACACACAGCCAGGCACAGTGGCTTATGCCTGTAATCCCAGCACTTTGGGAGGCCAAGACAGGATGATCAGTTGAGGCCCAGAGTTCAAGACCAGTTCCGGCAACATAGTAAGACCCTGTCTCTACAAAAAATTAAAAATTATCCAGGTGTGGTGGTGTGTGCCCTGTGGTCCCAGCTACTTGAGAGGCTAAGCAAGAGGATTGTCTAAGTCTGGGACCTCAAAGCTACAGTGAGCTGTGGTGCCGCCACTGCACTCCAGCGTGGGTGACAAAGTAAGACTCTGTTTCTCTTTTTTTTATTTTTATATTTTAAAATAATGATATAGATAGGGTCTTACTCTGTTGCTCAGGCTGGTCTCAAACTCCTGGGCTCAAGCAATCCTCCTGCCTCAGTCTCCCAAAGTGCTGGGATTATAGGCATGAACCACTGAACCTAACCTAGATTCTGTCTCAACACACACACACACACACACACACACACACACACACACACACACACACACAGAGATGTTAGTGTTATTTCTTCTAGTGTAAGTGAGTATTTAATCTTTTTTATGTCAAAAGAGCCACCATTATTTATTGCTGTTATAATGCCCACTTACGTTATCTATAGTTTATTAGCTGAGAATGTTTCAAATATTTCAAAACAGTAGGTACTGAACATTATGATCCATTTTCTTCCTTCTTGAGGGATTTTGTAAATGAATATTAGGATATATAGACTAGCTCTGTGTTTATTTTATAGCAGAGTTTTGTAAGGGTCAACTGAAGTCTGACTGTGTTGTGAGATTTTGGGGAAAATCTGTGCAGTAAACTAATTTATTATTTGTGAACCAAATAGAGTATCCAGATTTTTTAAAACTATGATTTCAAGTATGATCAGTAAGTTCCTTTGACCCTTGCTGACTTCCCTTCTACAGCTACAGTCCCTCAGGTTTTCTGAACAGAAACAATTATCTGTTCAACCTATGGAGCTGGCAGGCAAAACAACATCAGCTCGGCAAACACTGTGTATCTTCAAAGGCAATAATCTTTTATCGTGACCCATGGTGGGAAAGTAGTAGATTGAATGTACACTTGAGTGTTAGATTCATCCAAATTGTAAAATTGTTAAAATAAGAAAAAAATTATCTTAAAGTAAGTATAATTTCGATTGACTACATTCTGCCTCAGGTCCTGCATGCTCTTGTGAGATACTGAAATTAAGTAGTGCTTAATCTTTTGCTTCTCATGAATCAATGAGGTGATACCAAATAACTCTTTATATCAAAGAAGAGAAAAGTTCTTGGTCCAAAGGTGGAGAAGATAAGTAACTTTCCAACTCATCTTGAATCATCTCTGCATTTTACCTTTGTAATTGGTTCAAAAAATATAGATCCACAAAATGCATTGACATATAAGCATAAAAATACATGCCACAGCATAGAGGAAATGCATTTTTAAGTTTCTCATCCTTGGATTCATCAACCCCTGCCTCATTGTGGCAAGGACTGCCTTTGTCAACATGAGTCCTGTCAACTCTATTAGAGAAAGCATTTGTCTGCATTTCTGCCTTTCACATTGTGCTTCCCAGTTTTTTTTTGTAAAGTATCACCCGGGAAAAGCAACAGTAGGAATTATAGCTGATTCTCACTGTTCACAGGAGTTGTATTCTATAAAGTCAAGGCAAACACTGATTAGTGAAGAGTGAACCATTGCTGCTAGGGGAAATACAGAGGCAGGTTTTTCCAAGCTTCTAGTCAACATTTTCAACATTGCTTTATGTATGTTTCTGCTTAAAGACACCTCGTTTAATATATAGTGTTGGTTCATTAACATTGAATGCATGACCAGCAGCACTGAAACTCATGCCTGAACACAGCTTATCTACACACATACTCTCTCAATGAAGCACATCCTCGTCTTCTTGTACTTAGGAACACTGGACAGAACCCCAGAACTATGCTTGGGTGCCATTTTAAACAGAAAAAGCACAAAAATTAAAACAAAAAAAGACACTAAATAGACCACAAAAAGGGTTCTTGTTTACCTGTTCAACTATGCAGCTGGCAAGCAAAACAACATGAAACAAGAAGTATGGGAACTGAAACAAGAAGGCAAAGTAACACCTTTTTCAACTCCAGCTGGGAAAAAGGAAATCAGAAGACTCAAATTTCTACCACTGTACATTTGAGAATGATGGCAAAAGTGCTGAGAGCATTGATTTGGGGGTTACAAATAAATTTTAGGGAGTAGATGGATTCACAGATATGGAATCCATGATCAGTGAGGATTGTACTTGACCAAGAAAAATCAAAATGTCTGGGAATGAGACTCCTGCAGTCTGGCTTAGAGCTTGTTGGCATTCACATGGTCCTTTGAGCTTAATCCTGAGTAGTCTGTGACTTGGGAAAAATAATCTAAAATATCCTTGTAGTATAATCTTTCTTGAAAGATTATATTTCAGTTATATTTTGGGATCACCATAATAACAGGAAAACTAGAAATGAAAAAAATGGACAAGACTGGTGTCACTCATCCTTAGAGTCATGAATTTTGATCACTTTGTCACCCAGGCTGGAGTGCAATGGCGCGATCTCAGCTCACTGCAACCTCCTCCTCCCGGGTTCAAGTGATTCTCCTGCCTCAGCCTCCCAAGTAGCTGGGATTACAGGCACCCACCACCACACCCAGCTAACTTTTTGTATTTTTAGTACAGACGAGGTTTCACCAGGTTGGCCAGGCTAGTCTTGAACTCCTGACCTCAGGTGATCCACCTGCCTCGGCCTCCCAAAGTGCTGGGATTACAGGCGTGAGCCACTGCGCCCGGCCCAACATAGATGTTTTATATACTAGATATGCCCCTTCAAACTTAGTATCTATGTTAGGAGCTCTCATGAGCAATTACTCAATACCTGTGATTTAGCTGACACTTTACTTGGCATATAACCCCATCTCATCCTGAAAATCTAAAAGGGGGGATTTATTAGTTCCATTTTGCAGAGGCAGAAAAACTGGCTCAGAGAGGTTAAATAACTTAATGGAAGTATCATAAATCTATGATAGGTGGCAGAGCTAAAATCTGAACACAGGTTTATCTGGCCATAGCCAGTACTCTTCCCAGCATACATTGCTGCCTTCCACTGTTTGCAGGCTGGAAAATTCCTCTGGCAACCTTGATAGAATCTGTGGTACATTGAAACTGGCTATATGTGCTGTCTCAAATTTTAAAAAAAGGAAAAAAAAAAGACTATAAATTTTATGCAGCTCTTTCCAGATTCCTTGAATCCAATCTGACCAATAGTGACAAAAGTAGCATTGTGTGACTTTTAAGCCTTGGTCTCAAGAGGCCTTGCAATTTTAGCTCTTGCTCTCCTGAAACACTGCTACCCTGTGAAGAAGTCTGGACTGGCCTCCTGGAGGATGAAACAGCATGTGGAGAGACCACGTGGAGGGAGAGAGGCCCAGCCATTCTAGCTGAGGCCCCAGACATGACAGTAAAGCCATCCAGGACACAACCAGCCTGGGTTAACCTGACAGCAAGCTCACTTCAGAACCCAAGCAACATAATGTAAAGCAGAAGAACTGCACAGCTGAGCCCAGCCTAAATTGCAAACCCATAGAATTGTAAACAAATAAATAGTTGTTTTAAGCCACTAAGTTTTGCGGCCAAAGGTAACTAAAACAGAGTCTGACTCCAGCCTCCATAGCTTTTATATCTTGTTCAACCTATGCGAGTTAGGATTCTTCTGACCTACCATTTAGAAGGAGGTCTTATTCTTAGGTAGGACCTAAATATCTGTATAAAACAGTGACTTTATCTGCTTCACTCTACACAACATTTGGGTTCATAGAGGCCTAGAATTTTAGAACTGGAATGACTTTAGAAGTCATGTAGTTCAGGCAAGGTGCAGTGGCTCACCCCTGTAATCCCAGCACTTTGAGAGGCGGAGGCGGGCAGATCACTAGAGGTCAGAAGTTTGAGGCCAGGCTTGCTGGGTGTGGTGGCTCACACCTGTAATCCCAACACTTTAGGAGGCCGAGGCAGGTGGATCACGAGGTCAGGAGATAGAGACCATCCTGGCTAACATGGTGAAACCCCATCTTTATTAAAAATACAAAAAATTAGCCAGGCATGGTGGTGGGTGCCTGTAGTTCCAGCTACTCGGGAGGCTGAGGCAGGAGAATGGCGTGAACCTGGGAGGTGGAGCTTGCAGTGAGCCGAGATTGCACGACTGCACTCCAGCCTGGGTGACAGAGGGAGACTCCATCTCAAAAAAAAAAAGAAAAAAGAAAAAAAAGAAGTTTGAGGCCACCCTGGCCAACATGGCGAAACCCCATCTCTATTAAAAATACAAAAATTAGCTGGGTGTGGTGGTGTGCACCTGTAATCCCAGCTACTCAGGAGGCTGAGACATGAGAATCACTTGAACCCAGGAGGTGGAGGTTTCAGTGAGCCAAGATTGTGCCATTGCACTCCAGTCTGGATAACGGAGTGAGACCGTGTCTCAAAAAAAAAAAAAGTCATGTAGTTCATTCAACTCTGTGCTTTACTGGTAATATTAGTGTCATGAACAAATTGATCCAGTTGGTTACCTGCAGAGCTGTCAGAAAATTTAATTCCTCTGACCCCCCAGTCCTGAGTCTTTTCTTTCACAGACTACTGCACATTTTTTTAAAATCACATTCTAGTTGAATATAATAGGGAAGCTTTTTAAAATTTTTAAAGCATTTGGTCACAAAGGCTTTAGGATGGAAAAGAATCGTGTTCTAAAACATTCAAATTTTTTTTATTTTTTTTAATTCTACTCTGTTAACTGAATCCTTTTTTATATATAAATACAGTTTGGGGTCTATCAGCTTTGCTCAAAGTGAAATATACTTTAAAAGTTTTAACCTAACCCTTTCTTTTTAAACTCTATAACTGTAGTAGACATCACAAATCAGTAACTTAATGCATAACCATGTGTTTTTCAGTGTAGATTTGGATGTAGTTTTGGTTTACACAGCACTAGATTGAGGATTTTGCCACCTCCGCCATATTATCAGCCCTCGTTGGTTTACGGCTTTCCTGCTGAGAAAGTCATCTACTGTGTAGAAGACATGGCTGTCTTTATGATTTCTGAACAGGGACAGCCATAGAGGGGAAAAACTATTAAATGGTGTTTAAAAGCTACATCCTTCCTCCAAGGCCACAGATCCAAACCATAGTTTTTTTCAAAGGAAAACATATGACTATTTTTTTGTATACAATATCTCCAACTTTTTTTTTTTTTTTTTTTTTTTTTTTTTTGGTCCTCATGGGTTTTTCTTGTTAGGAGGGACTTTTCCCCTAATGCAGGGTAATAAGACATAACACTCTTTCTGGATCACTGGTGAATATGTTTTTCACCTCAATGTGAGATTTAATGTGAAACTTTTCTGTAGTTAAAATGTCCCTTAGGATTTTTTTTGTATGTGTAGGGAGTGCAGGTAGGGACTTTTATGAGTATGGCAAAGATTGAGTTTAATTCCAGAGTAGTGATCAAATTAAGTAAAACATGCCTGCAAGCAGTGTAATTAAGCCGTGTATTCATAGTTCTTTATAATAGTATCTACATATGATTATTTGTCAAAGTTTTGTCCTAAAATGCTTGTTAAAACAATCTACTAAATATCTAGAAATGTAAAATCTCATCTACTAAAATAGTTCACCCACAAAAGGGTACTTATTGATATCCTTCAGCCCACAGGAGACCCTTAGTTAATTTTTCTAACACCTGGCTTCTTTAAGTGTTATGAGTCTATTGTGACAATAAGGTTGCCTTTTGCTGAATGATTGGTGTGTTTATGAGTTACTTTATCTACCTGTTGGCAGCTTGAACAATAAAAATGGTGATTGATGAGCTGAAGTGTCTGGTGACATTGACTCTGTCTAAGGATATACTATTGCATGTTGTGAAATTCTTTTCCAACAATTCAGAATTTAAATCCCCTTGGGGGAGTTTGGGATTTTTGTGGGGCTCAGTGATAATTAAGTCCTTAATACTTGGTTCTCTTAAATTGCTCTCTGAGCTAAAGTAAATCCTCTGGAAACTTCAATGGATTTAAAATCCATTTGTGATGGGTATTTTGGTTGTGTGTCACTATTATTTTACCATCAGAAGCTTGGTGTCTTACTCCATTTTCTGCTGCTATAACAGAATATCTGAGACTGGGTAATTTATTAAAAAAAGAATTGTATTTGGTTCACAGTTCTGGAGGCTGGGAAGTCCAAGAGCATGGAGCCAGCATCTGGTGAGGGCCTTCATGCTGCATCATCCTGTGACAGAAGTTGAAGGGCAAGTGAGCACATGAGGCAGAGAGGGAGGGGGGCTGAACTCTTTTTATTAGGAACTCACTCCCAAGATAGCAGCATTAATCCATCCTTGAGGGCAGAGCCCTCATTACCCAATCACGCCTTAAAGGTCTCACCTCTTAATACTGTCACAATGGCAATTAAATTTCAACATGAATTTTGGAGGGTACATTCATACCATACAATTGGTTTTGGTTGGAGTAAGATTATGACACACTAACTTTTCCAGCCTCCCCTTTCTGAGTCATTGTAACCTCTATCTATCTCCAACCAATTTCTTGACAATCATTTAATGAATGTTTATTGAGTGCCTACTCTGGACTTGGCACCAGAATAAAAAGATGAGTTGGAAGCAGCCTCTGTCCTGAAGGCTTCCATCAAGGATGGGAGGTGGCGCAAGACATAGAGCCCTGAACAGACATTCATGATGCTGTGATAAGTTCAGTGGTACTAATGAACTTACGTAGTGGTGACTCACAAGAAGGATCAATCAACTTTATCAGGGGAGGGAGTTAGGGAAGGTGTTATAGAAGAGGTGGCACTTGTAGAATTTCATGAAACAAAGGAGGTAGCAGATAAAAGAAAGCATAACCCTCAAGCACTTGGTAGCCTATACTTCAAATATAGATATATGGAAAATCTCCACAAAAATACACAAAAAACTTAATACTGCTTGTTTCTAGATAGAGAAATTGGGTGGCTGAGGAACAAGTGCTAGAGAGATACTTATCAGTGAATACTATTTTGAGTATGGTACCATGTGCATACATTATCCATGTTTAAAAATAAATACTCTCTTAGGAATGGAGACGTTAACACAGTAGTTTCTTTTCTTTTCTTTTTTTTTTTTTTTTTTTTCTGAGACAGAGTCTCGCTCTGTCACCCAGGCTGGAGTGCAGTGACACAGTCTCGGCTCACTGCAAACTCTGCCTCCCAGGTTCAAGTGATTCTCCTGCCTCAGCCTCTGAGTAGCTGGGACTACAGGCACGCACTATCACGCCCAGCTAATTTTTGAGTTTTTAGTTGAGATGGGATTTCACCATGTTGGTCAGGCTGGTCTCAAACTCCTGACCTCAGGTCATCTGCCTGCCTCAGCCTCCCATAGTGCTGGGATTACAGGCGTGAGCCACTGTGCCCAGCCTAAAGATAGTAGTTTCTTAAGCAACATGATGAATTTGCTAGCCAGCTACTTCTTCCTGGTTGTCCATTTTTTCTTTAATGTTTTAAATGTTTATAAAGATTTGATGTTTTAAGTGTTTAATTGTGGAATAAAGGGAGTTTTCCTTGGTTAAAGGTGTTTCAGACAGACTGTTGAGGGAGAAGTTTTTAAGCAGAAGACTTCCCATGTCTCTCAAATCCTGTCTGACCCTTCTGGCTATGAGAAAACCACTATTTGGGAGATTCTCCCTTTCACTGATTATGTTCTTCACTGGCTCTTGAGTTGGCAAGTCAAATGAATAATTTTAAAGTATCCAGGCTGGGCACAGTGACTTACACCTGTAATCCCACCACTTTAGTAGACTGAGACAGAAGGATCACTTGAGCCAAGGAGTTTGAGACCAGCCTGGGCAACATAGCAAGACCCTGTCTCTACAAAATATTTAAAAATTAGCGGAGCATGGTGACATGTGCCTGAAGTGCTAACTACTCAGGAGGCTGAGGTGAGAGGATCACTTGAGCCCAGGAGGTCAAACCTGCAGTAAGCTAAGATTGCACCACTGCACTCCAGCCTGGACAACAAAGCGAGACCCTGTCTCAAATAAATAAATAAATAAATAAATAAATAAATAAAACGTTCAAAAGGAAATCACTGGTCTTGTCTGAAGCAGTAAATAAACAGGTCATCTTACTTACATTTCTGTTGTCCCAGTGAAAATCACACAACTACCAGGAGGAAATTCATTTTTGACTCTGTCAGTCTTGATCACCTATAAATGATCCTCAGTTCTGTGCCGTTAATTGATAGAAATTAATCTTTTTTCTTGGGCTAAACAACTTTTTGTTTTGAACATCAATGTATCACTTGTATCTATTGTAATATTTTGTATTTGTCTTAGAAAAAAATCATTAAGTGAATAATATAGGTGCACAGAAATAGGACTGAAAAGCTGAAGGTAAGGAAGGAAAGAGATAAGAATAACAAATGGGCCAGGCGTGGTGGTGGCTCACGCCTGTAATCTCAACACTTTGGGAGGCTGAGGTGAGAGGATCACTTCAGCCCAGAAGTTCAAGACCAGCCTGGGCAACAAGGCAAAACCCTGTCTCTACAAAAAATACCGAAAAAGCACAATTAGCCAGGTGTGGTGGCACACGCCTTCGTCCCAGCTACTTGGGAAGCTGAGATGGGAGGATTGCTTGAGCCCAGGAGGCCCACTTTGCTGTGAGCCAAGATCATGCCACTGCACTCCAGCCTGGGCAACAGAGCAATACCCTGTCTCAAAAAAAAAAAAAAAAAAAAAAAAAAGAATAACAAATGAGAGGGACTCTGTTGGAGATTGGGAGGGGGCCTATGCATCATGCTTTCTGTAGTGCAAACCCCTAACCATGTGCCAGCACTAGCTAGTGAGATCTACAGATCATCGCCTCGCCTCATTAAGTCAAAGGCTTCAACTTCTGCTTCCACAAGTCATCTTTTTGTTCACTCTCTGTAAAATAATCAACTCACGCCCTCAAGTTTCTGCTGTGGAGTTGAGGTGACAATATTTCAACAGAATTGATGCCATATGGAAAATCCCAAGCTAGCTTTTGTACAAGTACAAAATCAAATATTCAAAACAGATGAGAAGCTTACTATCGTGGTGGGAGTACAGGCTTTGGTGTTAAACAATCCTGAGATGGAATTTCATCTCTCCTAATTAGAAGCTGCAGAGACCTAGTCAAGTCTGAACCCTTATGAGCTTTCGTTTCCTCAGCTGTAAGTGGAACTAATAACACTGAATTTGATGAGTTGTTATGAGGATTAAATTGGACAAATGGGAAGTGTGTAGCATCTATGGCACATAGATGTAAAATAAATAAGAATGGACAGGTGCTATTAAAAATATTACCTGGCCGGGTGCAATGGCTCATGCCTGTAATCCCAGCAGTTTGGGAGGCCAAGGCGGGTGGATCACTTGAGGCCAGGAGTTCAAGACCAGCTTGGCCACCATGGTGAAACCTCATCTCTACTAAAAAATACAAAAATTGGCCGAGTATGGTGGCACATGCCTGTAGTCCCAGCTACATGGGAGAACAAGGCAGAAGAATCACTTGAATCTGGGAGGTGGAGGTTGCAGTGAGCCGAGATTGCACCATTGCACTCCAGCCTGGGCAAAAGAGTAAGACTCTGTCTCAACCCAAAAAAAAAAAAAAAGCAATCTATCGCTTCCTTACTGTGTGCTCGCACTGTACGTAAAGCCTTATTGGTAGATAATACTGTTAAAACCATCTAAAAAGCGGAGCCCTGGGGAGGTTAACAGTCTTCCCCCCAAGTCCCACGGCCAACAGTAGCAGGGCCAAGATTTAGACCAAAGAAGTCTGACTCCAGAAGCCTAGCTCATAATCCTTTGCCTCTATAGCCTGTCTTCAGAGTGAGCCAGCAAGCCACCTGCAGAGTGGGTTGATTAATGGACTGCTTTTGGAATAGATGAGTTTTAGAAATCACTGGTATTTGTAGGCTGGAGTCACTGAGGTCTTGGGTTTTGGAATGTTATTTACATATGCAGAGATAGGAAGGGAGGGCGGGTAGGGGAGAAGGCACTCAGAGCTGCAGTTTTGCTTGAATAATTCAAGAGCATTAAAATTTAGGAGGATATCCAATGATGAGATAAGCATCATATGCATAATCAACACCAAATTTTTAATTTAAAGTAATAAAGGTCAGTCTTTCATTAATGACCTATTATTCCATCTATTCACAAAGTAGATGCATAAAATATCCCAACCCAGTATCTTTTTTACTCTTCTGTTCCACTCTCTGAATTGCATGTTTTAAAACATAAATCAGGTTTTCTTTTGAATTCACGAGCCCACATTTCTAATTTAGCTCTTGGTCCCCACCTTCCACCTCTCACCCCCAATTAATGTAATTATCCAGAACCACAGCTTCATAGACTACAGGGGCACACAATAAGAAATGTGGCCTTTTTTTCCCCTAAATACACTAGATGAATTAAACACAAAACAAACAAACAAAAAAAGAAATGTGGCCGTTTTCTATTGACAGGTCACAGTGTCTCGTATTTTCTTGTATCTTCACTGATAACTTTATTTTTTATTTTTTTATTTTTTGAGGCAGAGTCTCATTCTGTCTTGCCCAGGCTGGAGTGTGGTGTGATCTCAGCTCACTGCAGCCTCTGCCTCCCGGGTTCAAGTGATTCTCCTGTCTCAGCCTTCCGAGTAGCTGGGATTACAGGCACGTGCCACCATGCCTGGCTAATTTTTGTATTTTTAGTAGAGACGGGGTTTCACCATGTTGGCCAGGCTGGTCTCGAACTCCTGACCTCAGGTGATCCACCCACCTCAAGTGATCCACCCAACTCGGCCTCCCAAAGTGCTGGGATTATAGGCGTGAGCCACTATGCCCAGCCTTCACTAATAACTTTAAGAGGAATTACAGTAGCAGTCAAACAAAAAGAAAGAAAGAAATGGAGAATTTTAAATACAGAAAGACTTACGGACTAAAAATGGATCATTTGCAGTGAGTTCAGCATTTGAAACTATTAATATATTATTCCTTTAGGGTCACTGGCATCCTTTATGTAGGATAGTTCATTGAGCGCCAGAAAATATCTAAGGATTTTGAATTCAGACCGCTTTTATGGAATAAAAATTCCAAGGGGGTCTTTTCTTTCTTTTGAGTACGAGTGAACAGAAATTTTCTATTTGCCTTTTGTAATGTTCCAAGATCAAAGGAGTTTTTGCTGAAAATCAAATTCTGTAAAAGCCATGCATAGTCCGAGTGTAGTGTGTGACTCTTTCAATCCAGTGAAAATAGGGTATTTGGGGACCAAACTTTGAAAACCAGTATCATTACAGGGTGCTACCAGGAGTCTGCATTAGTTTCTCCTCGTACTACCTTAATACAAATGACCTTTGGTAGGATCTCATTAGTGTCGCAGGGATCACCGCAAGCCACTGACCCCGCAAGTTTCCTCCAAATCATTCCCCTGAAACAGTTCAGAGAAACAAACTCTTAGCAGTGTAAACACTCCCTGGGTCTGGAAATTTCATAAATCAGAGTTAAAACAAAGAAAGGTCTAAAATGTATTCCTGGTACAGAATCTGAAATGTAAATTGTCTGGATCCAGAAACTTTTCCTGGCTTTTGGGGGCTGCCTCTCTAATTGCTGTAATAAAGAATGTTTTCAGAACTGTATAGTGATAAAATGAAAGTACGGTATTTAGCATTGTAAAAGTATTTGGAATCCAGATGGGTTATTTAGTTATAGACCTCTTGTTTTCTTTTGTTGCTTCTCTATTGTGGAATTTGTATAGAAGCCCTTTTTTTGTTTTTCTGTTGTTATTTTGTTTTTAATAGAAAGTAAGCCTGGTGCTATGGGACATGCCTGTAGTCCCAGCTCCCAGGATGAGGCAGGAGAATCGCTTGAGCCCAGGAGTTCTGGGCAACATAGTGAGACTCCTCTTAAAAAAAAAAAAAAAAAAATATATATATATATATACACACACACACACACACACACACACACACACACACACACAAACACACATATATACATGTGTATATGTGTGTGTGTGTGTATATATATATATATATATATATATATATGGCTGGGCACAGCGGCTCATACCTGTAATTCCAGCACTTTGGGAGGCCAAGGCAGGAGGATTGCTTGAGCCCAGGAGGTTGAGACCAGCATGGGCAACATAGTGAGACCCCCATCTCTACTTAAAAAAAAAAAATTGTCCAGCCATGGTTGTGCACACGTATAGTCCCAGCTACTTGGGAGGCTGAAGCAGGAGGATTACCTGAGCCCGGGAGGTCGAAGCTGCAGTGAGCTATGATTGAGCCACTGCACTCTAGTTTGGGCCACAAAGGGAGATGCAATCTCAAAAAAAATTTTTTAAGTTAAAAAGCAAACAAACAAGGTTTGGTGTGGGTGTGAGTGTGGGTAGGTGTGTGTATTTTGTCTATCTTGTCACATTTTTGCAAGAAATATTCATTTCTTTACTTCATATGAACTTAATTCTGAGGCTCCATACTTCTGGACTAAGGTGAAATTCAACCTCAGCCATTTTGGTGGCTCGTTAACTCCAAAGGGTACCAACCAAACACCCAGACATTGATGACGCCCCTGTGGTCATTGCCATCAGCACTGCCTGCTCATCATCAAGCCTATTCTTGGCCAAGCCTATAAGATCTCTCAAGTCCAGAAGTCCTGCTGCTTGACTTCTTTCATGCCTGGGGTCCTATAGGTGTCAGCCTCTAGGCTCTGACAAGTGTCAAAGATGTCAGCCCTTGACCATTGCCAGCAGGGTCTTAAAACCTGTGTGTGTGCACTGGGGGCAAGGAATAGGAGGACCCTGGGCACTGCAGGACTCAAATCCCCACTGTGGGACCCATAGACCTCTGTTTCTAATCTCCACTCAAAAGCTGTGTCCCTCTCGGCTGGGTGCAGTGGCTCACACCTGTAATCCCAGCACTCTGGGAGGTGAGGCGGGCGGATCACAAGGTCAGGAGATTGAGACCATCCTGGCTAACACGGTGAAACCCCGTCTCTACTAAAAATACAAAAAATTAGCCGGACGTGGTGGCGGGCACCTGTAGTCCCAGCTACTCAGGAGGCTGAGGCAGGAGAATGGCGTGAACCCAGGAGACGGAGCTTGCAGTGAGCCAAGATGGCACCACTGCACTCCAGCCTGGGCGACAGAGTGAGAGTCCATCTCAAAAAAAAAAAAAGGAGAAGCTGTGTCCCTCTCTCAGCAGCCCTCTAAGACACCTATCATAATCCATTCAGCACTCTTCGGTTCTATTAAAAACAGAAAGAGCCAATGACTTCTGGTTACTTCAGTTTTCAGCTCCACAAAAATCCCCAAAGCGAAGAATTTCAAAGCTTGACTACTTGCTCAACAGGAGGGGGATGAGGGTGGGCAAGCTCAATTTAATATTTTTAGAATAGTCTCTCATCAAAATATATAAATATTTGGGTGCATAAATGTGAATTGTCTGGAGAGATCCTTGGAAACTATGAGTGGTGATTGATGGGACTGAGTCTGGGTGGGAAGCAGTCTATTTTTGTGCTTTGCAACAACCTGTGGTAGTATTACTTGAATCCTATACGTGGGTACATGTCATTTTTATGATGATAAATAATTTTTAAGGTTATGAATCTGAAGAGATACAAATTATTTTTTAATTCATTAACTATGAAACACTTTTCCCAACCAAAGCTTACCTACAGTAGATATTGTTGTCCTAATTTTATGGCTCAGATTGCTGAGTTCAGAGGAATTAATTGCCCAAGATTACAAGAAGGCAGAGTCAGGATTTGAACCCATGGCTGTTTCACACTTAAGTCCATGAATGCTGTTTCCCCTGCTCCTGTTTTCTTCTCCTCCAGGACCCATTCATTCCACTAAGTTCTTTTCTTTCATTGCCCAAGTAATAAGGCCTGGCAAAACCTCCTTCATCAGGCCACACATCTATGCCAAATCCTAGAATACCAATAAATACCTGAAACCGTGTTTCAAAATACACTATAAAATGTAAATAAGAATGACACATAGTTCACCTCAAGTTCATACACAGCAGCAATGTACAGGGTTAACAGTAAAACACATGGAAGAACTTTAACATGAAGTATTAGGCAGAGCCAGTTTTAAAGGAATGAAATAATAATCTTAGGAAAATTTAATTATACCTCTGAATATATCATAACTGTGTATATTGTTTATCTTTATGTCAGATAAAATATAACATTATTAACAAATAGAAAATTATGGGTTGCTGCCTATTGGTTGTTTGCTTAAGGAAGCATTTGTGGTTGTTGAAAATGAGTAAGATTTTATTTTTTATAGAATGCTATAGTTATCCATGAAGTCTATGAAGAAGGGGCAGCAGCCAGAGATGGAAGACTTTGGGCTGGTGACCAGATATTAGAGGTATATGGTTTTGAATTTTATTTTATATCAGTAAATGTGGTTCCTTTGCTGGTCTCGATCCATAAAGTTGTCTTTCTACTCAACTGTATTTTCACTGATTCCTCTCCCATTTAACAAAATACTTATCATATTCTTTTTTTCTTCAGTGTACATTATACAGTGGTTTAGAATCATGACAGGTTATCAATCTACATTTGTCTATGAAAACTTTTTTTAACTAAAAGGAAAAATAGAACTTATGGGTCTATTATTTTAATATCAAATGAGACTATATAATATTGCAAATTTTTTGCCTCTCCATTATACCCTACTAAATTCCTCCTAAAAACACATACATATAGATACATACACATACACATATATACCTGATATTTTAAAGATTTTATGGCAGCTTAAATCATATTTTCTTAATCTTAATAAATCTTTATGCCAAATGGAAGTTCATGCCTTGCCACCAATGTTTTCAAGTTGATGAAAATGTAAAATCTTCCCCCTATGATGCTTACTAAAAATTGAAATGCTTAACTTTTTCAAATTGACTCTCATTTAGCAAAGTTGTTAAAGCCTTTTAAAAAGTACCAAAGCAGGCAATGTCTGCACTATGGAATGGCTGAAGGAGAAGGCGATGCCAGGCGTTCTGGTAGGTGGAACTAAAGAGCTTTCTCGATGGTGTGAAACCTTTAGGCCACGTTTTTTTTTTTTTCATTGAATGAACTTAATTGAATAGTTGGCATTTTATGGTGAGCATGTGCATTTTTGCTTTGCAACTTTAATATAGCACTTACAAATGACATCATAGAATTTTATTTTTCCCTTTGGTGGTTCATTTCTGCCTCCCAAGATGAAACCAGAGATATAATTAAGGGCAGGAAACATAGGCGAGAAGGGGTTAAAGGAGAGGCCAGGCTGATTGCAAATTAAATTCAGCCCAAGTTACAGGATTTCTCTGCAGGCCTTTACTGTGTTTCATCATTGGATTAAGACATATTCCCAGTACATTCATTAAGGTACAAGTGTATGAGGTTAGAAAAATAAGCAAGACCTCTCTGGGAGCTGGCTTGACTGCCTTAGCATACAACATGGTTTTTTAGCAGTCAGGAGTTTGGGGTTTCTTTGTTTTTCCCTCCCTAGATTTTCAAATCAATTGGTGTTATCATAATTGGCTTTTTAAGATGAATAGATTAAATATTTAAAATGGCACATATGCCTTGATACTTATATGATTTCTAAGTCCGCAAGTTATAATGGTCACTTGAAACTAAATCTAACATGTTCATTATCTTGAATGTGGTGATGGCTTCACAGGTGTAAGTACCCATCTGGCAAAACCTATCAAATTGTACACTTTAAGTTTGTGCAGTTTATTTTATATCAATTATACCTCAATAAGGATTTTTTTAAACTATTTCTGTTTGTATTAGGTAGACCCTCTGTAGCTGCTCTCTTCTATAAAGTATATTCAAGTACAAGCAAACACCCAGTAAAGGTTAACCTGAATAAAGCAAATTTATTTTAAGTGAGAGGAGAATTTTTCAAAAATCAAGTTAACAGTTTCCTGGCAACTGGCAGCATTATATTATCTATTCTGAATGGATGGCCTATACGTCTCATTAAAGATGGCCAGTACAGGCTCCTCTCTTACCTCAGACAAGGTCTAGTTCATGAGAGTCTAACACTTGTTTAGCTAAGAAATACAGCTCTCAGTTTGGTCAGGGAACGTGTTTCCTTTCTAAACAGCTTTCTAATTCACATTGGACTGGTTCTGGTTGTGGCTGATGAGTACAAATGTGTGATGAGGCATCGGCAGCCTGTGACCCACAGGAGGCCTTGAGAAGACAGGCCTGTTTTCGTGGGATATTTTGAGACCATGAAACAGCGTAACACTACATCAGCACTTTCCCAAACAATGCCCTTTGCACTCGTGAGAGTCCTCCGCATTCCGCAAATTGGCCTTTCATGGTTTTAATACTATCCTCATGTTAAGGTTAGAACATGCCAGATTTTGCTTCCAAAGATAGGGACGAATAATGTTTTGGCATGGCAAGATTTATGATTCTATTAATATGATGAGCGTCAGCTGTGTCTCCTTTCTGGTTCTCCTTTTAGGCCAGTTCCTTCTCATACCCTCCCCGCAGTCTGCAAGTGGGAGCAGAAGAGAGTAGAGAGTTAACGTCTGATTTTCCCTATGCAATAAAATGTGGAGGAACTGCTGCACTAGCTTTGTTATTCTTTCCTTCTCAAGAACTGTGTTCACCCACTTCCCCACATGGCCCTTCCACCCAAGGGATGTGGTAGTCTCCCTTTGACTACTGGGTCTTCCTGGAGCCTTTCTTCTCAAATAGGAAGCCCTGCTATTTCCACCCCTCTTCCTCTACAGCCAATGTTCTAAATAATGCATACTGTGCTTCTGTAAGGCACTTACATAATACATCTCCCCACAATGTTCTAGCCACGCCATGATATTTCTCTCATGATTATCGGCACATTTCGTGGTATCTCCTGATTCTCAGAGGAGCAAATGGAAACCATGAACTTAGATCACTTCCATCCGAGCAGATACCGTCATGCTGGAATTTAATAGAAATTGCTTTGTAATATTAGAGCTTAATGACAATGCTTTTAATTAAAAGTATATTTGTTAGGGCCTTTCGAACAGTATTTAGAGGCTTAGAAAGTTCACCTTCAACCCATAGAGGTAACTGGGTTTTTTTTATTGAGTGACAGAAGTGGTCTTGTGTGCCATCTGTTGGAATACAGGAAAATAACTCAGACCACATTTCCTGGAAATACACTTTTCCTCTTTGTGTTTCATTCACAGACAATGAAAATGTATTCATTGGCCTAAAGTAGCAGTGAATGATCATGCTGAGAGGAAAAACAGCCTTCACTGAAGTTACTTCAATTCCTTGTAAAATACCAACTTCTAACTTACATTGGATATAACTGTGTGCCAAGCCCTGTGCCAAATGATTTACAGGGTTTATTTCATTTAACCTTCACAACACTAAGTAAATATTATTACCTCCAATTCATAGATGACATGGCAAAAGTTTGGCTTAAGTAATTTACACAGGGTTTCATATAGCCAGGAAGTTGGAATCAGCACTCAAACTGAAGTGCATCTATATCCAAAACCCATGTTCTTTTTTTTTTTTTTTGAGACAGAGTCTCACACTGTTGCCCAGGCTGGAGTGTAACAGCACAATCTCTGCTCACTGCAACCTCCGCCTCCCAGGTTCAAGCAATTCTCCTGCCTCAGCCTCCCAAGTAGCTGGGATTATGGGCGCCTGCCACCAGGCTTGGCTAATTTTTTGTATTTTTAGTAGAGACGGGGTTTCACTGTGTTGGCCAGGCTGGTCTTGAACTCCTGACCTCGTGATCTGCCTGCCTCGGCCTCCCAAAGTGCTGGGATTACAGGCATGAGCCACCGCGCCCAGCCCAAAACCCATGTTCTTTACCACTGTTATTCTGGATGTAGCTCATCTAAGTGAACACACAAGCCACCAAGATATACCAGAAAATAAACAGCAGCTTGGAAATTAGGCTTTTAAACATTTGGTTGGCTCACAGAATCAGTTTTAAATGGCAGTTCAAAAGTCACCTTCTCCAAGAAGGGTTCATTCTTCCTTTCTCCTTTCCCGTAACCATTCTTTATGCCACTGGTCCTTAGTCTTTAGAATGTTAGAATTAAAAAAGCCTTGGGGGCCGGGTGCGGTGGCTCACGCCTGTAATCCCAGCACTTTGGGAGGCCAAGGCTGGTGGATCACCTAAGGTCAAGAGTTCAAGACCAGCCTGGCCAACATGGTGAAACCCCGTCTCTACTAAAAATACAAAAATTAGCCAGGCGTGGTGGCTGATCCCTGTAATCCCAGCTGCTCGGGAGTCTGAGTCTGGAGAATTGCTTGAAACCGGAAAGCGGAGGCTGCAATGAGCCGGGATCGCACCACTATACTCCAGCCTGGGTGACAGAGTGACACTCCATCTCAAAAGAAAAAAAGAAAAAGCCTTAGACCATTGCTTCATTGTACAGATAAAGGAACAAAGGTTCAGAGGCTGGCCTGACCTTCCAGTAGCACACAGGGCTGGACCAGAATAAGGAATGGAACTGACATCTTGGGGGAGCTCAAGCACTCTACCATCTGCCTGGTGGGCTGGACTTATCCTTCCCCTCATTTGACTCTTTTCCTAGCTGCAACCTTGAGGGAATCACCACCTCTGACTTCTTTCCTTTGAATCCAAGGTTACTCTGCTCCTCGATTTCTCCCTCATATCAAATTTACTAACCAATGTCAGTATTTGACTTTCTTTGTGACAGGGGATCTCCAGTAACCCATTCTAAGAGTTAATGATGAGGCAGCATGGAATAGGAACTGAGGGTGGAAGGGTTTCAATCTTGGCTCCTCCACCTGCTAGCTGTGTAACCTGGGTCAAGTCCCTAAACCTCTGTGTGCCTCAGTTTCCTCCTCTATGAATGGTGATAATAACAATATCTATTTCAGAGAGTTAGTATAAGGATTAAATGAGTAAATATTCATTAAGGACTAGCACACAAGCACTGCAGAAGTATTTAAGTTAAAGAATAAATAATTTGGCTATAATGTCTATTTAACAGAAAAGGAAACAGAGGCTCAGAGATTACATGACTTGGCTTTACTCAGTGCTCTTTTCGGTACACTGCTTTCTAATGCATGGTCCTGTCTGTGCTCACTGAGAACCAGATTCCAGTGAGAAGACTTCAAGGGGTCTTGGATGCTGTTGGAAATACTGTTCCCTCATCTCCTTCTGGGCCTGTTATGAAGTCGTTGTGATGTGAGCAAATAAGAGTGAAGATGTCAGCCAGGCATGGTGCCTCATGCCTGTAATCCCAGCACTTTGAAAGTCCGAGGCAGGAGGATCACCTGAGCCCAGGAGTTTGAGGCCAGCCTGGGCAATATGGCAAGACCTCATCTCTCCAGAATTTAAAAAATTAGCTAGACATGGTGGCACACACATGCAGTCCCAGAAACTCAGGAGGCTGAGGTTGAAGGATCACTTGAGTCTGGGAAGTCAAGGCTGCAGTAAGCCAGCATTCATGCCACTGCACTCCAACCTGGGCAACAGAGCAAGACCCTATCTAAAAAAATAAACAAATAAATGAGAGTGAAGATGTCATATCCAATAAGCAAACTGAATCTAAAAATGCTGACTAAACATTAATAGTTATTTCCCTTTTATCTCAATTAAATGAGCTAGTTAAGTCCCTGCATGCACACTCTCCTGTCTCTTTCATTGATTTCACAGTAAAGTTTATAGCTATGTAAAATTGCATTATCATGTATCCACCCTTTGTGCACATGTTGGGTAGGATATTTTAAGGGCCATCTCCTTTATATTCAAAGCAGCTCATACTGCTTGTGGTCACTACCTGTTTGCCTTGAGATTGGCTGGAAATTTCTAGAGATTCTTTACTGGTTAGATCAAGGAGATTCAGCAGACAGAGAAGGCAGAGACCTCTGCCATCAGCAGCCCAGCTCAGGATGCCCATTGTTCCAGGTTAATGGGGTTGACCTGAGGAACTCCAGCCACGAAGAAGCCATCACAGCCCTGAGGCAGACCCCCCAGAAGGTGCGGCTGGTGGTGTATAGAGATGAGGCACACTACCGGGATGAGGAGAACTTGGAGATTTTCCCTGTGGATCTGCAGAAGAAAGCTGGCCGGGGCCTGGGCCTGAGCATCGTTGGGAAACGGTAAAGACGTGCTGTGGGAGTTGGGATCTGCCTTTTTCATCCAGAGCTCTGATGCCTGTGAACACTGAAAGAGAAAGCCTAATGTAAAGTAGTGATGGGATTTCTAAAAATAAGATATTTATGAAAATTTGACAACATGGGTCATATTTCTGAGCAAGGTCTTACCAGAAAAATTGTCATATCAAGATAGAACTCCAAGTCCAATCAATCCAGACTGATATATTTCTGTACAGAGTAAGAACAACTAGCAAGGTTCTTTCACTTGGAATTACTAAGATCGGAGTTTTGCAGAGGTTGATTAAAGCAACCATACCCAAGAAATAGCTAGCATCAAGAATGAGATTTATCCAATGTTGGGTCAAGAACATTGCTTCGACATGGAAATTAACATGGAACATTGCTTTTCGTGATACTGTTAATTTCATACTATGTTGAAACTAGTTGAGTAGACATAGTTAAGAGATAAACATAATTCTTCACGATAGTAGTTTTCTATTAAGAAAAATGTCCTGCTGGGCACAGTGGCATGTACCTGTTGTCTCAGCTATGTGGGAAGATCACTTGAGGCCAGGAGTTCAAGGCTATAGTGTGCTATGATCATGCCTGTGAATAGCCACTGCACTTGAGCCTCTTGGGAAACATAACAAGACCCCATCTGTAAATTAAAAAAAAAAAAAAGAAAAGGAAAAAAGAAAGATGTCCCCAAAGTAATAGTTTGCACCAAAAATGTAGGTAGGTAGATCCTAGTGGCCAGGCTACTCTTTTGAAATATATGTTGCTGCCAGATGCAGTGGCTCATGCCTGTAGTCCCAGCACTTTGGGAGGCCGAGGTGGGTGGATCACCTGAGGTCAGGAGTTCAAGACCAGCCTGACCAATATGGTGAAACCCCATCTCTACTAAAAAATACAAAAAATTAGCCAGGCATAGTGGCAGACGCCTGTAATCCCAGCTACTTGGGAGACTGAGGCAGGAGAATTGCTTGAACTTGGGAGGTGGAGGTTGCAGTGAGCTGAGATCACGCCATTGCATTCCAGCCTGTGCAACAAGAGCGAAACTCCATCTCAAAAATAAATAAATAAATAAAAAGAGGTATATGTTGCCTAGGCCAGGCATAGTGGCTCACGTCTATAATCCCAACACTTTGGGAAGCTGAGTTGGGAGGATCGCTTGAGGTGAGGAGTTCAATATCAGTCTGGCAACATAGCAAGACTTGTCTCTAAAAAAATTTTTTAAATAAAGAAAAATGAAGTCTATACTGCTTAACAGTCGTTTGTTCCAGGATAATATTACTAAGTTTCTCTTGCAGTGAATTGGAAAGGTAAGTAATAGCTTGAAACAAAGCCTAGCTTCCATGGTTTACTGGCTTTTAGGTATCTAGTATGTATTTATCCCAACAGGGCTATAGGATTTCCAGGTAATATCCTAATATGGCCTTAAAGTGTATCAACCATCTTGTTAAGGAAGAAATCAAGTTGCTTTTATGCATGTTATGTTATATGCCCTCACAGACCTCTGGTGACTAGCCTAGTGTCTGTCCAGCAGGCCAAGCTGTTATTAAAATAAAAATATTAGCTACAATTTTTGAGTACTGATTTTGGGCCAAGTATTGTGCTGTCATAATTTCATTTTTTTTTACTTCAGCACCATAGAACCATCACTCTGAAAATGCATTACCAAACAAAAAAAGCTGAGTCTCTTACATTTCTAAACAAAAATCAGTGCACATCTGGGTGCAGAGCAACTGACAGAGCCAGTGTTGAAGTTTGCTTTCTTGTTTTGACACATGCGTATACCTGGTGCGGTTTTATTTACAGCAATGTTTTTTGCTTTTAGTGAATGTCAGTATTTCAGGTTGAGTTTGTAAGGAACATTTACATTCCTTAGCACAAAAACTTGCATTGTAAAGGATGAGATGTATAGTTCTCAAAAGTCACTATTTTCTTTGACTAACAATTCCATCACCAGGACTTTATCTTAAAGATATACTTACAAGTATTCATTGCTCATTGCAATAGTTAAAGAATGGAAATAACCTGTATGTCCATCAGTAAGCTACTGGTAAGTGAAATTATGAAACATCATAGAATAGTATGTAGCTATTTAAAAAATGAGGAAGCTCCAAGTGCTGATAAAGGCAAATTACCAAGGTATGAAAGAAACAAAAAGAAAACAAAACTGGAAGAAGAAAGGAGCATATATGTGTGTGCATCCTGTCACACACACACGTATTATGCATGGAAATATTAGGTTGTGCCAATACTGCACTGCTGTATGGTATTAACAGAAATGGAAGCGGAGTGTTTATTTCTGACATCGTGAAAGGCGGAGCCGCAGACCTGGATGGGAGATTGATTCAGGGAGATCAGATCTTATCTGTGAATGGGGAGGACATGAGAAATGCCTCACAGGAGACAGTGGCCACCATCCTCAAGGTGAGTTGCTAGGCTGCTTTTTACCCAGCTGGCACAACTGAAGTCCAGTGGGAACTGTTCCAGTCTAGCTTGATTATAAAATGGGTTGGATTTTATACTAACTCTAGTTTTTACTAGAAATTTAATCTCTGATTATTTTAAATGAGCCAGAATAGCTTTAAAAGAAAGTTCTGTTATATTGACTAACAGAATGAAAGGGAACCTGCTTTGGGATTTCACAAGCAAGTTTTTCATACTTGTGAGAATTCTAAGTATCCATCACTGTTCTTTAAATGCATTTGATGAGATGGGCCCTCCAGGAGCCACAGAATTCATCCTCCTCTCTCTAGGGCTATGCCTGTTGCTTTCATTACCCTTTTATAATTTGTGGCTGCAGGGAGAGGCTCTGTTAAGATATTTCAGAATATAAATGCTACTACTTTTCATTTCTGTTCTTTTCTTGCCTTTCCAAGTGTGCACAGGGACTTGTGCAGCTAGAGATTGGAAGACTCCGAGCTGGTTCCTGGACCTCCGCAAGGACGACATCACAGAACAGTCAGGTTGTCGATGGCTTCTCATCAGACTGACTCACTCTTCTGCCCCCACTGGGAGAAAGTTCCCCATTTAATAAATGGTTGTTTGGAAATAATATCTAATGTACAGCATATTCACAGCACCAAGTTTAGTGAACTTTCATGTGTTTGAAATAAAAATGAAAGGTGGGATGGAAATTCATTAATCCCTAGATTTTTCTCTCCTTTATTGCTTGCAAATGTTTTCTTGGAAGCTCTTTTCTCTCTATTAGTTCTATATTGCCTATGCACGCATGTACACAGCTGTGTTTATTTAAAAAAAAAAAAAGGCAACATCTGGTGGCAATTTGACCCTCATTAGCACAACATTGTTCTATTCATTCAATTAAATATTGCTATAAAGTTAACTTGTGACTAGCCACTCACACATGCCGAGGGCAATTAATGGCATATTCCTAGGAGAACCAAGTGTGGGGGTTTTTCCTGTGGGAGGGAGGGCTTAGTGGGTGATATTTTGTGGGTTAGCAAACATCTTATATTTATTTGCAAAGCTGATGTAAGTGCCATTTTTTTTTAGCAAAGTATATTTCACTATATTTTTTTCATTGTAATGGCTGACAAAATCAAGATGGTAGACTGTATGGTTAGCCCCATGTGGTACATAATGAGACTATAGAAACTTATATGTGACCCCTAAGTCTCCTCTCTGGGTTATGGATAGGCCGCCTTAGTTTTGAGGTTAAAAGCATGACTTTTGGTCCCCTCCCTGGTTGCCTTATTTCTGAAGCCTCTCCAAGGCCTTTGTTCAGAAGGTGCTCTGATCTTACAGTTAGCACACAGTTACTTCTGGAAAGCTATTAGCTGCCTCCTGTTCCTCACTGGTGTTAAAAAATGAGTGAGGAAAATACCATTGTTCAGATAGGATTACAGACTAGCTGGCTTGTCTTAGGGAATCTTCAAAGCAGTCAAACCCAATAAACACCATATTAAGTTTGAAACACTTTTTTTTTTTTTCATTTCTGGCTTACATAATGGGCAGCAAATATCTAAGACATGGTGCTGCTGTAGGATTCCATGAGTTAATAGTTAGTGATGATATTGACCAGACTTATATCAACAAACGAAACAGTTGTCTAGCCAGGCTTCTTCCTTAATGGAAGACTCATCTTTGTTGAATGATTTCATTAAAGCCTTATTGTATACAGAAGATTAGAATGAAGCTACACAGAGGAGGTTCCATTGAATCTCACTCCAAATGGAGTTTGGGGAAAAGAAGGAAAAGGCATCTCAGACAGGGAAAATAGCATACACAAAGGCACAAAGAGGTAACAGGTGTTTGTGTGATTTAAGAAAAGTTTGGACTGATCGATAGGTAAGGTAGTGGATAGAAATGGATTTCTGTCCCTCTTGAGAGATGTATGTGAGCATCTTCTTATTTATTTATTTATTTATTTTTGAGACGGAGTCCCACTCTGTTGCCCAGGTTGGAGTGCAATGGCGCGATCTCAGCTCACTGTAATCTTCGCCTCCCGGGTTCAAGTGAGTCTCCTGCCTCAGCCTCTCGAGTAGCTGGGACTACAGGTGCCCGCCACCACATCCGGCTAATTTTTGTATTTTTAGTAGACACGGGGTTTCAAAACATCTTGGTCAGGCTGGTCTCAAACTCCTGATCTCAGGTGATCCACCCACCTCGGCCTCCCAAAGTGCCTGGATGACAGGTGTGAGCCCCCGCGCCCAGCCGCATCTTCATAATTTTTAAGTTCACACTCAAAGACAGAACTACCAAATTTAGAAGCTACATCATTAAATATCAAAAAAAAAAAAAACCTATCGTCTCCACTTACCTGGTATATGAATGTGAGTTGTCATATTTTGGAAACCTGGGACAAAGTATCAAATACTTTGCCCTAATCTTCTTACACAGAATTTTAATTTCAGAGGGTAGGAGTTTAATTCAATTTTTAAAAACAGTAAATATATCTTATCATCACCTTGTGCTTAAAATTATGGGTGAGATAGAAGAGTTTGCCCTATTTGGCTAATTAGAAGAAGGCTGGTAGCCGACTGTGAAAAGGAAATGTCTTCCCATCATGATGAGTTGAAGACTGACCCTGGTGGGCAAAAACAAGATTCCATTGCCAAACATTTTTACATCCAGACCCATTTAAAAAATCAGGATCTTGTAGGAACACAGATTTCCTTCTGAGCAGTTACAAAATAGGGAGATCAATGCCTTCTTTTGAGCGCTAAGGAGAATAAGCTCTTGACTTAATTCATAGAAAGTGAGTTCATTAAGAGAGAAATAACTTCTAGCTTTGGGGCCACCAAGTGTCTTTTTTTAAAATGACTTTCCCCCAAACCAGGAAGAAATTTCCTTACTCCACAGAGGAAAAAATACTTGCGAGATCTTTTCCTCAGCCAACTAAGGGAACACAGTCAGGCAAAGTGTACTTTTATAAACGTCTTGGGGCCGGGCGTGGTGGCTCACATCTGTAATCCCAGCACTGGGAGTTCGAGGCGGGCAGATCACTTGAGGGCAGGAATTCAAGACCAGCCTGGCCAAAGAGCCTGGTGAAACCCTGTCTCTACTAAAAATACAAAAATTAGCTGGGCATAGTGGTGGGCTCCTGTAACCCCAGCTACTCAGGAGGCTGAGGCAACAGAATCACTTGAACCTGGGAGGCGGAGGTTGCAGTGAGCTGAAATTGCACCACTGCACTACAGCCTGGGTGACAGAGGGAGACTCCTCAAAAATTACAATACAATGCAATAAAGGTCTTGGCAAACACACCTTTCTGAAATTTTTTAAAGGCAAAAGTTATAATATACTGTACTTCCTCAGTTCTGATTAGTTATCTATTATAGTACCATTTACTTAAATCATATCCTTTAAGGAAAAGTATAAAAACACTCCTTTAAATGTATATAGCCACTATGAAGTATACTGAGATCTACAACTTACTTTGAAATGAATTTTTTAAAAAAAGATGAGTGATGAATAGATAAATGGCTATGTGATAAAGGAAATATAGCAAAATACTCATTGTGAAATCTAGGTGCTATTTATATGGATGTCTATTGTATAATTCTTTCAGCTTTTCTATATATTTGAAGGTTTTCATATTTTAGGAATTAAAATATTAAACAACTTTCATCATAGAGTTAAGAAAATGGACCAAATTATAATTTATGAACTGATAACAGTGATCTTAGGCTTAGCTTAAAATTTTGATGCAGAATAATTTGGTAGAAAAAAATATTCATTATTTGCAATGTTTTCGTCTACATAAGAAAGGCCCTTCACTATGTATACAGTTTTTGTTGAACAGCCACTAGCCTTAAAAGACTACACAGTATTAACCTCACATATTCATTTAAATGAATAAAGGGACAGGTAATGGAGATCTAGCAGATTGGACTAAATTATTACTGATTCTAGGAAAATCTTTGAGAAAAAAATGTTATATATCCCTAAAACAAGTCTTTTTCCCTTCAGATTTGGTGCTTTTTTCCCCACAATTGAGGGTTCTATTTTGGCAGGTTTCTGCTAATCAAGGTCTTATTATACTTGTTTTAGCAAAATACATAATACATTTTGGGTAATAAAGTTGACTGTAACCCCAAATGAAACATAGTGCCCATTAGCTGACTATATATACATAAACACTATGTGGCAACCTAGGAAAATGGTTTTGATTTTATGTGGAGCAAGAACAGCTGAAATGATTCTATGGTCTCCACCTTGGTGATTGAAACCATATACAAAAGCACACATAATGGAGAAAGCAATGGAGGAAATGTCTAAATGGGATTGGGTTGAGGTAGTAAGAGAATAGTGTGGGTGATTTTTGTTTTCTTTCCTGGCCTCCTCACGATTTTCTGTTAGATGGTTATGGTGACATCAGTAATTGGCACACTAATGGATAAGTATGCATTTAGGGGGTCAAGTCAGTGTCTGCACACAGGTGACCCCTGGGTCTTTCTTTCAGGGTAGTCAGCAGAGTGCACACAGCAGCTGTCATCCCTCCTTCGCTCCTGTCATCACTGGCCTGCAAAACCTGGTTGGCACAAAAAGAGTTTCAGATCCTTCCCAGAAAAATTCAGGTATTACACGGACACACCCAGAGCAAAACTATCCTGTTACCCAAATTAAAAAAAAAAAATGTGTTTTTTAAAAACCAGTCTTCTTTAATATAAATGTTTTTTAATTTTTTGAGCTTGGCCACATAAGCTGAGCTTTCTGAAAGGCATGTTCTGAAGGTAGGAAAGCCATAGAGATTCCTTCAGTGGTGGCCAGGCATGGTGGCTCACACCTGTAATCCCAGCACTTTGGGACGGCTGTGGCGGGCGGATCACCTGAGGTCAGGAGATCGAGACCATCCTGGCTAACCCCGTGAAACCCCGTCTCTATTAAAATACAAAAAAAAATTAGCCGGGCGTGGTGGCATACGCCTGTAGTCCCAGCTACTCAGGAGGCTGAGGCAGGAGAATTGCTTGAAACTGGCGGGGGTGGTGGAGGTTGCAGTGAGCCAAGATCGTGCCACTGCACTCCAGCCTGGGTGACAGAGCAAGACTCCGTCTCCAGAAAAAAAAAAAGAAATTCCTTCAGTGGCACAACACAAAGCACCTGAAAAACAGAAAAGCAGAAAGCTGGAGTGCATGGTAAAATAAAATTACTTACAAAGAGAAAATTAATAAATTACAGGTCACTGGAGAAAGGTCAGAAGTGTGTATACCTTCTATGGGAAAATTGGGCCAGTTAAAAGAAAAAAAAAAGTGTGTATATCCTTGGGGGCAGGGTGGGACAAGGGGTCCTTTTAAGTCTTTTGTTGAATGGAGGGTTATCTTTGATTAAGGTAGAAAAAAATGTACAATGAAACACAAATGACTCAGCCGGGCCCGGTGGCTCATGCCTGTAATCTTAGCACTTTGGGAGGCCAAGGCAGGCGGATCACCTGAGGTCAGGAGTTTGAGAGCAGCCTGGCCAACATGGAGAAACCTCGCCTGTACTAAAAATACAAAAATTAGCCGGGCATGGTGGCACATGCCTATAATCCCAGCTACTTGGGAGGCTGAGGCAGGAGAATCGCTTGAACCCAAGAGGCAGAGATGGCAGTGAGCTAAGATCGGACCACTGCACTCCAGCCTGGGCGACAGAGTGAGACTCCATCTAAAAAAAAAAAAAAAAAAAAAACCACACACACACACAAAAATGAGTCATCCTCCAAGCATTTACTCACCATGTTCCAGGCAGCTGCTGCTATATAGCCCATCCACTTTTGTCAGACCAAATGGTTATGGCCACATTGATCTCAAACAGAGAGCACTTCTTTAAAATAGAGGACACAGCAGGCCGGGCACGGTGGCTCACGCCTGTAATCCCAACACTTTGGGAGGCCGAGGCAGGTGGATCACTTGAGGTCGAGAGTTTGAGACCAGCCTGGCCAACATGGTGAAACCCCGTCTCTACTAAAAATACAAAAATTAGCCGGGCGTGGTGGCAGGCACCTGTAATCCCAGCTATTTGGAGGCAGAGGCAGAAGAATTGCTTGAATCTGGGAGGCAGAGGTTGCAGTGAGCTGAGATGGTGCCACTGCACTCCAGCCTGGGTGACAAAGCGAGACTCTGTGTCAAAAAAAAAAAAAAGAGGACATGGCCCCTGGTGACTTGGCTACCAGCTTGGATGCTGAGGAAGGGTACAATACCTGCTTGCTTTAGTGTCTTCTCTTGAAAGACCTAGAAAATGAAACCATTTTTCATGGGGCAATATTATATGCTAAATATATTATTTTTTAATATTAAAAAGTTAATTGTGTTGCTTCTTTATAGGCACAGATATGGAACCAAGGACTGTTGAGATAAACAGGGTAAGTCAGTCATTTTGCTGTATGTATTTTTCTGGTTTGTGTTGGATTTGCACTAAATGTACATTTTCCCCAATACAGTTTATTGGATTGTGAGTGTGCTCTTTCAAGTTACTGAGATAAAAATATGGTCTAAATAACATCAATAAATAGACTTAGAAAAGTACAGTAGAGCACAGAGATGACCTCTATGAATTTTTTGGCAAATCTCATCCACTATATTCTGTGCTATGTGTAAGTTTTATTTTTATTTATTTATTTTTTCAATCTTAGTCTTTTAACCTGTACATGTAAAGTTTTATAAAACAAAAATGGTATCATGTGGCACATACTAAATAAGTATTTTTTGAGAGCATATAGTATGATTTTTATCGATTTCATAGTACTCCATCTTATGAATGTGCTATAAGTTTCTTTTTTTTTTTTTTTTTTTTTTTTTTGAGACAGAGTCTTGCTCTGTCACCCAGGCTAGAGTGCACTGGTGCGATCTCGGCTCACTGCAAGCTCCACCTCCTGGGTTCATGCCATTCTCCTGCCTCAGCATCCCGAGTACCTGGGACTACAGGCGCCTGCCACCACGCCCAGCTAATTTTTTGTATTTTTAGTAGAGACGGGTTTTCACCGTGTTAGCCAGGATGGTCTCGATCTCCTGACCTCGTGATCCACCTGCCTTGGCCTCCCAAAGTGCTGGGATTACAGGCGTGAGGCACCGTGCCCGGCCAAATGTGCTATAAGTTTCTTAACCAGTTTCCTATTATTGAACAATTAGCATATTTCTCAATTTTTGCTATCTTTTATAGTAAAACATCTTTATATTTTTGCCCAAATCATGAGTAACTTCCTCAGGATTAATTCCTAGAAATGAAACTTGGGGGTCAAAAGCCAAGCTTGTTATTAGAGGCTTTTATACATGTTGCTAAATTTCCCTTTTGAGAAGATTATATAAGATGTATTTCATTCATAAATTTGTCGAACCCTGATTTTCAGACTCCTGTGTGATGATATCTAATGAAAGTAGACTCTTTTTTTCTTTTTCTTTTTCTTTTTGAGATGGAGTCACCGTGTTGCCCAGGCTGGAATGCAGTGGTGCAATCTCAACTCACTGCAACCTCCACCTCCTGGGTTCAAGTAATTCTCGTGCCTCAGCCTCCCAAGTAGCTGAGACTACAGGCACACACCACCACGCCCGGCTAATTTTTGTATTTTTTGTAGAGACACAGTTTCTCCATGTTGGCCTGGCTGGTCTCGAACTCCTGCCCTCAATCGATCCGACCACCTCAGCCTTCTGAAGTGCTAGGATTACAGGCATGAGCCACCAGGCCCGGCCAAAAGTAGACTTTTATTTTGCTCACTTTGACCTAAATGAGGGGTTCAAGAAGAAATAATGACCCTGTTGTAATCATGGTAATCCACTGCAGTAAAGTGATATCCAGCATAACTTACTTCTCTAGATTTAATGATACCTCTGTTTGAAGGCATTCTACCATTTATTAGCTGCATTAGTTTGCTAGATCTGCAGTTATAAAACACCACAGACTGGGTGGCTTAAACAGTGGGAATTTATTTTCTCACAGTTCTGAAGGCTAGATCCAAGATGAAGGTGTCTGCAGGTTTGACTTTTCCTGAGGCCCCCCTCCTTGGCTTGCAGATGTCCACTTTCTTGCTGTAGCCACACGTGGCCTTTTTTGTGTGTCACTCATCATCCCTGGTGTCTCTCCTATGTCCTAATCTTTTCTTATAAGGACACCAGTCACATTGGACTAGGGCACACCCTGGCCTCATTTTAAAGGCCCTATCTCCAAATACAGTCACATTCTGAGGCCCTGGTACTTGGGGCTTCAACATGTGAATCTTAGGGGGACCCAATTCAGCCTGTACATTAGCTGTACAGCTGGGTGCGGTGGCTCATACCTGTAATCCCAGCATTGTGGGAGGCCGAGGTGGGAGGATCACTGAGCCCAGGAGTTTGAGACCAGCCTGGGCAACATGGGGAAACTCCGTCTCTACAAATAATTTCTTTTAAAATTAGACAGGCGTGGTGGTGCATGCCTGTGGTTCCAGCTCCCAGCTATTTGGGAGGCTGAAGTGGGAAGATCGCTTGAGCTCAGGAGGTTGAGGCTGCAGTGAGCCGTGATCATGCCACTGCACTCCAGCCTGGGTGACAGAGTAAAACCCTGTCTCAAAAAAAAAAAAAAAAACAAAAAAAAACAAAAAAAAAACGCCATTAGCTCTATAATAGTTAGCAACTCAACCTCAATTTTCTCATCTGTAGAATGGGGGTGATAACACTAACTCACCTCAAAGGTAAATATTATTGTGTGGATTACATGAGGTCATGAATGTAATGTCTTTAGCATAGCACCTAGTGCATCAGGAATGCCCAGGAAGTGGCTTCTGTTGTTATTAGCTACAGCTTTGACTAAATCTGCCTTATTTGTTCCCGGTATTTTTCCACCAGAGTAGCAACTCAAATGTTCCTATGATGGGGAAGTTAAATGTACCAACAGTATATATAATTATAGATAAATTAAGGAAACATCATGATGGATTTAAACAAAGCCAAAACATTATTGCATAAATTTCTCCTCTAAGATTTCAAAAATAATATTCTTTTATATTTCCTTAGTCATTTCAGCCACTTGTTTTTACAGGCTTTTGTAATAAAGCCTGCTCCTACCTACCCTATTCTACCACACGTGATCCAAGCATAAATTTCTTTCTTTTTTTTTCCTGAGACAGAGTCTCACTCTGTTACCCAGGCTGGAGTGCAGTGGTGCAATCTCGGCTCACTGAAACCTCCACCTCCCAGGTTCAAGTCATTCTCCTCCCTCAGCCTCCCAGGTAATTGGGATTACAGGTGCGTGCCACCACATCCAGCTAATTTTTTGTATTTTCAGTAGAGACAGGGTTTCGCCATGCTGGCCTGGCTGGTCTCAAACTCCTGACCTCGAGTGTTCCACCCACCTCATCCTCCCAAAATGCTGGGATTACAGGAGTGAGCCACCACACCCAGCCTCTAAACTTCTGCTATGCTGGTTTGGGTCTGTCTCACACATAAGCAGCCTGAGAGTTCTGTGGGTTCACAAACAGAATTGAGGATTCGTTTTCTTCAGCTTCCTCTTCTCTGCTTTTCTTCTCTTTCCCTCTTTCTTGATTCTTCTGCCCAGAAGGATGGAATTTCTATCTGAATGTTAGCATTCACCGTACCTTTCCAGCTCCTTGACTGGGAATCACCTTCAGGGTACAGCTGCCAGGAAAAAAAATAAAACTGGGAACTTCCCCTGCTGCTGCCATTTCTCCAAGTTTTGACTCTCCACCATACTTTATTTGGTTTCTTTTTGTTTCAGAGGCCACAGGTAGTTGTTTTTTACATTTTGACTAGACATCTTGATTGTAACCAGCAGGAGAGATACGCTGTCACGTGCCTGTGCTGCCATGCCAGAACTGGAACTTGTCATTTGTTCTTTTAGTGATTTTAAAAATATTAACCCTATGATACTAATGTGGGGAAAAAACTGGACTAGAGCCAAGTCTCTTCACCAGAGTCCGTCTTGGGGAACATTTTCAGCCACATTTTATGTCTGTCTTCAAACTGTTGTCACTACAGTGGGTGTCCTCTCAGATCCTTTGTTTTAACGCAGTCTTTTAAAGCCAAATGTGTTTGTTCACACCCAGAAGAGCATAGTATGTGTGGCAGTTTAATCATAAACACCATATGAGAACATACTTGCCAAGTCTGCATCGGAATTGGCCACTAAACTAAGGAGCTGCATAGGGTGTTGTGTGTGTGTGTGTGTGTTTAATTTACTCCTGCTATTGCCTTTTATTGAGCCTTTTCTGTAGGCCATGACAGTGCCATACTATCTCATTTAATGCTCAGACCAACACTGTCAGGTATGTAGTATTCTTCTCATTTTATACATAGAGATGGAGGCTTTAAGAGGTAGTCAGCCTAAATAACAAACAGAGAGGCTCTCTAAAGGAAAATGATGTTTATTCAGGAATGGGAATATGCGGGCCAGTTTATTCAGGAATGGGAATATGCGGGCCATAGTAGACTATGTGCATATTCAGGGAGGTAAGGAAAATAAAAGGTTTTAGAGGACAAAATGAGAAATATATAATTATTTTGAGATAATTATCCTTGGCTACAAAGATTAATAACAGGGGTGACACACAGCCCAAGGCTGGACAGGCATCTGCTGGACAGATGCACTTGTAGAAGTATTTTTTTATGAAAGGTTGTGATGTCCTTCCTGCAGGGTTGTGGTTTTTGCAGTCTTTTGTGATAATTTTTGTTATCAGGCATACAAGCCTGAGAACTCTTTCTTCATAGCCTTTCCGGGCTCTATTGGTAAGGAATTTTTTTTTTTTTTTGACACAAATGACTCCATTTTGATTCTGACAACTTTCACAAGGTTAAGTAACTTCCCCCAAGACCCCACAGCTAATTAAGAGCTAGAGCTGGGGCTGGGTAGGGTAGTTCACGTCTGTAATCCCAGCACTCTGAGAGGCCAAGGCGGGTGGATCACCTGAGGTCAGGAGTTGGAGACCTGCCTGGCCAACATGGTGAAGCCCTGTCTCTACTAAAAATACAAAAAATTAGCCAAGTGTGGTGGCGCGCACTTGTAATCCTAGCTACTCAGGAGGCTGAGGCAGGAAAATCGCTTGAACCTGGGAGGCGGAAGTTGCAGTGACCTGAGATCGTGCCATTGCACTCCAGCCTGGATAACAAGAGCGAAACTGAAAAAAAAAGAGCTAGAGCTGTCTACTCCAAAGGTTCCACATTTAACTCCTATGTTATCCTGGCCTCCTACCTCATGGAGGGATTTTGTTCCAACAGCTATCTATCTAGGGATAGTCAGTTTGTGGCTCTTTATTAAATATAAAAGCATTATGTTTTCTTCCTTTTTTAGGAGCTCAGTGATGCCCTTGGAATCAGTATTGCTGGAGGAAGAGGAAGTCCCTTAGGAGATATCCCCGTATTTATTGCCATGATTCAGGCTAGCGGAGTGGCCGCACGGACACAGAAGCTTAAAGTAAACGAGAGAACTGGTTGAAAGACTAACAATATGTGTTGGGGTGGGAGAGGAAGTTGCAGCCCTGGGCACCTTGTTTAAAGTTGGAATTCCAGTAGCCATCAGAGACCCAGGCTGAGGGCAAGATGCATTAGATAAACTTGATACCTTTAGAAATTCATTAGGTCCCCAGGCACATAAAAATATTATTATTTGTATCAAAGCTTCTCCATAAAAGAAGAAATTGCAGCCCCTTTGCAAACCCTCCTTTACCCTTTTAAGCACCTCATTCCACCCAAAATCAGCTCTCAACTGAGAGACATTTGACCTTAGAGTCTTCCCTCAATCAAAAGAATCACCATTTTTATGATTTCTCCCCCTTGTTGCCCCTTAATCTTAACTTCAGTAGAAAAATATAGCAGAAAATATTTGGCTTCCTCATTAGAACTTTATTGAACGGTTGATGTGTACACTTCGCTTTTACTGGCAAATGGTTGTATGAAACACCACCATTACCAAAATACAAAAATGGCCTACTGTGCCTTTTAATAATCAAATGTGACCCCCTTCTTGTTGCTCTGATTTGTCTGTATTTGGGGAAAGCCAAAAAAATTCCTCATGCTTCTTGAACATGCATGCACGGTAGTAACGCAGAATCCTCACAATAGCCACAAATGGGAAATAGGACTCGCAAAGAATTTTAAGCATTCTTCTCAAATTTAATTTTTCTTAATGATAGTGATTTTCTGTCATTTTTGTACTTCCAGGTTGGAGATCGGATTGTCAGCATTAACGGGCAACCTTTGGATGGGCTGTCTCACGCGGATGTGGTTAATCTGCTGAAGAACGCCTACGGGCGCATTATCCTGCAGGTATTGCGATCAACGGAGCACGCAGCTGTGCAAGGCAGATAAGTGGCATGCAAAAAAGATTGAGCGTCACTGGCAGTAGACATCGCCACCCAGCAGGGTGCTTGCTGATGTGAATTACGAAGGTTGAAAGCAAGAAATTATTATTTTTATTCAGAAATTCTTTAATGCCACCCATACAGGTAGTGAGCATGATTATATGAAAGCATAACAAGGGGAGAAAAATTACTCTCTGCTTCACATGATAAATCAACACAGCTTTTAGTTTCCAGTGTTCTTTTGTAAATCAGAATTTGTAAGGAATAAGAAATGATTTCTTTTCTTATGCCCAAAGACTGTTACTGAACTGCCCAAGTGCTGTTTCTTCTTTTCCCCTTAAAGGAAGAGGAAAAATACAATGGTCTTTTTCCTTTAGCATAGATTGCCAACACTGTTAAATTGTCACGCGTAGCAGTCATCAACCAAGGCAGACAATTGTTTATCAGCTGTGGTCCCCAGCTGTATTGTTCAGAGGCACAAGGAAATATACCAGGATGTAAAAGCAAAGTGTGCTGTTAATTACCCCTGCTTATATTTTAGCCCTTCAGATGTCTCTGAGATTGACACCATGCAGTGACTGAGAGGCAGCATACTGGCAGTGAGTTTCATTAATGAGTTTCCCCAGAAATGTATGCTTACCATAGGTCTGCAGAGGTAATATAAAGTGGTTTATAGGTGGCTAGGCGCGGTGGCCCACGCCTGTAATCCTAGCACTTTGGGAGGCTGAGGTGGGCGGATCACCTGAGGTCAGGAGTTCGAGACCAGCCTGGACAACATGGTGAAACCCCGTCTCTGCTAAAAGTACAAAAATTAGCCAGGCATGGTGGTGGGTGCCTGTAATCTCAGCTACAGGAGGATGAGGCAGGAGAATCACTTGGACCTGGGAGAAGGAGGTTGCAGTGAGCCAAGATTGCTCCACTGTACTCCAGCCTGGGTGACAGAGTGAGACTGTCTCAAAAATAAAATAAAATAAATTAGTTTATAGGTATAAAGAATAAAGCCCACCACTTACTACCTTAGAGAGAGGGCCAGCCAGCCACTCATCATTCTAGCCTTAAAATAAGAAGTTTGGGCTGAGTGCAGTGGCTCACACCTATAGTCCCAGCACTTTGGGAGGCTGAAGCAGGAGGATCACTTGAGGCCAGCAGTACAAGACCAGCCTAGGCCATAGCAAGATCCCGTCTCTACAAAAAAGTTAAAAAGTTAGCCCGGCATGGTGGTGTGTGCCTGTAGTCTTAGCTACTCAAGAGACTGAAGCAGGAGGATGGCTTGAGCCCAAGAGTTGGAGGCTACAGTGAGCCAGTATTGTGCCACTGCATTCCTGCCTGGGCAGCAGAGTGAGACCCTGGCTCAAAATAAATAAAAATCATATAGGAAGTTCAAATTGAAAAACCATTACATAGCTGGGCATAGTGGCTCACGCCTATAATCCCAACACTCTGGGAGGCCAAGGCAGGAGAATTGCTTGAGCCCAGGAGTTTTGAGACCAGCCTGGGCAACATGGTATGATACCCCATCTCTACAAAAAAAATAAAAATAAAAATTTAATTTTAATAATAAAAAATAAAAATTAGAAAAAAAGAAAAACTGCTGGGCACGGTGGCTCACACCTGTAATCCCAGCACTTTGGGAGGCTGAGGCGGGCGGATCACGAGGTCAAGAGATTGAGACCATCCTGGCTAACATGGTGAAACCCCATCTCTACTAAAAATACAAAAAATTAGCCGGGCATGGTGGCGGGCGCCTATAGTCCCAGCTACTGGGGAGGCTGAGGCAGGAGAATGGCGTGAACCTGGGAGGCAGAGCTTGCAGTGAGACGAGATGGCACCACTGCACTCCATCCTGGGCGACAGAGCAAGACTCCGTCTCAAAAGAAAAAAAGAAAAACCATTACATTTGGGAGAAGCAATTTGTGGTGTTTTACATCTCTGTGGTGTAAGTCCAAAGTGTCCAGACATTTAAAAAGTAAGTGGCTTTCAGTATGTATGAGGGGTATAATGAAAATCCTGTCAGTTTACTATCACACTAGTCTTTAAGTTAAAATTTTAAAAGAAAGAAAAGAAAATCCTGTCATTAATTTCAAGGGAGTTTATGTGATAGGCCAAATATTATTAAATTATTTGGGTCCCTGATTTTCTATTGAACACAAACCAAAACACTGTGCGGACTGGGCATAGAATCTGCTTCCCCTCAACTCCTGGTCCTCACTTTCAGTGGAAACCTACACAGTTAACTGCATTGCTTCCTCCACCCTACAAATCCTTTGCTTTCTGAAATGGGTGGCTGTGCTTGCTCATCCTTCACGTTATGCTGACCCCTAGAGGCAGTACAGTGCAGCTCTTCAGTGCTGAGCCCAGGACCTTGAATTACAAAGACCTTAGGAGGATCCTACTTCAAATGGTAACTGACCAGAAAAAAGTCTCTCTCCCTTAGCAAAATCTAGTATTATTGATATTTTCACACATGGATATAATTTGTTCAGCTCTGTCTTCCTCACAAATAAATAAGAAGACACAATTAGCCAGGTGTGGTAGCGCATGCCTGTAATCCCAGCTACTCAGGAGGCTAAGGCAGGAGAATTGCTTGAACTCAGGAGGCGGAGGTTGCAATGAGCCAAGATCACCCCATTGCACCCCAGCATGGGCTACAAGAGTCAGACTCCGTCTCAAAAAAAAAAGGCACATAGAAACTAGCTGCTCGGAGGATGAGGCAGGAAGATCACTTGAGCCCAAGAGTTTGAGGCTGCAGTGAGCTATGATTATAGCACTGCACTCAGCTTGGGTGACAGAGTGAGATCCCAGCTCTAAATAAGTAAATAATAACATTATTTAACTATAATGTCATAATAATAAAAACCAATATAACCAAATATTAGGATGAATGAATTATTATTTTTTTTTTTTTGAGATGGAGTCTCGCTCTGTTGTCTAGGCTGGAGTGCACTGCAACCTCCCCCTCCCGGGTTCAAGCAAGTCTCCTGCCTCAGCCTCCCAAGTAGCTGGGACTACAAGCATGCACCACCATACCTGGCTAATTTTATATTTTCAGTAGAGATGGGATTTCACCATGTTGGCCAGGCTGGTCTCAAACTCCTGACCTCAAGTGATCTGCCCGCCTTGGCCTCCCAAAGTTCTGGGAGTACAGGCATGAGCCACCACGCCCAGCTGAATGAATTATTAGTAGCATGGGGATTTGTGGTGTTTTGGTAGAAGGAAAATGTGAGTTAAATCTTTATCTTCCACAATAAGAAGTGATTAGATATCAAAAATTTTAAAATCAAGAAATAGAAGTAAAACTGTTATTTAAGAATATGGAAGCACAGCCTGGCCAACATAGAGAAACCTTGTCTCTACTAAAAATACAAAAAAGTAGCCGGATTGGCGGTGCACCTCTGTAATCCTGGCTGCTCAGGAGGCTGAGGCGGGAGAATCGCTTGAACCCCAGGGGCAGAGGTTGTAGTGAGCCAAGATCTCGCCACTGCATTCTGGCCTGGGCAACGTGAATATGGAAGCAAATACTAGGAGAAACAGCTGAAAGTAGTTGCTTTTAGGGAGTAAGAATCTGTAATGGGGGTAAAGGAGCAAGGACTCTTTCATTAAATACTATAGAATCATTTTGACTTTTTAAATTATATAAATGGGCCGGGTGCAGTGGTTCACACCTATAATCCCAGCAATTTGGGAGGTCGAGGCTGGCAGATCGCTTGAGCCCAGAAGTTTGAGACCAGCTTGGGCAACATGGTGAGACCCCGTCTCTACAAAAAAATACAAAAATTAGTCGTGCATAGTGGCATGCACTTGTAGTCCCAGCTACTGGCGAGGCTGGGGTGGGAGGATTGCTTGAGCCCGGGGGGCAGAGGTTGCAGTGAGCCAAGATCGTGCCACTGCACTCCGGCCTGGATGACAGTGAGACCCTGTCTCAAAATTAAAAAAAAAAAATTACATAAGTAAGTGAATAGGTGTGATTTTTTTTTAATTGAGGTAAAAAGTTGTTGGAAAGTATTAGAACTACAGAGGATTGAGTAGATTTTTAAAACACAGGAAACAAGTAGAACTTAGAAATGATGTAACAGTTAAGTGGAAGAGTTTGGCGAGCTAAATTTTCATCTCTTAGAGTAGGGAGTCAGTGGACACCAAGATAGTACATTTCAAAATAGGCATATAAGAATATTATTTAGCTTATTCTTTAGAATTAAAAAGAGAAAAGTTCAATGTGCTTCTAGGGAGGGCAAGTGTTGAATTTTTTTTATCATGTACTGTACTATTTCATTTTTTATTATGTACACACAAAAAAGAAATATTTAGAAAAAATAGAATATGGCCAGGCGTGGTGGCTCATACCTGTAATCCCAGCATTTTGGGAGGCCAAGGCAGGTGGATCACCTGAGGTCAGGAGTTTGAGACCAGCCTGGCCAACATGGTGAAATCCCATCTCTACTGAAAATACAAAAATTAGCCGGGTGTGTTGGCACATGCCTGTAGTCCCAGCTACTTGGGAGGCTGAGGCAGGAGAACAGCTTGAACCCGGAGAGTAGAGGTTGCAGTAGCCGAGATTGCACCACTGCTGTCCAGCCTAGTCGAGAGTGAGACACCGTCTCGAGAAAAAAGAATAGAAAAGAACCAAGAATATAGGTCTGTTTGAAAAGCAGCTAAACAGATTTGAGTAGAATGGTGCTTCTCAAACTTTAGCACGCTCTGGAAACACCTGGAGGGCTCCCCCAGCCTTTCTGATTTTGCAGGAGTGGAGTGGGATTCAAGAATTTGCTTTTTTTTTTTTTTTTTTTGAGACAGAGTTGCGCTCTGAAGCCCAGGCTGGAGTGCAGTGGCACAATCTCGGCTCCACTGAGCCTCCACCTCCTGGGTTCAAGCAATTCTCCTGCATCAGCCTCCCCAGTAGCTGGGACCACAGGCACCCACCACCATGCCCGGCTAATTTTTGTATTTTAGTAGAGACAGGGTTTCACCATGTTGGCCAGGCTGGTCTCAAACTCCTGACCTCAGGTGATCCGCCTGCCTTGGCCTCCCACAGTGCTGAGATTACAGGTGTGAGCCACCGTGCCCAGCCAATTTTGCATTTCTTCTAACAAGCTCCTAGGTATTGGTGATGCTGCTAATTCAGATCCCATGCCTCAGACCCAGTGGAGTAGAGCATTATTTAGGGATGAAAAAGGTCTCCCCACGTTATTCTCTTCATCTGAAACACCCTTCTCACCGTACTCTCGTCTTTTTTTTTTTTTTTTTTTAAGAGAGAGACAAGGTCTCATTATTGGCCTGCACTCAAGAGACTGTCCCACCTCAGCCTCCCAAAGTGCTGGGATTACAGGTGTGAGCCATCGCACCCAGCCCTCTCTTTTTTTTTTTTTTTTTTTCTTTTTACTTTTTGAGACTGAGTTTTGCTCTTGTTGCCCAGGCTGGAGTGCAATGGCGTGATCCTGGCTCGCTGCAACTTCCATCTCCCAGGTTCAAGCGATTCTCCTGCCTCAGCCTCCCGAGTAGCTGGGATTACAGGCATGTGCCACCACGCCCAGCTAATTTTGTATTTTTAGTAGAGACGGGGTTTCACCATGTTGGTCAGCCTGGTCTCAAACTCCTGACCTTAGGTGATCCGCCCGCCTCAGCCTCCCAAAGTGCTGGGATTACTGGTGTGAGCCACCACGCCCGGCCTCTTTTCTTTATAAATATTGGAAAATCCTTTGTTTAGAAACTCTCCATCGAAGAATAGGGAGTGCCTGGGTGTTGATGTCCTTCCAGACCATGGTTCTCCAAAGCTGGAGAAATCTGTGTCTGTGCCTCGGGCGCAGGCCTCGCCCAGAGCAGATACCTCCTCAGTGCTGCCCACATGGAGTTGCTGAGCCATTCCAATCAAGCTGAAGGACATGAACTAATAGGGGAACAAATCAGCACAGTTACCAATGTAGTCCAGAAAAATTCCAGGAGGGGAGGAAGACGGATGGCTTACCCAGGGTTGGAAATGGAAAAGGTGTGTCATTGAGGGTGCAGAGCAGGCGCGTCATGGCCTATGTGAGTATCACTAAAGGAATGATCTGCTATTAGGTCTTTACCTTAGTTGCATAATAAAATCACTGATTTTAATACCTGTTCCTGGGCCCCACCCCAGAGGTTCAGATTTAATTTTTCTGGGATATGGCATGGACATCAGATGATTTTAAAATTTCTCAGGTGATTCTAATATGCAGCCAGGGGTAAGAAAAGTAGTCTCCAGGGTTTGCAAATAAAAAGCCAACTAATGCTTAGGCCAGGTGTGGTGGCTCACGCCTGTAATCCCAGCACTTTGGGAGGCCGAGGTGGGGGGGATCGCTTCAGGTCAGGAGTTCAAGACCAGCCTGGCCAACGTGGTGAAACCCCCTCTACTAAAAATACAAAAATAAGCCAGGCATGGTAATGCATACCTGTAATCCCAGCTACTCAGGAGGCTGAGGCAGGAGAATTGCTTGAACTCGGGAGGCAGAGGTTGCAATGAGATGAGATCGCGCCACTGCACTCCATCCTGGGTGACAGAGCGAGACTCCGTCTCAAAAAAAAAAAAAAAAAAAAAAAGCCAAATTAATGCCATGAAGACAGTGATAAACTGCAGGAAAAGGACAAAGACCCAAGGTTTGAAAGTTGAAATGAACACCTAGCCCAAGTTAGGTAGGAGAGGTAGGCTGTAGTGTCAGAAAGTCGTGAGTTTGAATCCTTTTACTAAAGTCTCACCTTCTATTCCTCTAAAACAGGGACTGTGGAGCTCCTTTCTTAAAAAGGTTGCTCTGAGGATTAGATGAAGTGTGATGTAAAGTGTCTAATAAATACAGGATGTTGCAAATGATAAATACTAAGTGGTATCTTATTACTTTCATTGTACTAACATAGGCTTGAAGTTAGAGGATACTAAAATTCCTTTATAAAATCCTGGAAGTGGAGTGGTTTTCCAGGTGGCATTTGAGGTGTGTGCCACTAGGTGGCAATGTGGCTGGAAGTCAGTTTGCCCTTTTCGAATTTTACTCCAAGTGCTTCACACTTCTTCAGACCATTAGATTTTTTTTTTTTTTTTTTTTTTTTTTTTTGAGACAGAGTTTCGCTCTTGTTACCCAGACTGGAATGCAATGGTGCAATCTCAGCTCACTGCAACCTCTGCCTCCTGGGTTTAAGCAATTCTCCTGCCTCAGCCTCCTGAGTAGCTGAGCTGGGATTACAGGCTCACACCGCCACGCCCGGCTAATTTTGTGTTTTTTGTAGAGATGGGGTTTCTCCATGTTGGTCAGGCTGGTTTTGAACTCCTGACCTCAAGTGATCCGCCCATCTCGGCCTCCCAAAGTGCTGGGATTACAGGTGTGAGCCGCCACGCCCAGCCCGATCATTAAATTTTTAACAGACACATAAAAATCAATATATTCTGGTGTCACTAAAATCAGGGTCACTAGATTCTGGACAAAAACTTTAAGCAGCTGTGCTTTCTATTTCAGTAAGTTACACCAAAGGCCAGGCATGGGCTTTTCTTGTGTGTGTGTGTGTGTGTGTGTGTTTTTCTGTAATGTGTCCCCATCTTAAGATGCCAGCTTTCTCAGGGATCACCTTAACTTTACAGCCTTCCTGTTTGTTTTCAACATGTGTGCACCCATAGTTTGAGGGTCCAGCTGCATGTAAGTGCTGAGGATTTTTATGTTTTGCGTGTGTGTGTGTGTGTCTGTGTGTGTGTGTGTGTGTGTGTGTGTCTGTGTGTGTGTGTGGTGTGTTGTTTTTTTGAGACAGGGTCTCACTCTGTCCCCCAGGCTGGAGTGCAGTGGCACAATCATGGCTCACAGCAGCCTTGATCTGCCAGGCTCAAGCAATCCTCCAACCTCAGCCTCCCAAAGTGCTGGGATTACAGGCATGAGCCGCCACACCCAGCCAGTGCTAAATTTCAGATTTGGTACTGAAAGGCTTGGGTCCTAATAAGTCTAAGGGCTAATCATCTTCTTTCGCAGGAACCTTTAGGAGAGTTCTAAGCAAGGAGCTCAAGCTTTTATGCATTGTAATATCTTTCTTATCTGGAAATTATTTTGACTTCTCAATTCTCCAAAACATAATACCTAAACCTGTTTTTAAAGAAAGATACTCAACCTAGGTCCATGCAGTAAAGACCTCTACTTTATTACTCATTTCGAAAGCTTAATAAATACACAATATTTCACTGTAGAACATATAGTTCTAATTAAGTTTAATGTTCCTTTTACCCTAAGTTATTAAATGCAACATGGAGGCAAAGCACAAGAGAGTACATGAAAATAAATATCTTCTTAAAGGAAAACAGTGGGGAAGGTGGCACAAATTAAGGAAATTCACATCAGAGGGAGAACCCTGTTGGAGAAACAGTGAGGGGGAAACCCATTGGCAGAAGGAAACATGGAATAAGTGAGTTTCGTCGGAGGGGGGAACATAGAATGAGGGGGAACAGCAGCCTGAGGGGTAAATGCCTCTGGAGGGGGGAACACAGAGTGAGGGGGCACAGCAGCCTGAGGGGGAAATGCCTCTGGAGGGGGGAACACAGAGTGAGGGGGCACAGCAGTCTGAGGGGGAAATGCCTCTGGAGGGGGGAACACAGAGTGAGGGGGGACAGAGGCCTGAGGGGGAAATGCCTCCGGAGGGGGGGACACAGAGTGAGGGGGGACAGAGGCCTGAGGGGGAAATACCTCTGGAGGGGGGAACACAGAATGAGGGGGGATAGCAGTTTGTGGGGGGAACACAGATTGAGAGGGAAGCAGGCTTGTCTGTTCTTCCACAGATGCAAACGTCTCTAACTGTTCCGTAGGCGCAGAGGACAAGGCTGCAGCCTCCCCGTCCTCTGGTGGGAGGATTTCTTCCTGCTTTTTCTTCAGGCCAGTGGCCTCCCTCACCTCAGGTGGGGGGATCTCCTCCTTCTCTTCCTTCAGGTCCATAGTCTCCTCCTCAGGTGGGGGGATTTTCTCCACCTCTTCCTTCAGGTTCACAGTCTCCTCTTCCTCGGATGAGGAGATTTTCTCCACCTCTTTCTTCAGGTCTGTGGCCTCCCCCTCTTTGGGTTGGGAGAGTTCCTTCTCTTCCTTCAGACCAGGGGTCTCCTCCACCTCAGGTCGGCAATTACTAAATATTTGATCATAAGAGTTGGGGAGGATGAGGGGAAACCAAGTAGTTCATTAAATGCCTAGTGAGACTTTAAGTAAACACAACCATTTGGCGACTTAGGAAGTTCTAGTAACTTTAATGGTGATGCAATACCCATCACCAGCAATTCCAGATCTAGTTACCTGCCCTTAAACAACCACTCAAGATGTCTACAGCAGCACTGTGCCTAACAAGAAGGAGCCTAAGTTTTCTGTTTGTTTGTTTGAGACAGAGTCTCACTCTGTCACCCAGGTTGGAATGCAGTGGCACAATCTCAATTCACTGCAACCTCCGCCTCCTGGGTTCAAGTGATTCTCCTGCCTCAGCCTCCCTAGTAACTGGGATTACAGGTGTGTGCCACCATGCCCAGCTAATTTTTGTATTTTTAGTAGGAAGGGGTTTCACCATGTTGGCCAGGCTCGTCACAAACTCCTGACCTCAGGTGATCCACCCGCCTCAGCCTCCCAAAGTGCTGGGATTACAGGTGTGAGCCACTGCACCCAGCCAAGAAGGAGCATAAGTTTAAAGGACCTGCAAGCATAAATTTAACCCACCTCCCCCATGTTGGAGGGCCGGGGCACCAGACACATTTCCAGGCCTCTGGGTCTAGCGGGACATGAGAGAAAAGTTTGCTGATCTGAGTAATGCAAAATGCAAGACCACAGCTGCAGATCTTAGGATTGGAGCTGGCCCCACCCAGGTGAAAGGACTCCAAACACTACAGCTCTGAAGCACATTCAAGTTACAGATACTTTAATGCCTATTGTCCGGGTAAGGACCTCAGAGTCCCTGTGCCTTCCCCAGAAGGAATCCCTTTCCTTCCCCTCTCCTCTATCCACTCTGACCTGCATGTATTCATATCTGCCTCCCACACTAGATGACATTGGCTGCAAGCTCTCTGGAGGGCAGGGAACCTTTGCTCCCACTGGGTTTCCTCTGCCCCCATCTCTATTCTCAGAACCTTTCGCAGAAGTTTACAGCCAGGAGTGTAAGATTTACTTTTAAAAAAGAGCAAACTGGCCGGGCACGGTGGCTCACACCTGTAATCCCAGCACTTTGAGAGGCCGAGGCAGGCGGATCACGTGAGGTTGGGAGTTTAAGACCAGCCTGGCCAAGATGGTGAAACCCCGTCTCTACCAAAAATTCAAAAAATAGCCGGGCGTGGTGGCGGGCGCCTGTAGTCCCAGCTACTTGGGTGGCTGAGGCAGAGAATTGCCTGAATCCGGGAGGCAGAGATTGCAGTGAGCCGAGATTGCGCCACGGCACTCCAGCCTGGGCGACACAGCGAGACTCCATCTCAAAAAAAAAAAAAAAAAAAAAAAAAAAGAGCAAACTTCTCATTAGACTCTTTGCCTTCCCCAAAGCACACAAACATCTCCCAGCCTTACCTCTGTGTTGTTCAGTCAGTCCCTGATGGTGATGGTGGAAGAGCTCTTCAGTGGCGGGGCTGAGCCAGCTCACAGACCATATCTCAGAGTTGAACTTACATGAACTCAAAGCTGAACACACCCTTTGGAGATCAGATTATCCCCTTTCACAAGTCAAAGCCCCAGGAAGGTTTAACTCTGCTGCCTATCAAGTTACTTGCCAATCACCTCTTAAGACAGAAGGGCTTGATGGGGATTTCTTAGAGCTGTAAAGTCTAAAAGTCATTCTTTTTTTTTTTTCTTTTTTTTTGAGACAGGGTCTCACTCTGTTGCCCAGGCTGGAATCCAGTGTCACGATCATGGCGTGCTGTAGCCTCAACCTCCCGGGCTCGGGTGATCATCCCACCTCAGCCTCCCAAATAGCTGGGGCTACAGTCATGAACCACCACGCCCAGCTAATTTTTGTATTTTTTGTAGAGTCAGGGTCTCACCATGTTGCTCAGGGTGGTCTCGAACTCCTGGGCTCATGTGATCTGCCTGCCTGGGCCTCCCAAAGTGTTAGGATTACAGGCATGAGCCACCTTGCCCAGCCTAAAGTCATTCTTAAGGTGACATATTTGTGCTCTCCTTGTCTTCCTGCAAAAGACCAAGCTGTCAGTGAAAGTCCATCACGTTTCTCATTCAGCCCCTTGGATTCCACTTCTACAAAATAGGCAGAAGCGTGGACAACCCCAAGTGTCCTGGGTGGGTCTCTAAGATTCAGTATTATCAGTTTTTTTCATTTCGGGGTGGAGGAGTGAACAAAATGACTTCAGGTTTTAGAGGGATGTGAGTTTTTCCATAAGACGATGCTACAGAAGTGTTTTTATACTTTGCAGCTAGACTTTTTAAAAATTGATTTTTGGCCGAGCGTGGTGGCTCACGCCAGTAATCCCAGCACTTTGGGAGGCCGAGGCAGGCGGATTACTTGAGGTCAGGAGTTTGAGACCGGCCTGGCCAACATGGTGAAACCCCGTCTCTACTAAAAATACAAAAATTAGCTGTGTGTGGTGGCAGGTGCCTATAATCCTAGCTACTGGGGAGGCTGAGGCACTAGAATCACTTGAACCTGGGAGGCAGAGGTTGCAGTGAGCCGAGGTCATGTCACTGCACTCCAGCCTGGGCAACAGAGCGAGACACCACCTCAAAAAAAAAAATTGATTTTTACCCAAATAAAACTATGACTTTGGTTTTACCATTTGTATGGTGGATTTCATGGACTCTTGAAAGGATAATCTCTTTCTAAAAGGCAATGAGCTGGTCTCGGTGGTTCACGCCTGTATTCCCAGCTACTGAGAAGGCTGAAGTGGGAGGATCACTTGAGTCCAGGAGTTCAAGGCTGCAGTGAGCTATGATCGCACCACTGCACTCCACCCTGGGTGAGAGAGCAAGACCTCATCTCTAAAAATAAAATAAAAGCTAGACAGCTTTCTTCCTAGAAAGCTAGGAAGGTTTCTAGGAAGTGGGGGTGAGGTGGTGGGTGTGTTATGCCTCCCACCCCTCAGGCTGTCTCCCTGCAGTACCCTGGAGAGTGAAGTACCCCGGAGAGTGAAGTACCCCCTGGTGCCAAGCACATGCCATCATGATGGTCTGCTCTACTTGCATCTTCTTGTCCCACTGTCCCTCTGCCCCTCCCCTTCCCATGCTCCAAATATGGCCTATAAACTCTGTTGCCTCACACAAGGTGATTTGCCTCACACCACAGTTAGGAGTACAAGATTCTAGATTTGGATTTAAATCCTGGCTTTACCCCTTACTACCTGTGTGACTTAACCTCCCTGCTTCAGGTTCCTCATCTGTAATATGGAAATAATAGCAGGGACTCAGAAGGATGCTTAAAGACATACATAATGCAGCACCACCACGGCTGAATGTAAAATGAGCATAGCCGGGCGCGTTGGCTCATGCCTGTAATCCCAGCACTTTGGGAGGCCGAGATGGCCAGATCACTTGAGGCCAGGAGTTCAAGACCAGCCTGGGCAACATGGTAAAACCCCATCTGTACTAAAAATACAAAAATTAGCCAGGCATGGTGGCATGCACCCGTAATCCCAGCTACTCGGGAGGCTGAGGCACAAGAATTGCTTGAACCTGGGAGGTGGAGGTTACAGTGAGGTAAGATTGTGCCACTGCACTCCAGCCTGGGCAACAGAGTGAGACTCTGTCTCAAAAAAAAAAAAAATACGGTGACTCACGCCCGTATTTTGGGAGGCCAGCACTTTGGGAGGCCAAGGCAGGTTGATCACCTGAGGTCGAGTTTGAGAACAGGCTGGCCAACGTGGTGAAACCCCATCTCTACTAAAAATACAAAAAATTAGCTGGGCGTGGTGACACACACCTGTAATACCAGCTACTTGGGAGGCGGAGGCAAGAGAATTGCTTGACCACGGGAGGCAGAGGTTGCAGTGAGCCGAGATTGTGCCATTGCACTGCAGCCTGGGCAACAGAGCAAGCCTCTGTCTCAAAAATAAATAATTAAATAAACAAATAAATAAAAATAAGCATAAAGTAAGTGCTCATTTTATATTCAGCCATAGTGATGCTGTATTATGTTGAATAAATGAGCGAGTAAAGGAAGGAGCAGGCTGCTGTCACATCTTGGCATTTGACGATACCTTAAAAAAAAACACTATTTTAGTGACTTTCTTCCTCAGCCCCATAAGGACAGTCTGTTTCATGGACAGCTGACAACAGTACCCGTGTAACTTCCCACAAAGCATAGGACTCCCCTCCACTACATCCTGAATTGATTAATTTCAAGCCTCTATCTGAATGCTTGCTCCACTGAGGTGCTCATGTCCTAGCAAACTGTGCCATTCCATTCCATAACTGCCTTGTTACTTTTTTTTTTTCTCCTTTAAGAACCCAACACCTATCTCCTTGTAACCTCCATCAGTCTCACCCTGCTCTGTGGAAATTCAGAAAATTGAGTCCCAAAAAGCAACCACAGAAAATTGAGTCCCATAATCCCTATTCCTTATGACAGTTTTAGATTCGCTCATTCACTCCACAATTATTAAGCAATTGTTATGTGCTAGACACATTAGCATTGTGCTGAGGAGAAGCAGTCCTGATCCTCATGGATCCTGTGATTGGGTGGGAAATACAGTCAACATGCACATAGATGCTAATCACCATAATTTGTGAGAAATACTTGGAGAGTGCTATGGAGAGGAAAACAGGAGAAATTAAACACGGATGGTCAAAGCAGGCTTGTAGAAGGGAAGTGACATTTAAGCTGATGCCAGGCACGCTGGTTTGGGGGATGGGGGGAATTCCCCGCCTGGAGAGGGAACTGGAATGTGGGGTGGAGTCGAGAGAGAGACAGGATTAGAGGAGTAGGCTATGGAGGGAACTTTATATGCATAATTAAAGTCTGAATTTTATTCCAAGTCCAAAGGGAAAACACTACAAGGTTTTAAGCAGGGGAGTGCGGATACCCGTTTTATATTTGAAAAGGTAACTGGCTAACGTGTGGGAATGAGGTGAGACAAAGGTGAATGGGGATTCCAGCTAACAGGCACTTGATGATGAACTGAATTAGGATGGTCACCTGTAGATGGAAAGTAAAGTTTTGAGAAGGATTTTGGAGGTAGAATCCAGGGGACTTGATGGATTACGTACAGCAAGCAGGAGTGGAGGGATCAGATATTCAGAGAGCGATCAGCTATATGGCTGGCATCCTAGCATCCTTTCCAGTTAGACAGGCACCAGCCAGCACACCAGTATTTTCACTATTTCACCCAGTATATTTCTAACTTGGCATCTGGAGGTGCCATTTACTAAAATGAGGAAAACTAGAAGAAAAGTGAATTGAAGGAGATGAATTGTTAGATCAAAAGTTTGAATATTGTGTTAATTTTGATACATCTTTGAGATATTAAAATGCAGATGTCAAGTTGGCAATTGGATATCACAGACTAAGCTGGGAATTTTTTTTTTTTTTTTTTTTTTTTTTTTTTGAGACAGCGTCTCCCTCTGTCACCCAGGCTGAAGTGCCATGGCTTGATCTCGGCTCACTGCAACCTCTGCCTCCTGGGTTCAAGCGATTCTCCTGCCTCAGCCTCCCAAGTAGCTGGGATTACAGATGCCCACCACCACGCCAGCTAATTTTTGTATATTTAGTAGAGACCAGATTTCACCATGTTGGCCAGGCTGGTCTTGAACTCTTTACCTCAGGTGATCCAGCCCACTCTGCCTCCCAAAGTGCTGGGATTACAGGCGTGAGCCACCACGCTGGCCTAAGCTGGGATTGTGAGCACGTTGGAATGTAAAGCTGTGGGAATGTACATGCTGTCACTTGAGCCTGAGTGTGCAAGTGGATAATGGGCCCAGGACTGCACCATGAGAGATGAATGGAAGAAGAGCAAAGAGATGGAGAAACAGGCCCCTGCAGAAGGAAAGCCAGAAGAGTGTGGGTCATGGAAGTTTGGGTGGGAGATGGGGATGGAAGCTGGAGTGGGGTAGGTTTATAAAGATGGTGGACTTCAAGAGTAGGGAGGATAAAAGAGTTCATGGACAAGTTAACCTTCCAGTACACTTGCTGTGGAAGAGAGCAGAAAGCTGGTGCTAAGAGGAGAGACTTTTCGGGGCAGGGAGAAATCTATCGTTTCCTCCTTTAATCTTTCGTCCTAAATATTTCCCAATTCATTCCGTCATTCTTCATGCAGTGGTATTTCCAGAAGATTCTATAACTTGGACATAGCAGTGTTTTCCCCAGAATAGGATGCTTCACCCAAAATGTGTTCTCATTCTTCATACAGTGGTACTTCCAGAAGATTCTGTAACTTGGACATAGCAGTGTTTTCCCCAGAATAGGATGCTTCACCCAAAATGTGTTCTGGGGCAGGCCTATTTTCTTTCTTTTTCTGCTCTACTTAACAGATGAAGCTTAATTTAGCATTTTAGGCAGCTGTGCCCTCTGTTGGCCTTTTCTGAAATTGCAATCAAGTCGAGCTTTGCATTGCTGGCAGACAAAGTTCCCTCTGTATTTGTGCAGTGAGAATTATAACCCAGAAGCAGAGGTAACCAAGGAGCTCTTGAGAAAGTATCTCTGGTAACTAGTTGAGGTGGAAGACAACTCCAGGATAAGGAGGCAAAACAGACTTTTATGATTCCCATTTAATAGATGAGGAAGCTGAAACTCACATATGGCATTGATAAGAGGCTGAAACTGAACTCTGGAACTCCATCCTGAGTCCTGTTGTGGACTCCCAGAGCTATACTATATTTCTTCTAAATGCTCTAGAATGTTATTTGCAAAAAAAAAAAATATATATATATATATATAATTAGCAGAATACAAAGTGCCATTATTCTACTATACCTTTGTTTTTGTTTGTGGGTTTATTTTTATCTTATTTTATTTTTGAGACAGTTTTACTCTGGAGTGCAGTGATACGATCTCTGCTTATTGCAACCTCTGCCTCCCAAGTAGCTGGGACTCCAGGCCTGTGCCACCACACCGGCTAATTTCTTTTGTACTTTTAGTAGAGACAGAGTTTTGCCATGTTACCCAGGCTGGTCTTGAACTCCTGAGCTCAAGTGATCCGCCCACCTCGGCTTCCAAAAGTGCTAGGATTACAGGTGCGAGCCACCGTGCACAGCCTATTCTACTATACCTTTGTTTAGGACTATCTAAGAGGCAAATCTCAGGGAGTCAGAGATATTCATCCATTCTTTCATTCACCAGTTATTTACTGAGCACCTGCTATGTGCTAGGCACTCTTCTATGTGATGGGGAATACAGGAGTGAACAAAGCAGACAAACTTCCTGCCCTTACATTCTAATATGAAGTGATAGACAATAAATAAGATAAACAAGGTAAGATGTATGCAGTTCATTAGATAGTGATGGTGGTAAGAAGGAAACAGGCCAGGTAAGGTGGCTCACGCCTGTAATCCTCCTTACTTTTGGAGCCAAGGTGGGAGGATTACTTGAGCCCAGGAGTTTAAGACCAGCCTGAGCAACACAGTGAGACACTGTCGCTACAAAAAATAAAAAGTTAGCTGGGCATGGTGGTGCATGCCGGTAGTCCCAGCTACTTGGAGGATGAGGTGAGGGGATCTCTTGAGCCCAGGAGGTCAAGGCTGCAGTGAGCTGAGATCATACCACTGCACTCCAGCCTGGGTGACAGAGCAAGTCCCTGTCTCAAAAAATAAAGAAAAGGCCAGGTGCAGTGGCTCATGCCTGTAACTCAGCACTTTGGGAGGCCAAGGCGGGCAGATCACTTGAGGTCAGGAGTTTGAGACCAGCCTGGACAACATGGTGAAACCCTGTCTCTACTAAAAATACAAAAAAATTAGCCAGGCATGGTGGCATGCGCCTGTAATCCCAGCTACTTGGGACACTAAGGCACGAGAATTGCTTGAACCCGGGAGGCAGAGGCTGCAGTGAGCCGAGATCGTGCCACTGCACTCCAGCCTGGGCGACAGAGTGAGACTCTGTCTCAAAAATAAATAAACAAATAAATAAATGAAAGAAATAAATATTTAGAAGGAACCAGGAAGCGGGGAAGGGGAACATGAAACATGGAGCTGGGATGTTGGTGTGGAAAGGTTAGAGTGGCCAGGGAAGGTGGCTCAAAGGCCTCAGAGTAGTGAAGAAGCCAACCACACAGATGCCAAATACAGAACGTGCCAGGCAGAAGGCACAGCGGTTAAAGTGCTGAGGTGGGGATGCGTCTGGCATGTGAGAGAAACAGTGAGGAGGCCGGCACAATGGGGCGGAGAGAATGCCAAGGAGAATGTTAGGGGAGAGGCAGAGATGTCACAGGACACATCACTGCAGATGACCCTAGAGGTTACAGGAAGGACTTCAGTGATGGTCCAAGAGAGTCGAGTTTCCTTTGGACAGTTTTAAGCAAAAGATTGGAATAATCTGCTCCATTGTAACAGAAACATCCTAGCCGCTATGGATGGAGGGGCTGAAGCGAGAAGACCAGTGAGAAGGCTAGAAATAATTTCATAGAAAAACGAATAGAATTTTACTGGCTGCAGTGGCTCACGCCTGTAATCCCTGCACTCTGGGAGGCCGAGGCAGGCAGATCACCTCAGGTCAGAAGTTCGAGACCAGTCTGACCAACATGGAGAAACCCCGTCTCTACTAAAATACAAAAAAATTAGCCAGGCGTGGTGGCGGGTGCCTGTAATCCCAGCTACTCGGGAGGCTGAGGCAGGAGACTCGCTTGAACCCGGGAGGCGGAGGTTGCGGTGAGCCAAGATCACGCCATTGCACTCCAGCCTGGGCAACAAGAGTGAAACTCCATCTCAAAAAAATAAAAATAAAAATAAATTTAAAAAAAAGAAAAACCAATAGAATTTCATGAGGATGGAATGTGGGTTGTGAGAGACAGAGATGAGCCAAGGATGACACCATCCTTGAAACTGGAAAAATCAAGCTACAGTTGCCCAAGATGAAGAAGGCTCCAGGAGCAAAGGTTGCAGGGAGCAAAGCCTCCATTTTAGACATGTTAGCTTTGAGATTCCTGGAGACGTCCCATAGATGTCTATGGACCCAGTGACAACTGGATCCATATATCCAGTTGTGACATCCAGTGGGTGACTGGATATATGGATCTGGTGTTAGGTAAGCATTGGAGCTAGAGGTACAGATTCAGGGATTATCATCACTTAGATGGCATTTACATTCATGAGATGGATGGGATGGGATATGGGATGGGATGGAATGGGAGACAATGGGATGGGATAATATGTTTAATGGAAAAGATAAGAAGCTCAAGGACTAAGCCCTGTGGCCCTCAGTTAGAGGTTTAAATAATAGAAGGAATGGCCAGAAGTGTGGAAAATAAACTAGTGAATTGTGGTGTCATGGAAGCCAAACGAAGAAATGAAGAAAATAGTTGAAGGCCGGGCACAGGAGCACATGCCTATCTATAATCCCAACACTTTGGGATATCGAGACGGGCGGATCACTTGAGCTCAGATGTTGGAGACCAGCCTGAGCAACATGGCAAAAACTCCCTCTACAAATACAAAAAAATTAGCCAGGGCTGGGCTTGGTGGCTCACGCCTGTAATCCCAGCACTTTGGGAGGCCAAGGTGGGCGGATCACCTGAGGTCAGGAGTTCAAGACCAGCCTGGCCAACATGGTGAAACCCCGCCTCTACTGAAAATATAAAAATTAGCTGGGCGTACTGGCACTCGCCTGTAGTCCCAGCTACTCGGGAGGCTGAGGCAGGAGAATCACTTGAACCCAGGAAGCAGAGGTTGTAGTGAGCCGAGATCGTGCCACTGCACTCCAGCCTGGTGACAGAGCGAGACTCCGACTAAAAAAAAAAAAAAAAATTAGCCAGGCATGGTGGTGGGTGCCTGTAATCCCAGTTACTCAGGAGGCTCAGGCAGGAGAATCATTTGAACCCGGGAGGCAGAGTTTGCAGTGAGCTGAGATCGCGCCATTGCACTCCAGCCTGGGTGACAAGAGTGAAACTGTCTCAAAAAAAAAATTAGCAGGGCCTGGTGGTGCATGCCTGTGGTCCCAGCTACGTGGGAGGCTGAGGTGGGAGGACTGCTTGAGCCTGGGAGGTCAAGGCTACAGAGAGCCAAAATCATGTCACTGCACTCCAACCTGAGCAACAGAGTGAGACACTGTCTTTAAAAAAAAAAAAAAAAAAAAGTTTGAGAGAATAGTCCTTGTGTCAAATGGTCTAGATAAATTGAATAAGATTAGGATTGAGAACTGACCCTTGGATACAGCATGGTTTCTCTAATTCTCCCCTTCTTTATAATGAAATACCTTTTTTTCACTTTTTCCCCAGGTTGTAGCAGATACCAATATAAGCGCCATAGCAGCTCAGCTTGAAAACATGTCTACAGGCTACCACCTTGGTTCGCCCACTGCTGAACACCATCCAGAAGACACAGAGTGAGTATTTCAGATGCAGAGGGCCTATTATGCATGTGGGCAAAGCTCGGAAGAACTTTTCCAGACACTCAAGTGCACTCTAAAGGAGAAGTGGCCAAAGCGCCCGTGACTTTTTCTAAATTCTAGGGAATCCTTATTTCTCACAAGGCTTAATTCCACCACATGAGTTCTTGAAAGACCATTGTTGCAGGGCCTGCACACACACTGCATCTGGTCACTTTGACACAGTGCCTATGCCTGCTTCCCTAAGAAACCACGGATGTATAGCCCAGGTGCACGCTGCTTTATTGTGCAAGGAACCACGTTTCCTGAACTTCTAGGCTAAAATCTTGTTCTGAGATGAAATCTTGTTGTTATACTTGCTGACATGTTTCATTAAAACCAGTCATCGCAGTTAAAGTTGTTCATTAAAGCAGGGTTTCTCAAACTAGAATATGCATAAGAGTAATCTAAGGGCCGGGCTCAGTGGCTCATGCCTGTAATCCCTGCGTTTTGGGAGGCCGAGACGGGTGGATCGCCTGAGGTCAGGAGTTCGAGACCAGCCTGGCCAACATGATGAAACCCTGTCTCTATTAAAAATACAAAAAATTAGCCAGGCGTAGTAGCGGGCACCTGTAATCCCAGCTACTTGGGAGGCTGAGGCAGGAGAATTGCTTGAACCCGGGAGGTGGAAGTTGCAGTGAGCCAAGATTGCACTACTGCACTCCAGCCTGGGCAACAAGAGGGAAACTCCATCTCAAAAAAAAAAAAAAAAAAAGAGGAGTAATCTAGGGAGCATGTTTAAAGATGCGAATTCCCAGGCCACATCCCAAAATTCTGACTAGGTGGTCTGTGGTGGATTCCAGAAACCTGATGTTAACAAGTTTCCCAGAGTGATTCTGCTACAGATGGGCAAAGGATCTACACTTTGAGAAATGCTGCCTAAAGCTATTCCTCTCAGGTACCAGCAGTGCCTGGTCACTAGTAGGTGCTCAATAAATGTTTGTTGACAAATCTGGATGGTTCATTTGAAGGATCTCATGGTCATAGCCCGTCCCAATTTTTTCCTGGTAGTTCCCCACCTAAATGACATCTTTGAGTTTATTTTTCTTGAGGAAAGAATATTAAATTAAGCTCATTCTACCTTTTTCTCATTATAAAAGTTAATACATGCATGCCATGAACATATGACAACACATAGAAATATAACATTTTTCAAATTACGGTGGCCTTTTCCTTAAAAAAAAAAAAAAATCAGGACCTTTATAGGAAGTACAGCGTACCTTTAGCATCCTTTGATGTGGCTATGGAAATACAGAGATCCCCTTGTAATCTTAATTCCTTTGCTATAATTCCATGCCTCTGGCAGGCTGGGAACCACAAGCTTAAAGGAATTTAAAAATCACTCATAATCCCACCACTGCTAACACTGGGATTTTTTTTTTTTTTTACTAGCCTTCTATATGAAAGTAAATTTAAACTAATTGGTTGAAAATGTTATGATATTGTGAGATCAATAGAGGCAAATTCCATCTGATGTTGCCAGTTGAGGAGTAGAGCCACACTCCTCCCTCTTCCCCTGAAAACATGTCCCTGAGTATAGATAGGCACAATTATAAGGGTCTTTAATGATTTGATGGCCACAGGAGGTAGCTCTAAAGCAATGGCTTTGGGCATCTAGCTTCTCATTCCAGTATCTTTGGAAATGGGGGCTGTGTTTGAAAGAAGAAACATGAATCGAATTTGTATCCAGCTGGTGAGCTGTTACTGAGAGTGCTTGTAAGGCCACAAAGTGGGGAAAAGTAGAGCCTTATTCATGAGTCATAATCATTCACCTATAGGGGGCAATTCATCAGTATCTCAACAGATATTTATTGAGCACCATTCTAAGGCCAGACACTTAGATACAAGTGCTAGGTCCTGAGGACTCAAACTTAGAAATGTAAGTAAAGATATTGCCCCAGTCCCCAGAGAGCTGCCAGAGAAGTGGAAAAACAGACCCATAAATCCATAGTTATAAAAGATAACTGTAGGAGAGCTAAATTCATTGAGAGAGGGTCCTGTGAAACCATGGATATGGGGCATAACTCAGTTAAGGAGTGTAGTTGGAGAAGCTGATGCTTAAGCTTAAGAGAACTGGAGCCAGTTTTAAGAGAACTGGATCCAGCATAGTGGTGCATGCTTGTAATCTCAGCTACTAAGGAGGCTGAGGCAGGAGGATCACTTGAACCCAGGAGTTTGAGGCTGCAACGGGCTGCAGTTGTGCCACTGTACTCCAGCCTAGGAGACAGAACAAGACCCTGTCTCAAGAAAAAAAAAAAAAAAAAAAAAAAAGAATTGGAATAAACAGGTGGCATTCAAAATAGTTAAGTGTGGTGGCTCACTCCTGTAATCCCAGCACTTTGAGAGGCCAAGGCCTGGGCAACATGGTCAGACCCTGTGTTTATAAAAAAATGTAAAGACAAACAAAACAGTTAAAAACAGTTAACAAGGCCGGGCGTGGTGGCTTACGCCTGTAATCCCAGCACTTCGGGAGGCCGAGGTGGGCAGATCGCCTGAGGTCAGGAGTTCAAGACCAGCCTGACCATGGAGAAACCCCATCTCTACTAAAAATACAAAATTAGCCAGACGTGGTGGCACATGCCTGTAATCCCAGCTACTCGGGAGGCTGAGGCAGGAGAATCACTTGAACCCGGGAGGCAGAGGTTGCGGTGAGCCAAGATCACGCCATTGCACTCCAGCCTGGGCAACAAGAGTGGAACTCTGTCTCAAAAAACAAAACAACAACAACAAGAAAAAGAAATCAGTTAACAATTTATATAGCATAGATCGTCAGCAGTAACTATGGATGTCTGCTGTAAACAAACAGTAAGTACATCAACAAACAACTGGTAACAATGTGAACCAGCTGAAAACCCTTTAATAAACCCAGCAAAATTGGCCAGGCGGTGGCTCACGCCTGTAATCCCAGCACTTTGGGAGGCTGAGGCGGGCAGATCATGAGGTCAGGAGATCGAGACCACCCTGGCTAACATGGTGAAAAACCCCGTCTCTACTAAAAATACAAAAAAATTAGCCAGGAGTGGTGGCAGGCGCCTGTAGTCCCAGCTACTCGGGAGGCTGAGGCAGGAGAATGGCATAAACCCAGGAGGCAGAGCTTGCAGTGAGCCGAGATAGCGCCACTGCACTGCAGCCTGGGTGACAGAGCGAGACTCCGTCTCAAAAAAATAAATAAATAAACCCAGCAAAATTGAGGAGGGAGAGAGGGAAGAATATTCTAGTTAAATAGAACAACATATTCAAAGATTGCTTGTGTCCCCATTTTGCAAATTTCTCTAAGTACATGAATGGCTGAGTTTATATGAGATGACTTCGCCTCTCAGACATGCATGTTGCCACAAAACAAAGGATGCTGCCAGTACACGAATATGAACTACCTATCATAAATAAGACAGGGTCTGGGTTTCTGCCTTTTGAGCAATAGCATTTGGGAATAAGAAATTGGCATCACCTAAACTTAGATTAAGATTAAATTACTGGGAGCCCACATAGGTAATTTAATTTTTAGCCATGTTGTTTCTAAGAGAGAAGACTTCCACACTGGATGAAGCTTTGAAAAGCTAAATTTTACATTTGAAACAGATTTTCTTTCTCCATTTTGTTTCACCTTGGTTTCTCTCTTCTCTCCTGGATTTCAGTTCTCATCTACACAGTCATGATCCTGAGTTTCTGACAAGCACCACACATGGTACTGGGAAGTCTCAGATGACTAAGACAAAGAGGTTATAGTCTGGTAGAGGAAATGGATGGCTAAGTAATTACAATATGATACAGTCAGTGCCAAAATGGAAATTTGGACTCAATGTAGGGGAAGCACAGAAAAGGCTGTGGGACCCATCCTCCCAAGGGAGGCAGGAGAGCCTCACATTGGAAGTGAGTTTGGAGAATGAGTTCCTGCCTTAGGTGGAAGTGGCCAGGGCGTTCCGGCAGAAAAGGAGCAGCAGTCTGAGTGCGGCAGCTCACGCCTGGAATCCCAGCACTTTGGGAGGCGTCAGGTGGATCACCTGAGGTCAGGAGTTCGAGACCAGCCTGGTCAACATGGCGAAACCTCATCTCTACTAAAAATACAAAACTTAGCTGGGCATGGTAGTACACGTGTGTAATCCCAGCTACTAGGAGGCTAAGGCAGGAGAATTGCTTGAATCCGGGAGGTGGAGGTTGCAGTGAGCCAAGATTGTGCCACTGCACTCCAGCCTGGGTGACAGAGCAAGACTCTGTCTCAAAAGAAAAAAAAAAGGTAAAAGAAAAGGAGCAGCAGTTTCCTGAGCTGCGAGCTGATGTTATCTGTTATGGACAAGAGTTTATGTGAAGACTGGCAGTCTCCCACCACACTAGGAGACACGCTACCTCTGTCTCCATGCACATGCTTCAAGGATGTGACGACAGCTTCCTTCAGCTGTCAGCAGTAAGTTTAAAAGTTAAAAACTGGCCGGGTGCAGTGGCTCATGCCTGTAATCCCAGCACTTTGGGAGGTAGAGGCAGGCAGATCACTTGAGGTCAGGAGTTCGAGATCAGCCTGGCCAACATGGTGAAACCCCATCTCTACTAAAAATACAAAAATTAGCCAGGTATGGCACACACCCATAGTCCCAGCTCCGTCTCAAAAAAAGAAAAAAAAAAGAGTTAAAAACTAAGCATATAGAAGAGTGCTTTGACAATTTCAGCATCATGACTTTATCTTTAATTAGCAATCAGTGAGTTTTATGAAAGAGAAACCTCTAAAACATCAAGAATATTGGTGATTAATTAGCATGACATGAGAAGTTAGAAAATAACTTTCTAGATTGCTTTCTGAGAGTTTGATCTGATAAACCAAACTTCATAGTTTTGCAGTATGAAAGTCTCTCTCAAATCTGTATTCTTCCAATTAAATGAAATTCCCTCTCAATATCTATTCTCGAATTAAACAGCATGCATTGTGTTTTCAGAACACCTCCACCTAAGATTATTACTTTGGAGAAAGGCTCTGAAGGCTTGGGGTTTAGTATTGTAGGGGGTTATGGAAGTCCCCATGGAGACCTGCCAATTTATGTCAAGACTGTATTTGCAAAGGTATATCTTCTTTTTTAATGTACTTTTTTAAAAAAATTAAACCTAGGTGAGATTTCTTTTAAGTGCTTTGCTTTGCTTTACTTTGGGTCAAACCTGGATGTGTGCATGTATGCTCATTTCATTTGAATCTTATAGGAAATTCTCACACAGGAATAGTGGGAGAAGAGTTCTTTTACAATGGCGGAGTCACAAGAAGTGCAGTCTCCTTTGGATTCTGTGACAGAAGCAGATGCTCACAGATTTTTAGAGTGTCTTCTTTCAGCAACACAGCATAAGGAGCAGTGCCACTCTTTAGAAGGTGTCCTTGGAAGTATTGTTCTGAGCTAGAACAAAAAAAAGATTTGGCTTTCTTCTTGAAAATAACAGGCACCAGGGGGCTGAGGCAGAAAGGTTTGTGCTGTGCAAGCCTCGAATCAGTGCATTCTTTATTTTATTTTTTGAGAGGGAGTTTCGCTCTTGTCGCCCAGGCTGGAGTGCAATGGCTTGATCTCAGCTCACTGCAACCTCTGCCTCCCCGGGTTCAAGCAATTCTCCTGCCTCAGTAGCTAGGACTACAGGCGCATGCCACCACGCCTGGCTAATTTTTGTATTTTTGGTAGAGACGGGGTTTCGCCATGTTGCCCAGGCTGGTCTCAAACTACTGAGCTCAGGCGATCCACCTGCCTCGGCCATCTAAAGTGCTGGGATTATAGGTGTATGCCACTGTGCCCAGCCTGAGTAATTATTTTTAACTTCACTGATTTTTTTAATTGGAATTTAATTTTTTATAAATTTTGAAGATCTCTGAGAAGTATTTCAAATTGATACTACAGTTTTTTTTTCTTCTTTGGTTTTATCATAGTCATTTGTTTATGAACAGATCTTGTTGAACTGCTTTGTTTTCCTAAAGAAATAAAGGTCTTCGAGGCTGGGCATAGTGGCTCACGTCTGTAATCCCAACACTTTGGGAGCCTGAGGTGGGTGGATCACCTGAGTGCAAGACCAGCCTGGTCAACATGGCAAAACCCGTCTTTACTAAAAAACACAAAAATTAGCCGGGCATGGTGGCACATGCCTGTGATCCCAGCTACTTGGGAGGCTGAGACATGAAAATCCCTTAAATCTGGGAGGCAGAGGTTGCCATGATCCCAGATGATGCCACTACACTCCAGCCTGGGCAATCCATCTCAAAAAAAAAAAAAAGAAAAGAGAGAGAGAGAGATAAAGGTCTTTGAAAGGAGAAATAAGAAGGAATCTGTCTCTTTCCAGAAAGCTAAACTATACATTAAATACAAGCTTGCTTTTACCTGTGCAGATCTTAGATCTTATCACCTGTTAATTGGGCCCAGTGACCTGCCATAAAACCCTTTAGTCATTTGGCATTTACTTTTGGACCACATTGAGCAGCTGCACATTTACCCCCTTCCTGCATCTTGCTAGAATGCCTAATAAGGCATGTTATTCCCAAACAACCTGTTAAACTGGTGATAGGCAAAAGAGGAGCGGAAAGGCAGCACAGAAACATTCTGGGTAGCAGAATGCTTATCCCCAAGGTAGATAAACCATAAACTGACCATCCTTCTCCTATGACACATTTAACACCCTAAGTTCTTGGGATAATTATTCTTTGGAGGGCATTATTATACTTTGCTTTTGAAATAGCCAGCTATGTAGATAAGGACAGTGGGAAGGCTGCAGAGTTAGCCCCCATGTTTTAACACGTTCTGCTGGCCTGCTGTTGCCTCCACAAAGCTCCTCCAGAATGTTTGCAGTCACCCGTTCACTTCATGATAACTGGATACAGACAGAACATGGGTCAGCTTCTAAGGCCTTTTGACCTGGACCCAGAGCTTAGCAGACTGCCCCAGCTGTTTGCACTTTCAATAGACTGGTGGGCTGGGACCCAGACACCTTTTGATGGCACCAGAACATACAGCTGGGAGCCAGACACCCTGACGGGGCACCAGAACATACAGCTAAGAGTAAAATGGCTGTGCATTGCTGGTGAATTTTTAAAAGAACCCACCAGCATCCACACAGTGGGACAAGAGTAGTGGGAATAAAGAATGGACTGTGGCTCACACAGAATGCCCTCTCAAAGGTCCCATTGAAAGAGGTCCTTTAGGAAGCACCCATAGAAGTAGAAACATTGTAAGGAATAGATATTGAATATTCTTCATGTATTTCGTTACTTACAGAATGGCACACCTAAAAATGAAAAGCTCTGAATTTAAAAAAAAAAAAAAAAAGACAAATTTCTAAGCCTTATCCAGTGGCCCACTTAGCGCAGTCAGTCTTACTAAAAGAATATTCCAGGCCGGGTGCGGTGGCTCATGCCTGTAATCCCAGCACTTTGGGAGGCCGAGGCAGGCAGATCACGAGGTCCGGAGATCAAGACCATCCTGGCTAACACAGTGAAATCCCGTCTCTACTAAAAATATAAAAAAATTAGCCGGGCATGGTGGTAGGCGCCTGTAGTCCCAGCTACTCGGGAGGCTGAGGCAGGAGAATGGCGTGAACCCGGGAGGCGGAGCTTGCAGTGAGCCGAGATTGCGCCACTGCACTCCAGCCTGGGTGACAGAGCAAGACTCTGTAAAAAAAAAAAAAAAAAAAAAAAAAAGAATATTCCAATAGGGCAGGACATGGTGGCTCCACCTGTAATCCCAGCACTTTGAGAGGCTGAGGCAGGAGAATAACTTGAGCCCAGGAGTTCAAGATCAGCCTGGACAACAAAATGAGATCCCCATCTCTAAAAATAAAAAAATTTTTTTTTAGACTCCAATGTAGGCCAGGCATGGTGGCTCACGCCTGTAATCCCTAGCACTTTGGGAGGCCGAGGCAGGCTGATCACTTGAGGTCAGGAGTTTAGGACCAGCCTGGCCAACATGGTGAAACCCTATCTCTACTAAGAATACAAAAATTAGCCATTCGTAATGACAGGCACCTGTAATCCCAGCTACTCGGGAGGCTGAGGCACGAGAATCACTTGAACCTGGGAGGCGGGGGTTGCAGTGAGCTGAGATCACACCACTGTACTCCAGCCTGGGCAACAGAGTGAGACTCAGTCTCAAAAAAAAAACCTCCAATGTAAATAATAGTTATTATTATTATTTAAATAGTCCCAAAGGATTTATTATAAGATTTACTTTGGTGAGTTTTAAAAAAATCTGTGTGACTGGGCACAGTGGTTCACGCCTGTAATCCCAGCACCTTGGGAAGCTGAGGTAGGAGGATGGCTTGAGCCCAGGAGTTTGAGACCAGCCTGGGCAACATTGAGAGACCCTGTCTCTACCAAACATTTAAAAATTAGCTGGTCATGGTGGCACACATCTGTGGTCCCAGCTACTTGGGAGGCTGAGGTGGGAGGATGGCTTGAGCCCAGGAGGTGAAATCTGCAGTGAGCTGTGATCACACCACTGCACTCCAGCCTGGGCAACAGAATAAGTCCCTGTCAAAAAAAAAAAAAAATTAAAAGAAACTTAGGATACCAAAAAGATCACATGAAAATCTATACCTTTCAAAATTCCTGTGGGGGAAATGTGTAACTCAGTATCAGAATTCATTTTAGAAAGACTTCATTAGGCCGGGCACGGTGGCTCACGCCTGTAATCCCAGCACTTTGGGAGACAGAGGCAGGCAGATCACGTGAGGTCAGGAGTTCAAGACCATCCTGGCCAACATGGTGAAACCCAGTCTCTACTAAAAACACAAAAATTAGCTGGGCATAGTGGCAGGTGCCTGTAATCCAAGCTACTCGGGAGGCTGAGGTGGGAGAATCGCTTGAACCTGAGAGGTGGAGGTTGCAGTGAGCGGAGATTACACCATTGCACTCCAGCCTGGATGACAGAGCAAGACTCCATCTCAAAAAAAAAAGTTATCTTGCTCAACTAAGAAATTATTTAATTCAACCCCTCCAGAAATTATTTAATTCAGCCCCTTATAACTCCTACACACCCAAAGTGCCTGCGAATGATCACTGGCACTTTGGGCGTATAGAAGTTGAGAGACTTAGTCAATATGACTAATAGGCTGTCAAGTCCTTCCGTTTTCTTTCAGGTATCCGGTTGAAAACTTAAAAATCCAAGCCAGGAGGGGGATGATGGCTCATGCCTGTAATCCCAGCACTGTGGGAGGCCAAGGCAGGTGGATCACCTGAGGTCAGGAGTTAAAGACCAGCCTGGCCAACATGGCAAAACCCCATCTCTACAAAATATACAAAAATTAGCCGGGCATGGTGGCAGGTGCCTCCAATCCCAGCTACTCAGGAGGCTGAGGCAGGAGAAAGGCTTGAACCTGGAAGGCGGAGGTTGCAGTTAGCCAAGATCATGCCATTGCAGTCCAGCCTGGGCAACAGAGTGAGACTCTGTCTCCAAAAAAAAAAAAAAAAAAAAAAAATAATCCAAGCCAGCCTTAGGTCTTAGTCCCTTCAGCAGCTGAATGTTACCCTAAGCCAATAAGAGATTGACCTAAACACTTCAGCAACTCTAAAAATTTCAGGAGCAGTTTTTCAGAGCCTATGAAATCTGAGCCATGAACTTGGTTGTCACTAGTGTTTTATTTTATTATATTACCACCACGTTGAGTAAATGCCATATGTCATACATTTAATCCTTAGAACAGGCCACAAGGTAGATAGTAGATGCCCATTTTACGGCATCTGAGAAGACTAAGTGACCAACTTGGGACAAATAGCAAGTGAGTAAAGAGCCACAATTACAAAGTAGGTAGAGGTTTTCAAGCCATGCATTTATTTCTTTTTTACCTTTTTCCCTGTAGTCTACAAATGCGGCATTGGTAAAGTAGGAGAGTAGATACATATCAGTAAGTGCTCATCAACCAAGCACTGCAACACTGGAAGAAGTCCAAATCCTAGAAAGTTAAAAAATCATCCTGGCTGGGCACGGACTCATGCCTGTAATCCCAGCACTTTGGGAGGCTGAGGCAGGTGGATCACCTGAGGTCAAGAGTTCGAGACCAGGCCGGTCACGGTGGCTCACACCTGTAATCCCAGCACTTTGGGAGGCCAAGGTGGGCGGATCACGAGGTCAGGAGATTGAGACCATCCTGGCTAACACGGTAAAAAACTCCGTCTCTACTAAAAATACAAAAAATTAGCCAGGCGTGGTGGCGGGCGCCTGTAGTCCCAGCTACTCGGGAGGCTGAGGCAGGAGAATGGTGTGAACCGGCGAGGCAGAGCTTGCAGTGAGCCGAGATTGCACCACTGCATTCCAGCCTGGGCGACAGAGCGAGACTCTGTCTCAAAAAAAAAACAAAAAAAAAGAGTTCGAGACCAGCTTGGCCAACATAGTGAAACTCTGTTTCTACTAAAAATACAAAAATTAGCCGGGCCTGGTGGCAGACGCCTGTAATACCAACTACTTGGGAGGCTGAGGCAGGAGAATCGCTTGAACCTGGGAGGTGGAGTTTGCAGTGAACCGAGATCGCACCATTGCACTCCAGCCTGGGCGACAAGAGTGAAACTCCTTCTCAAAAAAATTTAAAAATTCTTTCCTTGCATTACTAAAAAAGATAAATAGCTTAACATAGTTTTTAAAAAATTAATTTACACAGATATCTGAGATTTACTGAAGCCCTTAAATCTTAGCATGTAAAATTTAATAAAATCAACTTTGCCTAGTAATTCTGATTTTATCCAGTAAAATTACTTGTTTAATTTTGTCTTTAATACAGTTGACACATTACTTTCTTAAAAGATTTGAGTGAAGTTGCAAGTTTTGGGGTTTATTTTTGAGACAGAGTTTACTCTTTTTGCCCAGGCTGAGTGCAATGGGATGATCTCAGCTCACTGCAACCTCCGCCTCCCAGGTTCAAGTGATTCTCCAGCCTCAGCCTCCCAAGTAGCTGGGATTACAGGCATGCGCCATCACATCCAGCTAATTTTTGTATTTTTAGTAGAGACAGGATTTCACCATGTTGGCCAGTCTGATCTTGAACTCCTGATTTCAGGTGATCCTCCTGCCTTGACCACCCAAAGTGCTGGGATTACAGGCATGAGCCACCATGTCCAGCCAGTTGCAAGTTATTAATATTTAGTTTTGATATTTTGCCCACAGTATAGACCTGATTTCGAATACTTTTTTTTTTTTTTTTTTTCCTGAGACAGAGCTCACTCTGTCACCCAGTCTGGAGTGCAGTGGCACTATCTCAGCTCACTCCAACCTCTGCAGGTTCAAGTGATCCTCCTGCCTCAGCCTCCCGAGGAGCTGGGACCACAGGCATAAGCCACCACGCCTGGCTAATTTTTTGTAGAGACAGTTTCACCATGTTGCCCAGGCTGGTCTCAAACTCCTGAGCTCAAGCAATCCTCTCGCCTGAGATTCCCAAAGTGCTGGGATTACAGGCATGAGCCACTGCACCCAGCAGGTTTTGAATATTCTTTATTGCACATTCATTTAGAAATTCCACCATTCTCACGGTTTAGAAAACCTGTCTGATTCCCCAGCACCTCAGGACCTCCAAGCTGCACATGGACACAGATCTCAGGAGCGTTAGTGCCTCCTAGCTCGGCTTCTGATTGAGTCGGTCGAGGGCCAAGTGCCTGTGGGCTTTGGTTGCCCACTGAAGTTTGACCTCATTTAGAGGATTCTTCTGGCACTGACTTTTCAAGGGACTGAAACAGTTACCCCTACAGATGGTGAAACCTCCTGTAAATCATTTTTTAAGGTCTTTTCTTCCCTTACCAGTCCAAAATGTTTCTAGTAATATCGTGGCATTTTTAGATATGCAGCTTTAGAGTGAAAAAACCCTGAAGTTTCACTGGCTTTGTGCCGTTTTGAGGAACTATGCATGACTGAGTATATAATAAAAGTAGTCATTTAGAAACCTATTTAGATGATCAAAGATAAAGTGGAAGGTTTTGAATATATTACAAAATTTTAGAGATGCTACACTCGTATATATTTATATGTAGATAACAGCTTTATTGAGATATAATTCACTTACCATACAATTCACCCATTTAAAGACTACACTTATTTTTGACAGATCACAGTGCTGATAGCTTAATAATGCAATGGGAACTCTGTATAATGGTGGTATTTGCAGTAAGACTAACACCAGATTCAGTTCTATCTGCCTTTTTCTGTATATTACGTTTTCATGAATAGGACATGATATGACATCCAATTCCATTTAATACTAAATAGTGAAATAAGGTTCTACTTGTATTAAAAGCAGTGTATCAGTACATTTCTACTAGTATGTTATTTAGATTATCCATAATTATAGTTACTATTCAACCATTATTATTCAAACAGCATATCTTACTTTTTTCCTAATTTAAAACATTACCTAGAAAAAACTTAATTGGTAGTTTTTAAAGTTACTCTTTTAATATGCACACCAGACAGATGTTAGAGGTTTTAATATCAATTTAATATAAACTGTGTTTTACCCTGGATTAAACTGAAATGTTTCTTGTTTGTAGGGAGCAGCTGCAGATGACGGCCGATTAAAACGAGGGGATCAGATTTTAGCTGTTAATGGCGAGACCCTGGAAGGTGTTACTCATGAGCAAGCAGTCGCCATTCTAAAACACCAGAGAGGGACTGTAACCTTAACTGTGCTGTCATGAGCCTCGGGCCTGATCACAAGATAGATGTTGTTGTTTAGAATATCCACAGGCAGATGAAGTTCTGAGTGGGTATGAAAAGCACCCTCAACTAAAATGCACCTTCATTCTTATTTCTTGCCCTCTCTGCTCAGGAGAAATGGCTGAGGTTTCATGTGAATTTCCCAAATCAACAATCATCTCCTAATGTTTCCCAGTTCCTGTCACCTGTTGGCGAGGTTGATTTCTAAAACTTAAATGAGTCTACCTGTTTTGCATTTAATTTCAGTGTTCCGATTTCTTTTTTTTTTTTTTTTTTTTTTTTTGAGACGGAGTCTCACTCTGTCACCCAGGCTGGAGTGCAATGGCGCAATCTTGGCTCACTGCAACCTCGGCCTCCCAGGTTGGAGCGATTCTCCTGCCTCAGCCTCCCGAGTAGCTGGGATTACAGGCATGCATCACCACACTGGGTTTATTTTTGTTTTTTTAGTAGAGATGGAGCTTCCCCATGTGGGCCAGGCTGGTCTTGAACTTCTGACCTCAGGTGATCTGCCTGCCTTGGCCTCCCAAAGTGCTGGGATTCCAGGCGTGAGCCACTGCGCCCAGCCCAGTATTCTGATTTTAACCAACTGGTTCTGATTATATTTACCAAAACTGGAGTTAACTTCTCTTTCCTTATACTCTTCTCTCCCTATCCCCTACTCACACCGAGGCTTAACAGCAACCTCAGATCTCATCCAATGGACAGAAACAAATGTTAAGCAACTTGTCATCTCACTCATGATTTACTTATGCTAATTGTCTCTTCAAGTAAGCAAGAAAACATTAGCAGTGTAATTAATTTACCAGTGATCCCCAAGATGAAATACCAGATTCTCCTATGGGAAATTACTGTGCTGTCTTCTGTATGACTTATGGTCAAATAAGTCTCAAATTCATTTCTCTGGATAGATCTTTATATGCTAGTCATTGGTGATTTTGATGAGTCAATTTACAGACTGTAATCTTCTAAAAATTCTGAAAGACTAATTGTTTTCTGTGCCATATAAATGCATACCACTGAGCAAATGAACCTTATTCTCAGCAGGAACAACTAGCATACATGTTCTGAATTCTAACAGTGCTAAATTACATTCAAGTCCAGGAAGATCACCTGGAATTAATGGCATTTCAGTTGGCAGGCATCATTCCCACCCCTCGGTCTTAGGAAAAGGAGGTAGAAGCCCCAGAACCACACGGCAGAGATCAGCAAGTTTTGTCTCAAGTCAGACAAGGTCTAGGTGGCCTTGGCCTTATGCAAAGTGGGTGACATATTTGATTATATTTCCCTTTACCTCCATAGTAGTCAGGCCAGCAGCATGGACTGCAAGAACCTAAGGGAGCAACATACTTAGCTGCAAAGTGAGCAAATGAATTGAGCCTAGGAATATGTGATGAAAATGCATGGCTGATGTTTCCTGATCTCCAAGGAGACTCCCATTTGCTGAAGTTTTGCATGCTAAGAAATCAACTACAGCAGAAAATACAAGAATACCTTTAAGTTGATTATTGGCAATCTTATTCATATATTAGCAAGAAAAAGGGAGAGATGCTTACTGGTGGATGCTATAGAGTCCTCTGTTTTTAAAAGTACCATGGCCGGGTGCAGTGGCTCACGCCTGTAATCCCAGCACTTTGGGAGGCCAGGGCAGGCGAATCATGAGGTCAGGAGTTCGAGACCAGCCTGGCCAATATGGTGAAACCCTGTCTCTACTAAAAATACAAAAATTAGCTGGGTGCAGTGGCAGGCGCCTGTAATCCCAGCTACTCCGGAGGTTGAAGCAGGAAAATTGCTTGAACCTGGGAGGTGGAGGTTGCAGTGAGCCAAGTTCGTGCCACTCCACTCCAGCCTGGGTGACAGAGCAAGACTCTGTCTCGAAAAAGAAAAAAAACCATGAAGGATGAGTACTAGAGTCAGTAATAGAAGTAGTTCAGCATTATTTAACTACAACACAATGCTGCAAATATTTCACAGTAATTATCAAAATTTAATGGGCTCTAATTTAAAATGTTATTTAATAAGTATAGATTTTAATTGAGAATTATCTTTGAGTAGATGTAATCACAAAGTGCATTAACTCTTGTTGGAATATTTTATGGCTATTCCAAAGTATAGAGTGCCTAAATTTTGTGTTGAAAATGTCTTTCATGACGGTATTAAGTTTTCTGAAATTACACATGGCTTTTAAAATTTCTAATGTATCCAAGATGTGCAATGTTGTTAGGATCTCATTCTTCAGTGCATGAAAAGCTACTACCCTCAGAACATTTTGTGTTAATTGTACCTGCAAGAACACCTCAGGCAAGCCAAGAAGAAATGAAACCCAAATAAAACTTGAAAATGCACCTTAAAAATATATATACATATAATAGTTTTGAAATGGGATTCTGCTTTATTTTGATGGAATGGCCATTAAATACACATTTTGAGATAATACATTGTTGTGGTGTTTCTTTATACATTATCCTTTTAGGTCGTGCTAGTAAAAGTATATTGATGAAGGAATTATGATGCTTTATACTTCTTACTGCACTAAATTGATAGAACTAGTACTTGTCATAATCGGTTCTGTCTCCGCTCACATGACTAATACGTAATTGCCTTTCCAAAAAGATATTTTTGCCTCAGAACTTACTGACAAGCTGAGAGGCTATGAAGATGGAAATTTGTGAAAGAAGTAGTGCTCTTATATTTGGCCTCATCATTTGGGCCATTTCAGTATAGTAATGATATCACTAATCGGAATTAGCATGAGAGGGAAGTAAGCCAGGAAGAATAAAACTGCTGAATGTTTGTATGTGTAAGATATTTCCAAAGATTCTAAATAAATGTAGTTGCCTACAGAGCAAATGGAGTTTTATTATATATGAAAAAGTGTACTTTCTGGATCTAATTGTGCTTTTTCTTCAGCATTTTCTTCCCTAATAGAAAAAAAAAAAAAGTCCAACTTTTCACAAGGTTTTTTGGTGTCCTGTTAAAATCTGGAATCCATGGTGGCTCACGCCTGTAATCCCAACACGTTAGGAGGCCGAGGCAGATGGATCACCTAGGTCAGGAGTTCAAGACCAGCCTGGCCAACATGGCAAAACCCTGTCTCTACTAAAAATACAAAAATTAGGATGGGCGCAGTGGCTCAGGATCCATGCCGCCATGCCCAGCCAACCTCTAATGTTTCTTTCCTGGCCCTTTCATGCATGTGCAGGTGAGTATTTGACAAAGAGGCGATCTCCATGGCTCTGTCAACCTACAGCTCCCTCCTTTCCAGACACTACATGTTCTAGCCAACTTGGCTGGCCTCCCTGAACGTGAATCTCTTTCTCCTCTACTCGTGGACTCTGTGTGAGTTTCCCCTTCCTGAGTGTGACATGGATACTGCCTCCAGGGATAAAACTGGGACAGTTGTAGAATTTACCTTGTTTTCCTTCTTGCAGGGATCAAAATCCTATGCTGCCTGTTATCTGATGTCTAAAAATGTTTCATATATTATGTCCATTTTTCTAGTTGTTTACTACAGTGGGAGGGCAATTCCCAGAGCACCTTATCCTTCATGCGGAAGCAAAAGTCCTGTATCCTTGATGCTACTGGGAATAAATGTCTCACAATATGATTATTCAATCTCATGTAAGCATTTTACACTTAAGGGAGCGCTCTACCAATAAGGTCCCTGGTTTCTCCTAACTTCTAGAATTGAGAGCCCATTTGACTCAGTGGTTGGCATCCTTCCCCAACCCCTGTTCACAGCCACACCTGCCCAGGTGACCTAGGGAAGATATCCCCTCTTCAGGAATACTCATTATCAGGATCAGAACGACAGCCATTTCTTTTTCTTTTTTTGAGATTTGCTCTGTCGCCCAGGCTGGAGTGCAGTGGTGTGATCTTGGCTTACTGCAACCTCTGCCTCCCGGGTTCAAGCAGTTCTCCTGTCTAGCCTCCTAAGTAACTGGGACTACAGTCACGTGCCACCATGCCCAGCTAATTTTTGAATTTTTAGTAGAGACAGGGTTTCACCATATTGGCCAGGCTGGTCTGGAACTCCTGACCTTGTGATCTGCCCACCTCAGGCTCCAAAAGTGCTAGGATTACAGGCGTGAGTCACTGTGCCTGGCCTACAGCCTTCTTTTCATGGGAGATTCAGCAACATTTCCTTTCCTTACAGCATTGGTTTTCAAGTTTCAAAGTAAGCACATGAAACAGTTGTTTCCTGAACCATAGGTAAGTCTTAATTCTTTCTTTCCTTCCTTCCTTCTTTCCTTTCCTTTTTTCTTTTCTTGTTCTTTTTTTTTTTAAGACAAGGATCTTGCTATGTTGCCCAGGCTGGCCTTGAACTCCTGGGCTCAAGCAATCCTTGCACTTCAACATCCTGTGTAATTGAGACTGCAAGTGCACGCCACCTTGTCTGGCACAACTAAAATTTTTTGCACCCAATTTTCTTAATTTTATGTTTTATTTATATTTTTTCTATTAAAGTCAACCAGAACAGTGAGTTTTTTTTTTAACACAAAAATTTAAATTTAGGTTATAGTCTCAGTTGTATGCCAGCCTAGTGCAAATGTTAAGTTTTTGACAGCTTGACTTTCAATCTTCAGATGCTCTATATTTAAGTAAAGATAAAAAAAAAACATTTCACTCTCTACACAATCCCAAGATAAACTGACATTTGGAAGAGTCATGTGTGTGTGTGTGTTTGACGGTGTATAAAAGACTCTCACCCCTGCCTTGCCTGAGCAGCATATCCATTTCCAGTCATGTGAAGGAGGAAGCAAGAAAGTTGCTTTGGTCTTGGGTCCCTGAGAGATTGCTGTTGGGTATCAGGACCTATGCTTGGCAAAATTATACAGGAACAAACATGTATCTGATCCTCCTTCTAGAATCAGTTTTTTTGAAATGGAGGCAACCTCAGAACTGGGAGTCGGTCCTGCCTGCTACACCACTCCTCCCATTTTACAAGTGGGAGACGCGTGCCAGAGAAAGGAAGTGACTATCCCAGTCCCCCACTAGCTTGCAGTCCTAAGAGTTTTCCAATAAACCTTAGTGGGAATTCACCAACTTAGCAAACTACGGTAGAGTACTCACACATGGCTACTAAATTAGTTCGAAATATTCTCGAGAGCTTTTTTTTCCTCTTTTGAGTCAGGGTCTCACTCTGTCACCCAGGCTGGAGTGCAGTGATGCAATCACGGCTCACTGTGGCCTCAAACTCCCCGTCTCCAGTGACCCTCCCACCTCAGTTCTCCAACTGGCTGGGACTACAGGTGTGCGACACCACGTCTGGCTAATTTTTTTTTTTTTTTTTTTTAAACTTTTTGTAGAGATGGGGCTCTCGCTGTGTTAAGACTATTTTTAAGGGCAGTTTTGGCCAGGCACGGTGGCTCACACCTGTAATCTCAACACTTTGGGAGGCCGAGGTGGGAGGATCACTTGAGCCCAGGAGTTTGAGACCAGCTTGGCTAACATGGTGAAACCCCATCTCTACAAAAAATACAAAAATTAGCCAGGCATGATGGCCTGTGCCTATAGTCTCAGCTACTCGGGAGGCTGAGGTGGGAGGATTGCTTGAGCCTGGTAGGTTGAGGCTATGGTGAGCTGTGTTTGCACCACTGCACTTCAGCCTGGGTCACAAAGTAAGACCCTGTCTGCGAAAAAATTTCAAAAGGCAGTTTTAAGTTAACAGCAAAATTGCGAGGAAGGTGCAGAGCTTTCCCACATACCTGTGCCCTCACTCACACAGCCTCTCCCATTATCAACATCCTCCACCAGAATGGTACATTTGCTACAGTGAATGAACCTATATTGACACATCATTCTCACCCAAACTCCATAGAGTACCTGAGGGTTGAATCTTGGTGATGTACATCCTATGGGTTTGGACAAATATATGATATGTGCCTACCATAAAGGTATATGGAGTATTTCCACTGCCCTAAAAGTCCTTTGTGTGCTCCCTATTCTTCTCCAACCCCCTTCCCAACCATGGAAACCAATTTTTTTTTTTTTTTTTGAGATGGAGTCTCTCTCTGTCTCAGAGGCTAGAGTGCAGTGGCACAATCTTTGCTCACTGCAACCTCCGCCTCTCAGGTTCAAGCGATTCTCCTACCTCAGCCTCCTGAGTAGCTGGGATTACAGGCGTGCGCAACCACACCCAACTAATTTTTGTATTTCTAGTAGAGACGGAGTTTTGCCATGTTGGCCAGGCTGGTGATGAACTCCTGGCCTCAGGTGATCCACCTGCCTCGGCCTCCCAAAATGCTGGGATTACAGGCGTGAGTCACGGCACCCAGCCCGTCTTCCATGTCTTTTCATGACTTGATAGCTGATTTCTTTTTAGCACTGAGTTATACTCCGTTGTGTGGATGTACCACAGTTTATCCATTTACCTACTAAAGAACATTTTGGTTGCTTCCAAGTTTTGGCAATTAGGAATAAAGCCACTATAAACATGTGTGTGCACAGCCTGAATTTGTAAGTTTATTTCAGTTTTCCCTCAACACAACCACAAGATTTGGTTCCACAATACAAGCACAAGATTTAAAAAAGATTAAAATAAAGAGTAGAAGAAAACAAACAAATGAAAAAAGGACACATCTTTTGGATGTAGACAAAGAAGACCTAGTCTATCCACTCACCGTATATCTCCACATCCTGGGAAGAATTTCCAAGGCCAGGCACTCTGGATACCCTCCCCCCTCATGGTTTAAACCTTCTTCTTCTCTAGATAGACATAGTTGATGACAGATGAGGTGTTTCAATGGCTCCTCCTGCCTAATGGCTTTACTGGGCATGCCCCCAGCATTACTCTCCCAGGAGAACAGAAGAAACGGTAATGTCTTAAAGGGACTCCATCATTCAACTCCTCTCAACCCCAGAGCCATGTGTTACTCTTTGGGGAACTTCAGGATAGCTGTCTGAAAACAGTCCAGGGAGGCTAAAGTGGAGGATCACTTGAACCCAGGAGTTCGAGATCAGCTAGGGCAACATAGTGAGACCTGATCTCCACAAAAAGTAAATTAGGCTGGGCTCAGTAGCTCACATGTGTAATCCCAACACTTTGGGAGACTGAGGTGGACGGATTGCTTGAGCACAGGAGTTTGAGACCAGCTTAGGCAACATGGCAAGACCCTGTCTCTACAAAAAACACAAAAATGAGCTGGGCCTGGTGGCACACCTGTAGTCCCAGCTACTCCGGAGGCTAAGGTGGTAGAATCACCTCAGCCCAGGGATATTGAGGCTGCAGTGAGCCTTGATCGTGCACTACAGCCTGGGTGACACAGTAAGGCCCCTATCTGAAAAATAATAAATTACTTAAAAAATCAGCCTGGCACAGTGGCACGCACCTGCAGCCCCACCTACTTTGGAGGCTGAGGTGAGAGGATCGCTTGAGCCTGGAAGTCGAGGCTGCAGTAAGCGATGATCACACACTGCACTCCAGCCTGGGCAACAGAGTGAGACCCTGTTCCTCCTCTCCCACTCCCCCCAAAAAGAAAAGAAACATACTCCAGTGGCCCCCATGCCATGAGGAATAAGATTCACCTGTTCTTAAAGACTGAGAGCAGAAACTTCCTGTCCAACATTGTATTAGTTAGTGTTCTCCAGAGAAACTGAACCGAGAGGATTTGTATGTATTCAGAAAGATTTATCATAAGGAATTAGCTTTTGCAGTTACGGATGTGGGCAAGTCCAAAATCTACACTGTGGGCCAGCAGGCTCAAGACCCAGAAGATAATTTTCTGTGAAGAATGTTTCACAGCTGGGCATGGTGGCACGTGCCCGAAGTCCCAGCTACTCCAGAGGCTGAGGGTGGGAGGATCACTTGAGCCCAGGAGGCAGAAGCTGCAGTGATCTGAGATGGCGCCACTGTACCCCAGCCTGGGAGAAAGATCGAGACCCTATCTCAACAACAAACAAAGCAAACAAAAAAAGGAACATTGATCTCATCCAAAAACACCCTCCAAATTCACAGATCAAGCATCAGACATCATGAGACCTTGAACAGACCCCTCTAGGGACGGCCTTGCCTTAGGGAAAGTGCAGAAGTGTCCACTATCCTTGTTTACAACCCCTTTCCAGCCTCCCGCCCCCTCTGGTGTCCACAACTGTGGTGCAGTCACCATCATCACTTCTACCATCCCAGAACCCTCAGGAGCAGATGGCTTGAGATCTTGCCTCTGCCACCCCACCACCCAAGGACCCTAAGTATTTGTATACCTAATTAGGTGGCTTCTCAGTGGACTCAGGGTCAAGTCTAAACTCAGCATGGATGTTAGGCTCTTCATAATTTAGCTTCCACCTTAACCTCCAGCAGTCGTGTTAACTCTCGTCTCACTAAGCACTTATCCCAGGATAAGCCGGACTCTCACACCCTTAGGCCTTTGCGCACACTATCCATTGGCATAGACAGCACTGCTGCTCAAGATGTGACTGCAGACCACCATCATCAGCATCACCTAGGAGAGGTGCAAATGTATGCCCTAGCCTAGACCAACTGCATCAGAATCTCTGGGGTAGGGCCAAAAAATCTGAGTTTTAACAAGCTCTTCTGGTGATTCTAAACACTAAACTTTGAAAGCCTGGAGAACACTCCCCTTTTTTTCCAGTCTGTGGTCATTCACAAATTGCCGAGTTCTTTTCTGCCTCCAGTGGCTAAAGGCAGAAAGAAACACAAGGCTCCTTCCTTGCTGCCTTGCCACTGGAGGTATTTTACCTGTTAGAACCAGTCTCAGACTGAGTCTGCACCTGTACGAACTTTTTTTTTTTCTTGAGACAGGGTCTCACTCTATTGCTTGGGCTGGAGTGCAGTGGCGCGATCATGGCTCACCACAGCCTTGACCTCCCAGGCTTAGGTGATCCTCCCACCTCAGCCTCCCCAGTAGCTGGAACTACAAGTGCATGCCACCACACCCACCAAATTTTTTGTACTTTTAGTAGAGACAGGATTTCGCCATGTTGCTCAGGCTGGTCTTGAACTCCTGGGCTCCAGTGATCTTCCTACATCAGCCTCCCAAAGTGCTGGGATTACAGGCGTGAGCCAGCACACCCAGACTGAACTTCTTTCTTTTTTTTTTATTAAAACAGGGTCTCACTCTGCCACCCAGGCTAGTGTGCAGTGGTGAGACTAGGATTCATTGCACCCTCGACCTCCTTGGCTCAAATAACACTCCTGCCTCAGCCTGCTGAGTAGCTAGGACTACAGGTACACACCACCACAGTGGGCTTTTTAAAATTTTTTGTAGAGACGAGGTCTTACTATGTTGCTCAGGCTGGTCTAAAACTCCTGGCCTCAAGCGATCCTCCCACTCAACCTCCCAAAGTGCCAGGATTACAGTTATGAGCCACCATGCCCAGGTGTATGAACATTTGTTAGCAGACAGGTACAACACACAGCCCCACCTGTCCAAAAAGCACAAACCTGACAGGGTGCGGTGGCTCATGCCTGTAATCTCAGCACTTTGGGGCCGAGGCGGGTGGATCACTTGAGGTCAGGAGTTTCAGACCCGCCAGGCCAACATGGTGAAACCTCGTCTGTACTAAAAATACAAAAATTAGCCGGGCTTGGGGGCGCCTGTAAATCCCAGCTATTCGGGAAGCTGAGGCAGGAGGATCTTGAACCCGGAAGGCAGAGGTTCCAGTGAGCTGAGATTGCACCACTGCACTCCAGCCTGGATGACAGAGTGAGACTCGGTCTCAAAAAAAAAAAAAAGAAATAGCACAAACCTGCTGCTCTTTTTAGGGCAGTGGTTCTTAACCTGGGCTATTCATTCAAATCACCTGGGGATATTTTAAAGGCTCAATGCCCAAGCACACCCCAGAGTAGGGGGAGAAAGGGAGAAATCTAAGAACCGGTATTTTTTTTTTTAAAGCTCCTCAAGGAGTTACAGGAAATTTCACTCCCAGGCAAACAACATTCAGACTTGAAGGGGTGGCCAGTCCCTCCACACCTGTGGGTATTTCTAGTTGGGTGGGACGAGAGACTGAGAAAAGTAAGACACAGAGTCAAAGTATAGAGAAAGAAAAGTGAGCCCAGGGGACCGGCGCTCAGCATACCAAAGACCTGCACCGGCACCGGTCTCTGAGTTCCCTCAGTTTTTATTGATTATTATTTTCACTATCTCAGCAAGAAGAATGTGGTAGGAGAGCAGGGTGATAATAGGGAGAAGGTCAGCAACAAAACATGTGAGCAGAAGAATCTGTGTCATAATTAAGTTCAAAGGGAGGTACTATGCCTGGATGTGCAAGTAGGCTAGATTGATGTTTCCCTCTGCCCAAACATCTCAGTGGAGTAAAGAATAACAAAGCAGCATTGCTGCCAACATGTCTCGCTTCCCGCCATAGGGTGGTTTTTCTCCTATCTCAGAATTGAACAAATGTACCATCGGGTTTTATACCGAGACATTCAGTTCCCAGGGAAAAGGCAGGAGACAGTGGCCTTCCTCTATCTCAACTATAAGAGGCTTTCCTCTTTTACTAATCCACCTCAGCACAGACCCTTTACGAGTGTCGGGCTGGGGGATGGTCAGATCTTTCTCATCCCACGAGGCCATATTTCAGACTATCACATGGGGAGAAACCTTGGACAATACCCAACCTTCCAGGGCAGAGGTCTCTGCGGCTTTCCGCAGTGCATTGTGCCCCTGGTTTATCGAGACTAGAGAATGGCGATGACTTTTACCAAGCATACTGCTTGTAAACATTTTGTTAACAAGGCACATTCTGCACAGCCCTAGATCCCTTAAACCTTGATTTCATACAACACAGGTTTTTGTGAGCTTAAGGTTGGGGCAAAGTTACAGATTAACAGCATCTCAGGGCAAAGCAATTGTTCAGGGTAAGGTCAAAATGAAATTTCTTATATCTTCCCTTTCTACATAGACACACTAACAGTCTGATCTCTCTTTTCCCTATAAGACCTTTTTGCTTTTTTTTTTTTTTTTTTTGAGATGGAGTCTTTCGCTCTTGTTGCCTACGCTGAAGTGCAATGGCACGACTTCTGCTCACTGCAACCTCCGCCTCCTGGGTTCAAGCGATTCTCCTGCCTCAGCCTCCCGAGTAGCTGGGATTACAGGCATGCACCACCATGCCCGGCTAATTTTGTATTTTTAGTAGAGATAGGGTTTCTCCATGTTGGTCAGGCTGGTCTCGAACTCCCGACCTCAGGGGCCTCAGCCTCCCAAAGTGCTGGGATTACAGGCGTGAGCCACCAGCACCTGGCCCAATATTCAGATTTTCTATCCCATCAGATAACCAACTAACTCTTCCGGAAGAGATGAGACCTTGAGAGAGGGAATGCAGAGCTGAGAATTCCAGACCTAAAGAGCTACCTGGAAGGTACTGGTCTTTAGACCCTAAGTCGCTGTTTAATCATCTTCATAGGCTAGAAATGAAGTCAGTCCAGGCTTGGGCCACATCCTCCCAAACTCACTCTCTTCCTTCCAACTTTCCACTGTAGCACTGCAGCTGATTGTCTCTGGAACCATCCAGACCAATGGAGAAAAACATGTTCATTTAGCTGAGTCCTCAGTAGGAACCAGACAGGAGGGGAGGGAAGGCAGAAAAGGCCTGGCTGTAGTGCAAGCATTCCTGACCTCCAGTGTGGCCAGAGCCTCAGAAGGTCAGTTTCAACCCCAGCCAGGTTATTAACTGACAGTACGGGAAGGTGGACGTGATCCTCATACCTGTTGGTGCTTTGTCTCTGACTATGACCAGGTTCCATTGCCTTCTAATCCCAGCTTTTCCATTGGCCAGTTAGATCCATTTGCCTGGCCTGGACATTGAGCAACAAGATACAGATGTGAGGGTTTCAGGGTTTGGCCATGGATTTCAGTCCTCGGGTGCCCCCCCGCCCCCACCCTGCCCATATCCTGCTCCTTTCCAATGTCTGCACTCTGAAGGAGACTTGTTGCTAGAATTTATCATTTTGAGTACTCTAAGTAAGATTGCTATTATAGGATACACTTAGAAAATGCTAGCAGAGGCCGGGCACGGTGGCTCACGCCTGTAATCCCAGCACTTTGGGAGGCCGAGGCGAGCAGATCATGAGATCAGGAGATCGAAATCATCCTGGCTAACATGGTGAAACCCCGTCTCTACTAAAAAATACAAAAAATTAGCTGGGCGTGGTAGCGGGCGCCTGTAGTCCCAGCTACTCGGGTGGCTGAGGCAGGGGAATGGTGTGAACCCAGGAGGTGGAGCTTGCAGTGAGCTGAGATCGAGCCACTGCACTCCAGCCTGGGTGACAGAGCAAGACTCCGTCTCAAAAAAAAAAAGGAAAACACTAGCAGATTTAGTGGTCGTTTTTTTTTTTTTTTTTTTTGAGATGGAGTTTCCCTCTTGTTGCCCGGGCTGGAGTGTGATGGTGCAATCTCGGCTCAGTGCAACCTCCACCTCCCGGTTTCAAATGATTTTCCTGCTTCAGCCTCTCGAGTAGCTAGGATTACAGGCACCCACCACCATCCCCAGCTAAATTTTTTTGTATTTTTAGTAGAGATGGCGTTTCACCATGTTGGTCAGGCTGGTCTCGAACTCCTGACCTCAAGTGATCCACCCGCCTCGGCCTCCCAAAGTGCTGGGATTACAGGCGTAGGCCACCGTGCCCGGCCCTGACAGTAATTAAAATTGATTTGTAGGCCAGGCGTGGTGGCTCATGCCTGTAATCCCAGCACTTTGGGAGGCCAAGGCAGGCAGATCACTTAAGATCGGGAGTTCAAGACCAGCCTGACCAACATGGAGAAACTCGCCTCTACTAAAAATACAAAATTAGCTGGGCATGGTGGTGCATGCCTATAATCCCAGCTACTCGGGAGGCCAAGGCAGGAGAATCACTTGAAGTCAGGAGGCAGAGATTGCAGTGAGCCGAGATCATGCCATTGCACTGTAGCCTGGGTGACAGAGCAAGACTCTGTCTCAAAAAACAAACAAACAAACAAACAAAAACAACTTACTGGTCAGGAACAGTGGCTCATGCCTGTAATCCTAGCACTTTGGAGGCCGAGGCGGGAGGACTGAATGAGTCCAGGAGTTTGAGGCTGTAGTGTGCTGTGATCACACCTGTGAAAAACCACTGTACCCCAGCCTCAGCAGCATAGTGAAACTGTCTCTTATTAAAAAATGACATGAGGCCAGGCAAGGTGGTTCACGCCTGTAAATCCCCAGCACTTTGGGAGGCCGAAGTGGGCAGATCACTTGAGGTTGGGAGTTCAAGACCACCCTGACCAACGTGGAGCAATCCCGTCTCTATTAAAAATGCAAAATTAGCTGGGTGTGGTGGCGCATGCCTGTAATCCCAGCTACTTGGGAGGCTGAGGCAGGAGAATCACTTGAACTCAGGAGGTGGAGGTTGCAGTGAGCTGAGATTGAGCCACTGCAGCCTGGGCAACAAGAGTGAAACTCCATCTCAAAAACAACAACAACAACAACAAAAATATGAGCTGAGGGCTGGGTGCAGTGGCTCATGCCTGTAATCCCAGCACTTTGGGACTCCAAAGGGGTGGATCGCTTGAGGTCAGGTGTTCTAGACCAGCCTGGCCAACATGGTGAAATCCCATCTCTACTAAAAATACAAAAGCTAGCCACGCATTGTGGTGGGTGCCTGTAATCCCAACTACTAGGGAGGCTGAGGCAGGAGAATCGCTTGAACCCAGGAGGCGGAGGTTGCAATGAGCCAAGATCCCGCCACTACACTGCAGCCTACACAACAAAGCAAGACTCCATGTCGGGGAAAAAAAAAAAAAAAAAAAAAAAAAGACATGAGAGGTACAAGAAGGGTCAGGAAAACCACCTGCAGAGGCTGCAGAACAGTAAGAGTTAGCCAGGTGGTCAGGTGAAGGAACAATGAGGAGTACTATGGCACGGTGGCCAGGGAGAGCAGCAACATTTCAAAGTGGGATGCCAGAATAGTGAATTCCAAAAACTCCTGGATCAAGTATGACTGGAACATAAGACGAGAGAAGTGGAAAGACAGGCAACCAGGCAGACAGGCAGGGTCCCGCTCAGGAAGGGCCCTCTAAGCCACTTGACGGAGTGTGGAATTTATCCTTTCAGCATTATGCAGTCACTGATCTTGTGTTTTTTTGTTTTGTTTTTTTTTTTGAGACAGGGTTTCTCTCTGTTGCCCAGGCCACAGTGCAGTGATACGATCACGTCTCACTGCAGCTTTCACCTCCTGAGTTCAAGTAATCCTCCTATTTCAGTGTCCCTAGTAGCTGGGACTACAGGCATGCCACTATGCCCAACTAACTTATTTATTGTAGAGATGGGGTCTCACTATGTTACCCAGGCTGGTCTCAAACTACTGGCCTCAAGTGATCCTCCTGCCTTGGGCTCTCAAAGTGCTGGGAGTATGGGCATGAGCTACCCCACCTGGACAACTGAGCTGTTTTAATCTGGAGAGTTTTGTGATCAGATTTTCCCTTTAATGAAATGAAGTTTTGGCCTTCACTGCAACATTTTTACTGTTTCTCAGAGTGTGGCCCATGAACAGTTTACATCAGAACCCTGGATCGCTGCAGGTATACATGTACAAATCAGAGTCTGTATTTCAACCTAGTTTCTTCCCTGATTCGTCACTGAACACGCACAGGCGTACATACTCTAAAGTTCTTTGAAGAACCTCCAATTTAACAGCTAGAAAAGCAGAGGAAAACCTGTATCTAATATTAAAGAACAATGACTCTTCAGAAAGCTACTCACATCTTAGCCAGAAGATGGCGCAGGTTTTCCATTTACCTGGCTCCTGCCTGGCTAGAAAGATGGAAATCTTGTTCAAAAGAAATTGCTTGATCTCATTACTTAAGTCAGAAGAGGGCTCCCCAGAAATTATGATGGCAAGTGAGAAATGAGAAAGACTTATAACAGGTGGGAATAGGCATCCCATCTCCATAGATGCCACCCTTCTCTCCAGAAAGCATAGCAAATTAGGACATGTCCACAAGGCTAGAAGAGTACTACACTCCCAAAAAGAAAGCTCTAAGCATCAGGTGCGGTGGCTCACGCCTGTAGTCTCAGCACTTTGGGAGGCTGAGGTGGGCGGATCAGGAGGTCAGGAGTTCAAGACCAGCCTGGCCAACATGGTGAAACTCCGTCTCTACTAAAAGTACAAAAATTAGCCGGGCATGTTGGCAGGTGCCTGTAATCCCAGCTACTCAGGAGACTGAGGCAGGAATGAAACTGGGAGGTGGAGGTTGCAGTGAGCTGAGATTGTGCCACTACACTCCAGCCTGGGTGACAAAGCAAGACTCCATGTCAAAAAATAAAAAATAAAAAAGCTCTAATTAATCCCTCCGCCTTTTTTTTTTTTTTTAATATATTGGCTGCAGAGTTAGGGCCAGCCATTATAAGAGGGTAGGCCTTAATTTAGGAAAAACAGCAACTAGCCTCCATCCCCAGGTGCAAGTGAGAGAAGACCTCTAGTCCCAGCCGGGTACAGTGGCTTACTCTGGTAATCCCAGCACTTTGGGAGGCCAAGGTGGGCAGATCATGAGGTCAGGAGATAGATACCATCCTGGCTAACACGGTGAAACCCCATCTCTACTAAAAATACAAAAAAATTAGCCAGGTGTGGTGGCACGCACCTGTAGTCCCAGCTACTCGGGAGGCGGAGGCAGGAGAATCAGTTGAATCCAGGAGGCAGAGGTTGTAGTGAGCCAAGATCGCGCCACTGCATTCCAGCCTGGGTGACAGAGCGAGATTCCATCAAAAAAAAAAAAAAAAAATCACCTCTAGTCCCAGGGCTAGTGGACGGGGATGCACCAGGTTCCCTAGATTGTTGAACCCATCTTGCTGGTTCTCTTCCTTTGCTCCTAGTTTGAGTCCTGGCATCAGTGAGGGCTAGATGCAGAGCCCACCACGTTGGGACCTCCACTGAGAGTTAGTTTTGTGTGAATCAAAATGAAATTCTAAGCCCCCCAACCAACTGAATGGAGACCCCCACCCCCATTCTAAAGCAAGCCTGAAAAACCAGTTCAGGCCATCATGGGAAGAGGGGATCAGACAAGCCTCATTATACCATTCTCCTTTTGGAATTCAGGCACAACTGACCAGCATTAACATTAAAATAAGAGATTTTAGGCCTGGTGTGGTGCTCACGCCTGTAATCCCGGCACTTTGAGAGGATCGCTTGAGCCCAGGAGTTCAAGACCGGCCTGGGCAACAAAGCAAGCCCTCCTCTCAAAAGAAATGAAAAAAAGAAAAAGTCAGATGCGGTGGCTCATGCCTGTAATCCCAGCACTTCGGGAGGCTAAGCCAGGTGGATTAGGAGGTCAGGAGTTCAAGAACAACCTAACCAACATGGTGAAACCCCGTCTCTACTAAAAATACAAAAAATAGCCAGGCGTGGTGGCACACGCTTGTAATTCCACCTACTCAGGAGGCTGAGGCAGGAGAATCACTTGAACCTGGGAGGCAGAGGTTGCAGTGAGCCAAGATGGCACCACTGCACTCCAGCCTGGGCGACAGAGCGAGACTCTGTCTCAAAACAAAAACAAAAACAAAAACAAACCATTAAAATAGAGATCCTAAGACTGACAAAGCCCACTCTTTGTAGCAATAAGATACCAAATTCCAACGTGACTCTAGTATAGTTTCACATGACAGAGAGCAGGCCCTGAAAGAAATCCAAAGTATTTTACCCCAAAATATATTCTTCTGACATATTTTAAAATGGCCCTGGTGGGCAAATCTACATTCTAGTGGGGAAATCTACATTCTGTAGAGAATCACCTTCCCTTTCCAGGTCTTTTCCTGATCCAGAGAGATTAACTAGAGTCTGGCACCTTTTAAGGCTTGATAAGAGACATTTACCATCTGTTCTACATAATAAGAACCTTGGTTTCCACAACCCCTTATCTTAACCCAGATACTCCTTTCTATTGATTCCTAGCCTTTAGATAATAACTCTTTCAACCAAATGCCAATCAGAAAATCTTTGTATCCACCTATCCCATCTTTCTGAACCAAACCAATGCATACCTTACGTGTCTAGATTGATGCTTATGTCTCCCTAAAACGTGTAAAACCAACCTGTAACCCAACACCTTGGGCACATGTTCTCAGGACCTCTTGAGATTTTGCCTTGGGCCTTGGTCACTCATACTTGGCTCAGAATAAATCTCTTCAAATTGTTTACAAGGTTTGTTTTCCCTGACTTATGAGAGCACAGCATCCACACATTGTGCAAAATGCCTTGTTCTTCAAGACTCAGTTCCCTATTACAACTTCCAAGAAACTTTTCCCCAGACATCCTCTGCAAGTTTTGCTAATGCAACTTCCTCTGCCATTCCATGAAACCTGTTGCTTGCTTATTTTTACCTTTTCAATTAACATGTTGTGTTAAAATTACCTGTTTACAGAATCTATCTTTCCCAGGAGATGCTGTAATTGCCCAATGGATTCACCTTGCCCACTGCTGTTGGGGTGATCAGACCCAACACCAGGTCATGGGGACGACGAAGTCCGGCGGAGTCAAAGGAATGATTAAAAAGACAGTTTGAGAGAAGTGGGCCCAGGGGGCCATCGTGTGAGGCTGCGAAGGCCCCAAGCTCTGGGAGCCCACGCTATTTATTGGTGCTCAAAGAAACAGGTGGTGAGGATGTGGGGTTTGAAAAGAAACAGTGTATCAAGTGAATGAGAGACATATGGCTACTTGAGATAATGGCAGTGCTGGAAGCAAGGAGCCAGCAAGTCTAGCACACATGCAAGCTCTGCCTCAGCTTCTCTCCCAACACTCAGCTTTTCTCCCAACATGCCCCCCTTCTCTTTTTTGTAAAAACCGCCACAGCTATCATTATTACTAGCATAAGGTGGCCTCTTTCTAAAATTAATTGAGCAAGGCAATCACAGGCTGTGCAGCCCTTAATTGCCAGTTGGTGATCCAGCTTCATTTTTCTTAGCCCTTATTCAAAATGGAGTCGCTCTGGTTTGAATGCTTCCTACATATTTCCCCTTTCCCTTTTACAGAGGACCCTTAATCCTAGGGGTTGCAGAAGGATGAAGGTCCACCTTCTGTAACTTCATGCTGAATAGGGGCGATGATACTCCTGCCTACCTATTAGGGTCTCTTGTATTCAGGGTAGAGAGGAGTTCAGTCAGAAAGCATTGGTTCGTTAAGTATCTATAGGTAAAACCCTGGCACTCCAGCACTTTCTCAGCATGGCTCATACTAGGGGAACCCAGTCCATGGTTGGGATCCATGGGTCCTTCCAGTCTCCTGTTCCATGGTCGTACACATCTTGAGGGCACCTACGTGGTTTGTTCATCTCCTGCAAAAACACAAGCATACCTTCACCCCCATGTTAGTAAATCTACTGAAACAGAAGCAAAAACGTTTGTGGCTGTAGCTGGGAGGCATGCTATTGCTGAAGCATTTGTAACTCAGCTTCTGCCTCTTTGGTTAATTACCATGGGGCAAAACTTACTGTTGATAACGAGAAGCAGGCCCCTTCTAACAGAAGGCACAGAGAAAGCAAATCAAGGCTTAAAAGCAATCCTTAAACCTTCAATTTGCACTGTACAGGTGGGTCCACTAGATGTTGTGGTTCATGATAGAACTTTAGATGTTTGGTGGGCACCCACACAGGCACCTGATTGTCACCTGGAGAGACACAAGCAAATCCTCTTCCCCATAAAATTATCTTTCCTTTTTCCCAGTTCTTTGTATGTGCATCCCTCTACCATATATCTTGTCCAGCCTTTTTATTTTCCTTTTGTCCTGTCAGGAGTTGTTCAGCTGCCGTAATGGGTTGATCTTTTTGTAAACTTAAAAAATTTAATGTTAATAAAGCTAAATGCAATTGCATATGCGGTGTCTTATATTCCTGGTCCCCTTTTGCTTTTGTATTTGAGTTTTTAAAGTACTATATTAGCTCTTTCCACTATTGCTTGTCCTCGTGAGTTATACGGAATACCTGCAGTATGGGTAATATTCCATTGTTGAAAAAATGTAGCCATGGCTTTACTATAGTATCCTGGGCTGTTACCAGTTTTGATTTTTTCGGGGATTCCCATAACTGAAAAGCAAGATAAAAGATGTCCTTTAACATGAGCTGTAGCTTACCCTGTTTGACATGTGGCCCAGATAAAATGTGAATAGGTACCTACTGAAACATGAACAAAGGACAATTTTCCAAAAGCAGGAATATGTGTTACATCCATCTGCCAGATGGAATTTGGAGATAAACCTCTACGGTTAACTCCTGGTCCTTGATGTGGCAGATGCAGGACTTAGCAGGCAGAACAGTGTTGCACAATTTCTTTAGCTTGTTTCCATGATAGACCATATCTTTTTCTAATGCCTGCGGCATTAAGATGGGTTAAAGAATGAAATGTTTGTGCATCAGCAAAGGCTGCAGACAACAATGCATCCGCCCTTTGATTAAGTTTAGTTAAAGGGCCGAGGAGGTTAGTATGTGCTCTCATATGAGTGATACAGAAAGGTGAATGCCTTTATTGTATTGTTTGCTGTAAAGAATGAAATAAAAGATAAAGTTGTTCATCAGTCACATTTCGAGTTAAGGCACATTCAATCCAGTATTTTGGGATCATTGTTGGGGAGAGCAGCCCTGGTTATAGTGTGCCCATGGGTTGAATCACAGCATTAACAGCCCTTAAATCTGTTAACATTCTCCACTTACCAGCTTTTTTCTTAATGACAAATACAGGAGAATTCCAAGGGGAGAAAGTAGGCTCTATATGTCCCTCTTGCAATTGTTCCTGCAACAGTTCTTTTAAAGCCTCCAGTTTTTCCTGTTTCCGCAGCCATTGCTCCACCCAAACCAGTTTGGCAGTTAGCCAAACAAGAGGAATGGGAGCCGGAGGCTCAACAATGGCCGCTCCTAAAAATGGCACCACAATCTGGTCCGACCTGTTTGCCCTTTTAATTCTAAAGGTTCTGATTGGTCATTTATCTTTTTCTAGTCCTTTTCCCAGGCGATATCCCATATTTTTCATCATTTGTCTACTATTATTACTATATTGATCCGTAGGAATAGATATTTCAGCATCCCATTGTTGCAATAAGTCTCTACCCCATATATTGACAGGAAGAGGTGTAATGATAGGCTGAATTGTCCCTTCCTGACCATCCAGCCCTTGACATGGTAAAATCAAAGAACTCTGAAAAACTTCCGAGGCAGCTCCTACTCCAACAATACCAATGGATGCCTTTCGCTTAGGCCAGTGCCAGGGCCATTGATTTACAGCAATAATAGAGACATCAGCTCCAGTATCTACTAGTCCTTCAGAATCTTTTCCCTGAATGGTTACTGTGCAAATAGGTCTTTTGTCAGACACTTGATTAACCCAATACACAGCCTTTCCTGCTGGATTAGTATTACCAAAGCCTCCTATTCTTTTCACTGTGCTGCTTCCTAGCTTTATGTAAGGTTAACAGCAACAACTGAGCAATTCTCTCTCCTGGGGAGGCAGACCACAGAGTCGAGGAACTAATAACTAATTTAATTTCTCCAGTATAATCAGAGTCAATTATTCCTCTATGTACAGTAACACCTTTTAAATTTAGACTAGATCTTCCAAGTAATAGACCGACTGTTCCTGACGGTAAGGGTCCCCTAACTCCCATGGGGACCTTCTCTGGTGGCTCCCCAAGAAGTAAGGAGATGGGAATTGTGCTGTAGAGGTCTACAGGCAGCAGCACTGCCTGCTGAGGCGGGGGACAATTGTTTTACATTTGTAAGGGCACTGGCTGTGCCGGGTATGCCTCGGTTTGTTGAGGGGCTTGAGGTGGGCCCCTCTTCCCGTTTCCTGAAATAGGTTGTCCATCTTTGCTAAATTTAGAATGACAATGATTTCCCCAGTGATTGCCTTTCTTATACCAGGGACATATACCGGGACTTTTCTGTTGATTGATGGCAGTAGTTTTTGCCTTTTGATTTCCTTTTCTACATTCCTTTCTTGTATGTCCAAATTGCCCACAATTAAAGCAAGAGCCTGAGAAATGGGGCATACTCCTTCCTACTCTTAATCCAGCCATAGCCCAAGCTAAAACAGTAGCCTTATGTAAGTTACCTTCAATGCCATCACAAGCCTTAATATATTCAGCTAAATGAGCCTTCCCTCTCAGGGGTCTAATAGCAGTTTGACACTCTGCATTAGCATTATCGTATGCAAGAAGCTGTATTACAACATCCTGAGCCGTTTTATCAGTTATGGCTTTATACACAGCCTCTTGGAACCAAGCAATAAAATCAACATATGGTTCTTTACGTCCTTGTCGGACAGAACTGAAAGAAGGATATTTTTCCCTCGTAACATTTATCCTTTCCCACGCCTGTAAGCACACAAAGCGCAGCTGAACAATGGCAACATCCTCCATTACTGCTTGATTCTCTAACCGACCCCAATTAGGGCCAACTCCCATTAACTGTTCAAAGGAAACAGGCACAGGTGGCTGTGCTTGTATGTTTTCCCTTGTCTGAGTTTGAGCTTCATCAGCCCACCAGGTTTTAAACTGCAAGTACTGAGATAGAGTGAGAACAGATTTTGTCAAAGTATCCCAATCATACAGTGTTAACCTGTTATCAAGAGTCATATTTTTAAATAAAGTTTGCACAAAAGGAGGGTTCGGTCCGTATTAATGGTTTGCTTAAATTCCTTTAGTAACTTAAAAGGAAAAGCGGCCCAATTAGTTATATTCTGTCCTCCTTGCTGGATTATAGTAATGGGAAATTGCCATGCTTCAAGGTCTCCCTTGGCTGTAGCTTTTTGAATAGAATTTTGTATAGTACCACCAATCGCTCCAGGTTTTAATGTTGCAACTACAGAAGCAGTAAGTTTTTCAGCTAATTTCTTTTCTTGCCCATTAAGGGGAGAGACAGGAGGTGGCCATTCACTTAATTCAGCAGGTGGAAGCGATGGGCTAGTAAAACATATTTTTATTTTCCTTTCTTTTCTTTAATCTCCTCTGGTAGCTGTTGCTCACACTCAGAATCTGAAGTTAGTTTTTTACACTTGTCCTCTTTCTCATCTGAATCTGCCTCATCATCTGTTTGAAATGGCTCAAGAGCCGTCTTTATTAGCACCCACACTGACCAAATGAAAACTGGAATTTCTGCTCCCTCTTTATATGCCTTTTTAAAATCTCTTCCAATTCTCTCCCATTCATCCAACTCCACAGTCCCTTGTTCAGGAAACCATGGACAAAACTGCTTTACTGTACTAAAGAGTGATAACAAATTCTGAGTACTAACTTACTCCCCCTCTTCGTAATAAATGCCTTAAGAAATGTAAATAAGCGGAATGTCTGCTTTCACTTTGTCCCATTGTTACTCTGGTTCTTCCAAGTGCTCAGCTTTCCTGTCAAGCTTCTTTTAGACCCCATGCTCTAGCGTTGCTTCACTGGGGTCTTTGTCACCCCACGTTGGGCAGCCAGGAATGTTGGGGTGATCAGACCCAACACCAGGTCGTGGGGGCAACGAAGTCGGCAGAGTCAAAGGATTGAGAAAAAGACAGTTTGAGAGAGAGAAGTGGGACCAGAGGTCCATTGCTATTGTGGAGGCTGCTAAGGCCCCAAGCTCTGGGAGCCCACACTATTTATTGGTAATCCAACAAAGAAACAGGTGGTGAGGATGTGGGGGTTGAAAGGAAACAGTGTATCAAGTGAATGAGAAACATATGGCTGCTTGACATAATGGCAGTGCTAGAAGCAAGGAGCCAGCAAGTCTAGGACACATGCAAGCCCTGCCTCAGCTTCTCTCCCAACACTCAGCTTTTCTCCCAACAACTGCCTAGACAGAGCACATTTATCAAGACAGGGGAATTGCAATAGAGAAAGAGTAATTCATGCAGAGCCGGCTGTGTGGGAGACCGGACTTTTCTTATTACTCTAATCAGTCTCCCCGAGCATTCGGGAAGCAGAGTTTTTAAGGATAACTTGGTGGGTTGGGGGAAGCCAATGAGCCAGGAGTGCTGATTGGTCAGGGATGAAAACATAAGGAGCTGAAGCTGTCTTCTTGCACTGAGTCAGTTCCTGGGTGGGGGCCACAAGATCAAATGAGCCAGTGTATTGATCTGGGTGGTACCTGCTGATCCATCAATTGCAAGGTCTGCAAAATATCTCAAGCACTGATCTTAGGAGCAGTTCAGGGAGGGTCAGAACTCGGTAGCCTCCAGCTGCGTGACTCCTAAACCATAGTTTCTTTTTTTTTTTTTTTTTTTTTGAAATGGAGTCTTGCTCTGTTGCCCAGGCTGGAATGCAGTGGCACGATTTCAGCTCACTGCAACTTCCACCCCCCGGGTTCAAGCAATTCTCCTGCCTTGGCCTCCCTGGTAGCTGGGACTACAGGCATGCGCCACCACCCCCGGGTAATTTTTGTATTTTTAGTAGAGACGGGCTTTCACCATGTTGGCCAGGCTGGTCTGGAACTCCTGACCTCAAATGATCCCAAAGAGCCTCAGCCTCCCAAAGAGCTGGGATTACAGGCATGAGCCACCGTGCCCGGCTTCTAAACCATAGTTTCTAATCTTGTGGCTAGCATTCGTCTTACAAAGGCAATCTAGGCCCCCGGCAAGAAGGAGGTCTGCTTTGAGAAAGGGCTGTCATTGTCTTTGTTTTAAACTATAAATTAAGTTTCTCTCAAAGTTAGTTCAGCCTATGCCCAGGAATGAACAGGGACAGCTTGGAGGTTAGAAGCAAGATAGAGCTGATTAGGTTAGATCTCTTTCACTGTCTCAGTCATAATTTTGCAAAGGCGGTTTCAATGCTAGACTATGAACTACTGCCAGGCTATGAGCTACTACATGAGCCATAGGCTATCAGCTACTGCTTTCCTACATATCAGGAATAGACTAGGGGAAAAGTATCATTCACAATAGTAATGAACATCAATTTTACAATTTTACTCAGGAATAATATATATATATATAATATATATATTTTAAACAGGGTCTCACTCCAACACCCAGGTTGGAGTGCAGTGGTGCATTCTCAGCTCACTGCAGCCTCAACTTCCTGGGCTCACGTGATCCACCCACCACAGCCTCCTGAGTAGCTGGGACTACAGGTGCGTACCACCATGCCTGGGTAATTTTTACACTTTTTATAGAGATAGGGTTTCGTCATGTTGTCCAGGTTGGTCTTGAACCCCTGGACTCAAGCCATCCTCTAGTCTCGACCTCCCAAAGTGCTGGGCTTACAGGCATGAGCCACTGCACCCAGCTATTCAAGAATAATATCTACAAAAAAAAAATGTGTAAGATCTATTTCAGAGAAAAAAAAACATGCAAAAAGTTTAAACAGCTGGGCGTGGTGACTCATACCTGTAATCCCAGGGAGCCTGAGATGGGAGGATCCCTTGAGCCCAGAAGTTCAAGACTAGACTGGGCAACATAGTGAGACCTCATCTCTAATTTAAAGAATGAGGCCAGGCACGGTGGCTCACATTTGTATTCCTAGCACTTTGGGATGCCAAGGCAGGTGGATCACTTGAGGTCAGGAGTTCGAGACCATCCTGGCCAACATGGTGAAACCCCGTCTCTACCAAAACTACAAAAATTAGCTGTGCATGGTAGCACGTACCTGTAATCCCAGCTACTTGGGAGACTGAAGCAGGAGAATCTCTCGAGTCTGGGAGGCAGAAGTTTCAGTCAGCTGAGATGGTGCCACTGCACTCCACCCTGGGCAACAGAGTAAGACTCCATCTCAAAATTAATAAATAAATAATAAAAATTTTTAAAAACTTTAAACAAATGATGGCATTAACAATGTTAATAGTAAACATTTATGGGCTGGGCACGGTGGCTCACATCCGTAATCCCAACACTGGTAAGCAGAGGTGGGTGGATTGCTTGAGGTCAGGAGTTCAACACAAGCCTGGTCAACATGCCAAAACCCTATCACTACTAAAAATACAAAAATTAGCCAGCTGTGGCGGTGCATTCCTGTAATCCAAGCTACTCAGGGTGGCTGAGGCAAAAGAATTACTTCAACCTGGGAGGCAAAGGTTGCAGCAAGCTGAGATTGTGCCACTGCACTTCAGCCTGGGTAACACAGTGAGACCTTGTATAAAAAATAAAAATTAAAAAAAAAATTATGGAAGGCTTACTATGCCATAGGCACAATTTTAAGCACCTTTGCATGTTTGACTTTATTTAATCAACAATTCTATGAGGCTGATACCATAGTATTTCTCATTTTACAGGAAATAGGCACAAAGCAAGTTAAGTAACTTGCCTGAGATTTCATCTTCATTGCTGTAAAGCTTGAATAATACGTAATTCTTCCCCAATTAATTTTTATATAACTCAACTTTGATTAAAATTCCCAAAGAGGCCAGGCACGGTGGCTCACACCTGTAATCCCAGCACTTTGGGAGGCCAAGGTGAGCAGATCACCTGAGGTCAGGAGTTTGAGACCAGCCTGGCCAACATGGTGAAACCCCGTCTCTACTAAAAAGACAAAAATTAGCCGGGCATTATGGTGGACACCTGTAATCCCAGCTACTCTGGAGGCCAAGGCAGGAGAATTGCTTGAACCTGGGAGGTGGAGGTTGCAGTGAGCCGATACTGCGCCACTGCACTCCAGCCTGGGCGACAGGGCAAAACCCTGTCAAAAAAAAAAAAAAAAAAATCCTCAAAGAAAGAAAGTTCACAGATGTAAACAATTCATATTTTATATAAGCACATATGTACATAGAAAAAAATCTGAAAAATCTGGAAGAATGTACGTCAAAGTATTTGAGGTGATTTATGTTTGCTTCTCTATATTTTTCTTTTTTTTTTTTTTCTTGAGATGGAGTCTCCCTCAGTCACCCAGGCTGGAGCGCAGTGGCACGATCTCAGCTCACTGCAGCCTCCGCCTCCCGAGTTCCAAGGATTCTCCTGCCTCAGCCTCCTGAGTAGCTGGAATTACAGGTGCCCACCACAACACCCGGCTAATTTTTTTATTTTTAGTAGAGACGGGGTTTCACCATGTTGGCCAGGCTGGTTTCAAACTCCTGACCTCAGGTGATCTGCCTGCCTTAGCCTCCCAAAGTGCTGGGATTACAGACATGATCCACCATGCCAGGCCTGCTTCTATATACTTTTCTTTAAAAAACAAAAAACAAAAGTGCAGTGGCGCCATCTCGGCTGACTGCAACCTCTGCCTCCCAGGTTCAAGAGATTTCCTGCCTCAGCCTCCCAAGTACCTTGAATTACAGCCTGCACCACCACACCTGGCTAATTTTGTATTTTTAGTAGGGACGGTGTTTCACCATGTTAGCCAGGCTGGTCTCGAACTTCTGATCTCAGGTGATCCGCCCACTTCGGCCTCCCAAAGTGCTGAGATTACAGATGTGAACCACCACACCCCCGGGCGTTTGTTTGTTTGTTTGTTTTTTCTTGTTTTTTTTTTTTGTTTTTTTTTGTTTTTGTTTTTCAGACAGAGTCTCACTCCTCACCCAGGCTGGAGTGCAGTGGCGAGATCTCAGCTCACTGCAACTCCGCCTCCCAGGTTCAAGCAATTCTCCTGCCTCAGCCTCCCGAGTAGCTGGGATTATAGGTGCCTGCCACCATGTCCAGCTAACTTTTGTATTTTTTGGCAGAGACAGGGTTTTGCCATGTTGGCCAGGCTGGTATTGAACTGACTTCAAGTGATCCGCCTGCCTAGGCCTCCCAAATGCTGGGATTACAGGAATGAGCCACTGCACCTGGCTTGTTTTTTGTTGTTGTTTGTTTGTTTTTGTTGTTGTTGTTGTTGTTTGTGAGATGGAGTTTTGGTCTTGTTGCCCAGGCTGGAGTGCAATGGTGCGATCTCAGCTCATCGCCACCTCCACTTCCTGGGTTCAAGCGACTCTCCTGTCTCAGCCTCCCAAGTAGCTGCGATTACAGGCATCCATCACCACACACAGCTAATTTTTAGTAGAGTCAGGGTTTCTCCATGTTGGTCAGGCTGGTCTCGAACTCCTGACTTCAGGTGATCCACCCGCCTCGGCCTCCCAAAGTGCTGGGATTACAGGCATGAGCCACTGCGCCCAGCTTTGTTTGTTTTTTAATAACAGAGTCTCACTGCATTGCCCAGGCTGGACTGGAGTGCAGTAGCACAATCACAGCTTGCTACAACCTCAAACTCCTGGATTCAAGTGATCCTCCCACCTCAGCCCCCCAGGTAGCTGGGACTACAGGTGTGTGCCATCACACCCAGCTAATTGGGTCTTTACTTTTTAGTAAAGACAAGGTCTCACTTTGTTGCCCAGGATGGTCTCAAACTCCTGCGCTCAACCAGATTTTTCCCAGCAGAAATACCCCTATGAGTTAAGAAGTCCGGGTGCGGTGGCTCACGCTTGTAATCCCAACACTTTGGGAGGCCGAGGTGGCTCGCCTGAGGTCTGGAGTTCCAGGCCAGCCTGGCCAATATGGTGAAACCCAATCTCTACTAAAAATACAAAAAATTACGTAGGTGTGGTGGTGGGCACCTATAATCCTAGCAACTTGGGAGGCTGAGGCAGAAGAATCGCTTGAACCTTGGGGGCGGAGGTTGCAGTGAGCCGAGATCACGCTATTGGACTCCAGCCTGGGCAACAAGAGTGAAACTCCTTTTAAAAAAAATGAGTTCAGAAATGTCATCTTTTTACACAGTGGGAAAAGAAAGATTGAGGAAAAGGCAGGTAAGGGTAAGAAAAGGGAATCTCTCAGACCTCAGTCGCCTTTTTAGGGAGATTCGCTTAAAAATAGATATATGTTTAAGTTGAGGCTCAGAAAACTGGTCGCCTTAGGGTGACTGGGATGGAGTTGGGGCACCATGGCATGTTCACCTTTCCCTCAATTTTTCTTTTTTTTTTTTTTTGAGACGGAGTCTCGCACTGTCACTCAGGCTGGAGTGCAGTGGCGCAATCTCAGCTCACTGTAAGCTCCGCCTCCCGGGTTCAGGCCATTCTCCTGCCTCAGCCTCCCAAGTAGCTGGGACTGCAGGCGCCCGCCACCACGCCCAGCTAATTTTTGTATTTTTAGTAGAGACGGGGTTTCACCGTGTTAGCCAGGATGGGTCGATCTCCTGACCTCGTGATCCGCCTGCCTCGGCCTCCCAAAGTGCTGGGATTACAGGCGTGAGCCACCGCGCCCGGCCTCCCTCATTTTTTCTTGTCTCCCCCTCCTGCAGCTTCCTGATCACTAGCACAGAGGACCCAGCGCTGAGACTGTCTAAAGCCGTAGGATAGTCATGGAGAATTCACCATTACATCTGCCAGAAAGAGCAATGTATGGCTCTGTTCTTTTCTTAAACTCCCAATTTGGCTTCATGCCTTGTCTACTATGGACTTTGGCTCCTGAATCTTGGCAAAATTCTTCATGCTTAAATTATTGGCTTCAAAAATACTGGGCAGTTGCATTACCTGTCTACCTCCTTAGTACTATAGTAACCAGTTATGTACTCTTTTTTGGCACTAAAGTAATGAGTATCTCTCTCTCCACTCAACTCCATTCGTAAAATCATACGCAACTATTCCAAAAATTAACAGCGAAAAAAATACCAAGGGCCGGGCGCGGTGGCTCAGGCCTGTAATCTCAGCACTTTGGGAGGCCGAGGCGCTGTAATCTCAGCACTTTGGGAGGCCGAGGCGGGCGGATCACGAGGTCAAGAGATTGAGACCATCCTGGCTAACATGGTGAAACCCCGTCTCTACTAAAAATACAAAAAATTAGCCGGGCGTGGTGGCGGGCGCCTGTAGTCCCAGCCACTGGGGAGGCTGAGGCAGGAGAATGGCGTGAACCCGGGAGGCGGAGCTTGCAGTGAGCCGAGATCCCGCCACTGCACTCCAGCCTGGGCGACACAGCGAGACTCCGTCTCAAACAAAACAAAACAAAACAAACGAAAAAAATACCAAGAAGCCATACCAGCATTAACACATATTCCTGTTAATGAAGTTAACCTAATGTTCTTTTTGGCAACCAAGAACTTTATACCAAAAACTGAATTGTATATAGATATTCTAACACCAAACATTTATATGTTTTTGCCATTATAATTGTGACCGTAATTATTTTTATCTCCTATTAAGATGTATTGAAATGTAAAATAAAACATACATCTAACTTATCTTTAAATTCCATTAATATTGTAAATGTTCTCAAATATTAGTTACTAATGGACAGAATTTTACAATACTTCATGAATATTTTTTAAAAAGGCCAGGCATGTTGACTCACGCCTGTAACTCCAGCACTTTGGGAGGCCGAGGTGCGTGGATCACCTGGGGTCAGGAGTTTGAGACCACCCTGGCCAACATGGTGAAACCCCAACTGTACCAAAAATACAAAAATTAGCTGGGCATGGTGGTGCATGCCTGTAGTCCAAGCTACTTGGGAGGCTGAGGCAGGAGAATCGCTGGAACCCGGGAGGTGGAGGTTGCAGTGAGCCGAGATTGCACCATCGCACTCCAGCCTGGGCAACAAAATCAAAACTCCGTCTCAAAAAAAATAATAATAATTAAAAACAACAACAACAAGCTCTTTCTGCCGTCTTACTGTGCCACCATAATGGTGCACATAAATGTCCTGGCAGATGTTCTCAAGAGCATCAACAATGCTGAAGAGAGAGGCAAAGGCTAGGTTCTTATTAGGCTTTGCTCCAAAGACAACATCTGGTTTCTCACTCTGATGATGAAGCATGTTCAAATGTTCAAATTTGAACATTGGCAAATTTGAGGTCATCGATGATCACAGAGCTGGGAAAATTGTTGAGAATCTCTCAGACAAGGTTACACAAGTGTGCAGTGATCAGGCCCAGATTCGACATATAACTCAAAGATCTAGAAAAATGGCAGAATAATCTCTTCCCTTCCCCTCTGTTTGGTTTCATTGTACTGACAACCTCACCTGACATCATGGGCCATGAAGAAGCAAAATGAAAACACACAGCGAGTAAAATCCTGGAATTCTTTTTCTAGGGATGTAATACACATGTACAAATAAAATGCTTCAGTGGACAAACAAAACAAAACAAAGCAACTGTTTAGGCCAACTTATCTGCTGGAAGTTCTCCAAGTACCGTAGAGGCAGCATGCACCAGCATCAAGGCCTCTGCTGTAGGACACCACCACCTCACTAGCCTATTCCCTTTGCCACCAGCCAGCTCCACTTCTTCATATAAATAGGCCTTGATTGGCCCATTGGAACCCAGAACCCAGTCTTTTTACCCCAAATCTAGTAGCATAGGGCTGGAAGTGAAATATAATAAGGATGGGGCACAGCACCTCTTTCATAATTTTTTTTTTTTTTGAGATGGAGTCTTGCTCTGTCGCCCAGGCTGGAGTGCAGTGGTGCAATCTTGGCTCTTACGGGTTCTATGCCATTCTCCTGCCTCGGCTTCCTGAGTAGCTGGGACTACAGGGGCCAGCCACCAAGCCTGGCTAATTTTTTTATATTTTTAGTAGAGACGGGGTTTCACCGTGTTAACCAGGATGTTCTCGATCTTCTGAGCTCGTGATCTGCCCGCCTCCGCCTCCCAAAGTGCTGGGATTACAGGCGTGAGCCACCGCACCCCGCCCATAATGTTTAACCTTGCCTTTTACTTAAAAGAATTCCGGGAACTGGCTTTAGGAAATCTAAATATTAAACTAAGGTTGTGGAGTGTCCCACCTCAGGAAGAAATGCTGAACAATTGATTTACAGCCTTGTTGCTGTTCGCCAGACCACCAGGTGGGTGATCCATTACTCAATAAAGCCATCAAAACCAGATAAGGCTGACCCGCATACTCTACCCCTCATGTGCTTTGCCCAGCCCAACCTGCATACTCTACCCCTGATTGTCTAATAAAGCAGAGTTAGTCAGGTAGTCCTCTCCGTTATGTCTGTGCATAAGCTCTAACAAGCCTTGTATGGGAACACTCCTTCAGCCTCATGTCAATTTCTATTGCACTGAGAGCCCAAGAACACGTGATCTTAAGTAACAGAAGGCTTTAACCTTTAAAAAATCTAATCACAGTAATCTTATTACACTGAAATTAACAGTTATTCTTTTTCTTTTTCGAGACGGAGTCTCGCTCTGTCGCCCACGCCGGAGTGCAGTGTCATGATCTCGGCTCACTGCAAGCCCCACCTCCCGGGATCACGCCATTCTCCTGCCTCAGCCTCCGGAGTAGCTGGGACTACAGGCGCCGGCCACCACGCCCGGCTAATTTTTTTGTATTTTTTAGTAGAGACGGGGTTTCACCGTTTTAGCCAGGATGGTCTCGATCTCCTGACCTCGTGATCCGCCCCGCCTCGGCCTCCCAAAGTGCTGGGATTACAGGCGTGAGCCACCGCGCCCAGCCCAACAGTTATTCTTAATATCATCAAATATCCAGTCAGTGTTCAAATTTTCGTTTTTTTTGTTTGTTTGAGACAGGGTCTTGCTCTGTCACCCAGGCTGGAGTGCAGTGGCACGATCTCAGCTCACTGCAACCTCCGTTTCCCAGGTTCAAGCGATTCGCCTGCCTCAACCTCCTGAGTAGCTGGGATTACAGGCACACACCACAACGCCTGGCTAATATTTGTACTTTTATAAGAGATGGGGTTTCACCATATTGGCCAGGCTTACCTCAGGTCTTAAACTCCTGACCTCAGGTGATCCACCTGCCTTGGACTCCCAAAGTGCTGGGATTACAGGCTTGAGCCACCTTGCCCAGTTTTTTTTTTTTTTTTTTTTAGACAAGGTCTTGCTCTGTCACCCAGGCTGGAGTGTAGTGGTGTGATTGTAACTGCCCAATGGGTTCACCTTGCCCACTGCCTACACAGAGCCCATTTATCAAGACAGGGGAATTGCAATAGAGAAAGAGTAATTCACACAGAGTGGGCTGTGTGGGAGACCAGAGTTTTATTACTCAAATCAATCTCCCCAAGCATTCAGGGATCAGAGTTTTTAAGGACAACTTGGTGGGAGGGGGGAAGCCAGTGAGCTGGGAGTGCTGATTGGTCAGATCAGAGATGAAATCATAGGGAGTCAAAGCTGTCTTCTTGCGCTGAATCAATTCCTGGGTGGGGGCCACCAAGATCATATCAGCCAGTTTATTGATCTGGGTGGTACCAGCTGATCCGTCAAGTGCAGGATCTGCAAAATATCTGTGGAATATCTCCCTGGTCTTAGGTTTTGCAGTAGTGGTCTTATCCCCAGAAGCCATTTGGGGAGAGTCAGAGTCTTGTAGCCTCCAGCTGCATGACTCCTAAACCATAATTTCTAATCCTGTGGCTAATTTGTTAGTACTGCAAAGGCAGTCTAAATCCCCAGGGTTTGTTTCGGGAAAGGGCTGTTATCATCTTTGTTTTAAACTATGAACAAGTGATCCTCCCACCTCAGCCTCCCAAAGTGCTGGGATTTTAGGCAGTAAGAAGAAATAAGGGATTAAAAGCAAAAGACCGAATTCTCTTTGTTTATTCATATGCTGTGTATTGACTGAACTACCAGATATTGAGGCTTCTTTGCTTATTAGCTGCATGACTTTGGGCAAGTCAAGTTCCACCTGAGCCTTGCAAGTCAGGCCTGGGGAGTCCAACCACCCAGAACCTTTGAGTCTCTGTTAGAGAGCAAGACCCTCTCTTAAGAAACAAAAATAAAACAAAAAAAGAGTATTGGGATATGGGGAGTTTGGCTCCTGTAGAAAGGGTAGTCTGGGAGGCCTGTTAGAGGAGTTAACATTGGACCTGAGACCTGAGGATGAACAGAAGCCATCCTGAAAGAACTGGGAAAATAAAGAGGTGGCCAGGCGTGGTGGCGCACGCCTGTAATCCCATCACTTTGGGAAGCTGAGGTGGGCGGATCACCAGGTCAGAAGTTCAAGACCAGCCTGACCAACATGGTGAAACCCCCCTCTACTAAAAATACAAAAACTAGCCAGGCGTGGTGGCATGGGCCTGTAATCTCAGCTACTCAGGAGGCTGAGGCAGGAGAAATCGCTTGAATCCAGGAGGCAGAGGTTGCAGTGAGCCGAGATTGCGCCACTGCACTCCAGCCTGGGTGACATAAGAAAACTCTGTCTCAAAAAGAAAAAAAAAAAATACAAAAATTTTCCGGGAGTGGTGGCGTGCTCCTGTAATCCCAGCTACTTGGGAGGCTAAGGCAGGAGAATTGCTTGAACCCAGGAGGCCGGGGTTGCAGTGAGCCAAGATCATGCCACTGCACTCCAGCTGTGGCAACAGAGACTGTCTCAAAAAAAAAAAAAAAGAAAGAAAGAAAGAAAGAAAAAGAAAAAAATAACTCGCAGAGGAAACAGCCAGTGCAAGGGCCCTGAGGCAGGTAGTTCCGTGTTTTTTGAGGAACAGAAAGAGAGTGTTTCTGTTGTAAGAGTAGTGCTAAGACAATGTTGAAGGGGCAGTCCGGATAGAATGAGAAGGTAGAAATTTAACCGAAACAGGAAGCCACTGAACAGTATTGGAGGGGGAGAAGGATTACAGAGGGGTCGTGGGAGAGGCCAGGGAGCAGTTGGAGGTGATTTCAGTGATCCAGGTGAGAGACAACGGGGGCTTGGACTGGGCTGGAGCTGTGGAGTTGGAGAGACGCCGGCAAATTCAAGGACTTAGGAATGGATTAACTGCGAGGGTTGAAGAAAAGGAATGAGGTGACCTTGGGGTTCAGGCCTGGGTGATGAGGCGCTTTAGTGGTGCCTTTATTCAGATTTGAGTCTGGAGTCGGGTCTGAGGGGTGGGGCTCGTTCAAGCGGAGGCACGGTGGAGACAGAGGGAATTGGACTCAGTCGGGGGGCAGCAATGGAAGTCAGCAATTGCTTAGGGCGGAATGCGATTTCCGGGGAGGAGGCGCGGGTATGTAGACAGAGGGGGTTGGGACACACCAGGAGGGGAGGAGCCAGCCCCAGAGATCGGGAATCCTCTCAGTCCTTAGTTACAAGGCTCCATCCTCACTTTGTTCGCTCCTCAGTCGTCCAGGCGGATTCCTTTTTCGCCAGGTAAGGCTGGCCCGGGTGCATGGGGCCCGGCGTGCCCTGGGTAAGGCTGGCCCAGGCGCGTGGGGTCCGGGGCGCGCCGGGTAAGGCTGGGCCAGGCGCGTGGGGTCCGGGGTGCCCCGGGTAAGGCTGGTCCAGGGGCGTGGGGTCCGGGGTGCCCCGGGTAAGGCTGGTCTAGGCGCGTGGGGTCCGCAGCGCCCCAAGTAAGGCTGGTCCAGGAGCGTGAGGTCCAGGGTGCCCCGGATAAGGCTGGTCCAGGCGCGAAGGGCGCGGGGTGCCCCGGGTAAGGCTGGCCCAGGTACGTGAGGCCCGAGGTGCCCCAGGCAAGGCTGATCCGGGTGCGTGCGTGGGGCCCGGGTAGGGGCAGGCAGTTGGCCCCCTCACTTGACTCCCTGCTCTTTCCCTTACTGTCCGTGGCGCAATGAGAAAAAAACTCTCCTAAGACTTATCTATCCCCAAATTGGAAACATGAAAGTAGTTCTGTGAAGAAAAAATAAAGTCAAGAAAATGAGGTGGTGCTTGACAAGTCCTAGCTTTAGAAAAAGGATGGAGGGGCCGGGAGCAGTGGCTCACGCCTGTAATCCCAGCACTTTGGGAAGCCGAGGCGGGCGGATCACCTGAGGTCGGAGTTCGAGACCATCCTGACCAACATGGAGAAACCTCGTCTCTACTAAAAATACAAAATTAGCCAGGCGTGGTGGCGCATGCCTGTAATCCTAGCTACTCAGGAGGCTGAGGCAGGAGAATCGCTTGAACCCGAGAGGCAGAGGTTGCACTGAGACGAGATCGCGCCATTGCGCTCCAGACTGGGCAACAGGGGCGAAACTGTCTCAAATAAAAAAAGATGGAGGGCCGGGCGTGTTATTTTCCAGCACTTTGGGAGGCCGAGGCGGGGGCGGATCACGAGGTCAGGAGATCGAGACCATCCTGGCCAACTTGGGAAACCCCGTCTCTACCAAAAATACAAAATTAGCCGGGTGTGTTGGCTCGCGCCTGTAGTCCCAGCTACTAGGGAGGCCGAGGCAGGAGAATCGCTTGAACCGGGGAGGCGGAGGTTGCAGTGAGCCGAGATCGGGCCACTACACTCCAGCCTGGGCGGCAGAGCGAAACTCCGTCTCAAAAAAAAAAAAAAGTGTTTAATTATGTGACTGGAAAAATTGATTTGGAAGTAATAACTTTTGCATTTTCTTCAATTTCCTCCGATTGTTAGGCAAATCGAATTCTTGTTCAAATTGCAAAAGGAAAGCGTGCCTTCCATAATAATAGACCCCAACTCTCACAAAGAAGAAACCATTCTCTCCGGCCCCTCCCTGGCCTCCTCAGATCCACCTCTGGGTCCTCCCATTCCCTGCAGCCCTCTCCCGACTTACACCCCAGACTCTGCTAATTGTGTGTGCCTTTTTAAGCAAACACATGCATAGATAAGTGCTTTTTTTTCCCAGTCTTCAATATAAGGTGATTTTCTACATTAAATAAACCTTAAACTTTGGTGTTATGAACTTGACTTGAATTCTAGGCACCAAGGCACAGCTTAGAGTAGACCCGAGTCCTGCTCTGCGGAGTTCGTCTTCCCAGCGAAGGTACAGAGGCGGATGAACTGCTGAGACTTGGTAAGTAGTTTAGTGGATTAGGGGTAGGATTAGTGGCGGGTAAGTGTGCGGGTGGGGTTGGGGTGGGGTATTTCATTTTTTGAGACGGAGTTTCGCTCTTGTCGCCCAGGCTGGAGTGCAATGGTGCCATCTCCGCTCACTGCAACCTACGCCTCCTGGGTTCAAGCGATTCTACTCCCTCAGCCTCCCAAGTAGCTGGGATTACAGGCGCCTGCCATTATACCCGGCTAATTTTTGTATTTTTAGTAGAGACGGGGTTTTGCCATTCGGCCAGGGTGGTCTCGAGCTCCTGACCTCAGGTGATCCTTCCACCTCCATCTCCTAAAGTGATGGGATTACAGGCGTGAGTCACTGCGCCTGGACTGGGGAGGGGTATTTTAGAGTGAAACAAGGGAAATGACCTTGGGTCTGATAAAGAAATGAGCCCTACTTATAATCTAGTGTGGGTCAGGACCCTTTTGCAGTCTGGTGCTATTAGCAGAACCCACAGTTCGTCATCGCTAGAAACCACATTTTGTTTCACATAACAGTTGTTGCAGGTTTTGCATTCTCACTACTTCAAGATTAAAAGGTAGGGCCAGGTGTGGTGGCTCACACCTGTAATCCCAGCACTTTGGGAGGTTGAGGAGGCCAGATCACTTAAGGTCAGCAGTTCGAGACCAGTCTGGCCAACATGGCGAAACCCCATCTCTACTAAAAAGTACCAAAATTAGCTGGGCATGGTGGCACGCTCCTGTAGTCCCAGCTACGTGGGAGGCTGAGGCAGGAGAATCGCTTGAACCTGGGAGGTGGAGGTTGCAGTGAGCCGAGATCCTGCCATTTCACTCCAGCCTGGGCAAGAGTGAGACGCCCTCTCAAAAAAAATAAATTATATATATATATATATATATATATATATATATATAGTTTAGTCCTGCTACTCAATCTTGTTTAGTAGTAGGTTAAGAAGCTCATATATTCCAAATTTTTTATTATCTAAAAAAGTTTTTTAGAGATGGTTTTGCTATGTTGCACAGGCTGGTCTCAAATTCCTGGCCTCAAGTGCTCCTGCTGCCCCGAAAGGTGCTGGGATTACAGGCTTGAGCCACCGCACCCAGCCCAGCACTTTGGGAGGCCGAGGTGGGCGGATCACCTGAGGTCTGGAGCTGGAGACCAGCCTGGCCAACATGGTGAAGCCCCATCCCTAAAAATACAAAAATTAGCTGGGTGCAGTGGTGCACGCTTGTAGTCCCAGCTACTCGGGAGGCTGAGGCAGGAGAATCACTTGAACCTGGGAAGCGGGGGTTGCAGTGAGCTGAGATTGTGCCACCTGCACTTCAGCCTGGGCGACAGTGAGACTCTGTCTCAAAAACAGAAGAAAACAAAACAAAACAAAACAAAACCCTGTAAATTACTTGAATGCCCACTGCTGAGGGAATTACTTATTGAACCAAAATATGTTCAAAATATGGCATGTCACACATAGAAGAGTGAGGTGTGCATATATAACTGGAAGATTACAAATGGCCTATTGAAAAAAAGAAAATAGTGTTAAAAGTATAAAGCTATTAAAAAAAAGTAAATGTCCCCATACCCAAGGAGAGAGACGTACTAACTAGAAGTCGAAGTTGGCATTCTCCTTTATTGTCCTCCCATGCACCCATAAAAACCAGGCACTTTATCTTGGTATGGTAGCATGCCTGTAATACCAGCTCCTCAGGAGACTGAGGTGAGAGGATCACTTGGTCCCTGGAGTTTGTGACCAGCGAACAGTGATCACACCACTGCTTGCCACGCTGGGCGAGAGTGAGATCTCAAAAAAAAAAGCAAAAACACAAAAGTCACCTGTACGTTGTGAGAGATACCACACCAAACTTTGGGTGGCCTCAGAGGTCAGATAATAGAGACTGAGGTGAGGGACTAGTAATTGTTCTTATTTAAAAAAAAAAAAAAGAAGAAAAGAGAAGTCCATAATCCCCCCAGCAAATTCAGAAAAACACACACACCGACCCCCCGCCGCCGCCCCACCCCGCCGATAAGAACAGGCTGCCAGTGTTGAAAAGGTAATACACCACAAAGGAAATGCAAGCAGATAAACATATGAAAAGATGGCAGTCACAAGCCAAGGCAATGCAAATCAACAAGCTTTTTTCCATCCCTAAAATTAAAGGAAGTTTATCCGCCCTCCCAACCCCCAGTCCCTTGAGGGAAGTGCTAAACATTTCTTGCCCTTTCCAACCGGTGCTCTCCTGTATTGTATACTTTTAAAGTAACCTCCTTAAAATACAAAGCAGAACTTGGGAGTACACTGGTGAAAATCTCCGGTCTCCCTAATCACTTTTTTTTTTTTGGCAGGGTCTTGCTCTGTCACCCAGGCTGGAATGCAGTGATGCAATCATAGCTTAGAGTAACCTTGAACTCCTGGGCTCAAATAATCTGACCGCCTCAGCCTCCCAAGTAGCTGGGACTGCAGGCAGAAGCCAGGACGTCTGGTCCCTGAGCCCTTTTGATGGCTACCATCCAACCCTGAGACAAAATTTGCTAAACTTGTACCAGCCTCTGCTTTCTTCTTGATCAGGGATTTTGAACCCAGAGTGCCTGGGTAGTGTCTGGCTAGAATTCAGAGTATCTGATATCTTGGATGTGAAAAAGGTCACATATATTTATTGTCATTAAACGCTAATCATAATTTAGCATTTAGCATTTGAGGCTGGGAGCAGTGGCTCATGTTTGTAATCTCAGCACTTTGGGAGGCTGAGGCAGGTGGATCACCTGAGGTCAGGAGTTTGAAACCAGCCTGGCCAACATGGTGAAACCCCGTCTCTACTAAAAATACAAAAATTAGCCGGGCATGGTGGCGTGTGCCTGTTGTCCCAGCAACTCAGGAGGCTGAGGCGGGAGAATCGCTTGAACCCAGGAGGCAGAGTTTGCAGTGAGCCAAGATTGTGCCACTGCACTCCAGCCTAATCCACAGAGTGAGACTCTTGTATCAAAAAAAAAAAAAAATCAGCATTTGATACAGTTAACAACAAATAATAAATCCCACCGTGCCCGGCTGTAATTTTCAGTTTTAAGCCAGGCATGGTGGTGCGTGCTTGTATTCCCAGCTACTCAGGAGGCTGAGACAGGAGTTTGAGTGTAGCCTCGGCAACATCGCAAGACCCTGTCTCTTTTAAAAAAAATAACTTAATTTCGAGTTTCTCATTGCACCTGTCATGTACTATAGAGTGACTCTTGGAAAACACATTACCCAAAAAAGGTAGTGTTAGATAATAGGGCACTGGCCAGATTAATTACTGAAAAGGTCAAAAAATCCCCAGGGTCACTATGAATGTGGCCAGGGTGGATATTTGCCCCTGCACTGGCTGTAATCAGGGTGTTCAAACACTGGAATGTGTTTTGATTTGCATTCTCCTGACTAATATAATCTTTTTGTGTTTACTGTACATATGGTTTTTGTATATGTGTTTACAAAATTGGATTGTACTCTATATTTTCTGCACCATTTTTTCCCTCTAGTATACCAAAGACATCCTTAACCAATGGGTATGATTCTAATATACTCTTATTATGTATGGTATAATTTTTATATGTACGTTGAACATATTGTATGCACCATATAGAGTATATATATCATAACATGGTGTATATATATATAACAATGTATATTATGGTTATGATTATTTGAGACGGAGTTTCACTCTTGTTGCCCAGGTTGGAGTGCAATGGCGTGGTCTCAGCTCACTGCAACCTCCGCCTCCCGCATTCAAGCAATTGTCTTGCCTCAACCTCCCGAGTAGCTGGTGGAGCCCGCCACCACGCCTGGCTAATTTTTGTATTTTTAGTAGAGACGGGGTTTCACCATGTTGGCCAGGCTGGTCTTGAACACCTGACCTCAGATGATCCGCCTGCCTTGGCCTTCCAAAGTGCAGGAATTACAGGCGTGAGCCACTGTGCCTGGCCATAATGTATATTATAATGTATATTTTATAAATTAATGTATTTATGTACTTATATATAGTTATATCTATTCTATATAATCCCATCGTGTGCATAAATCATCATTTGTTCCACCCTTCTCTTATTAAAGGACATTGTTTTCTAGTATTTTTTGGCCAGAAAAAACTCAGTACTAAAATTTCTATTCATGTATTCCTAAGTGTACAGGTGGTTTCATTCCTAATGGTAGATTCTCAAGGGGAGAGTATATGTATTATTTCTGACTTTAATAATAGGCTTTTCGTTTCCTGAAATGTTTAATAACTATTCCTACTTCTGATGGGTAAAAGTGGTCTCATTGTTTTTTTATTATGTACTCAACTCCTGGGATTGGGCCACCTTTCACATGTTTACTATTGATTTACATTGTCTTTCCTAAAAATATTTTATTTAGTTTTAGTTTATTTGTTTTATTTTATTTTTATTTTTACTTTTTTTTTGAGATGGAGTCTTGCTCGCTCTGTTGCCCAGGCTGTAGTGCAGTGGCGTTAACCCTAATTCAACCTCTGTCTACCGAGGTCAAGTGATTCTCCTGTCTCAGCCTCTGGAATAGCTGGGATTACAGGTGCCCGCCATCATGCCCAGCTAATTTTTGTATTTTTAGTAGAGACAGGGTTTCACCATGTTGGCCAGGCTGGTCTGGAACTGCTGACCTCAGGTGATCTGCCCTCCTCAACTTCCCAAAGTGCTGGGATTACAGGCATAAGCCACTGCAACCGGCCTCAAGTACATTTATTGTAGCGTTTATTGGACACAATAAAGGCACAATTGTTATCAGAAAAATTTGTCCTTATGTGCCTGTAGAAGTTTACCCTTGTTTTCAGCTTTCTGTGTCATCTTGGCAAGTCAAGTAGAAGTCTATTTCACCAGGGAGAGCTCAGTGGTTTTCCTTAAGGATTTTCAGTTTAAAAAAAAATATTAGAAGCATTATCAGGCTAGACCCGGTGCCACTGCACTCCAACCTCGGCGAGTGAGACCCTGCTTAAAAAAAAAAAAAAAAAAAAATTAGCATATTCAAACATCAATAAAAGTAAGAACTCATCACCTAGATTCAAAAACAAATATTTTCCCCCATTTGTTTAATCTCTCTTTTTTCTTTCTTAGTTGTTTGCTGTGTTTTAAAGTAAATCCCAGACATCATGCCATTTCACCTGTAAAAACTTCAGTATGTAGCTCTTATAAAATAAGGAGACTTTCTTAACTAAATACAGTATTGTTACAGTTAATAAAATATATATTCCTCAATATTTAATAATCAGTCCATATTCAGTACTCCCTGCATTTTACAGTTGATTCATTCAAATAGAGATCCAAAATAGGGGGAGCGTACATTGCATCTAGTGAATTCCCTTAGTCTCCTGAATGAGAGTGGGCCCCTTTATTCCTGTTGAAGTCCTGTATAGGGTCCTATGGACCTGTCCGGTGGACTATTTGGTTGCTTTCTCAGTCCTTGATTAGATTCAGACACTACTGGTGCTGGGTTTTTAAAATTTACTTAATTAAGAGGGATGAGGCTGGGTGAGGTGGCTCACGCCTGTAATCCCAGCACTTTGGGAGGCCGAGGTGGGTGGATCACCTGAGGTTGGGAGTTCGAGACCAGCCTGACCAACACGGAGAAACCTTGTCTCTACTAAAAGTACAAAATTAGCCAGGCGTGGTGGCACATGCCTGTAATCCCAGCTACTTGGGAGGCTTAGGCAGGAGAATCGCTTGAACCTGGGAGGTGGAGGTTGCGGTGAGCCGAGATCATGCCATTGCATTCCAGCCTGGACAACAAGAGTGAAACTTCATCTCAAAAAAAAAAAAAGGCTGAGGGTGAAATGTGTAATTAATATTGATTCCTTCTCTTTTTTAGTAATCATTTACATGTTTTACATGTTTCCTCTTTTGACCTTTACTCTGGTGTAATCAAGATTTTCTGTATACATTTGTCCCCCTTACCTCCTGTTGCTCATATTTTGGAAGTTACTTTGTGATAAATGAGTGCCGTGTTTTTTAAACAATTTTTTGTAACTATCATGCTTTTTTCTTTTTCTTTTCTTTTTTTTTTTTTTTAGCTGTTCATTTAAAATTTTTTATTTTTTATTTTTTTGAGACAGAGGCTTACTCTGTAGCCCAGAGGCGTGATCTGGGCTCATTGCAACTTCCACATCCAGGGTTTAATTTTTTTTTTTTTTTTTTTTTTTTGAGACAGAGTCTTGCTCTTTTGCTCTTGTCGCCCAGGCTGGAGGCAATGGCACGATCCCAGCTCACTGCAACCTCCGCCTCCTGGCTTCAACTGATTCTCCTGCCTCAGCCTCCTGAGCAGCTGGGATTACAGGAACCCACCACCACGCCCAGCTAAATCTGTATTTGTAGTAGAGACAGGGTTTCACCATGTTGGCCAGGGTAGTCACGAACTCCTGACCTCAGGTGATCTGCCCACCTCGGCCTCCCAAAGTGCTGGGATTACAGGCATGAGCCACCTCACCCAGCCTAATTTGTTTTTTAAAAAAACTGGAGATGAGGTCTCACTGCATTGCTGAGGCTGGTCTCAAACTCCTGGGCTCAAGCAATCCGCTCACTCACCTCGGCCACCGAAAGTGCTGGGATTACAGGTGTGAGCCACTGCGCTTGGCCTGTTTTAAATTTTTATGGTTACATAGTAGATGTATATATTTATTTCCATACAGGCATGCAATGTGTAATAATCACATCAGGGTAAATGGGGGTATCCTATGCACTACCTCAAACATTTATCATTTCTTCTTGTTACAAACATTCCAATTATACTGTTTAAGTATACAATAAGCTATTGTTGAGTGTAGTTACCCTGCTGTGCTATCAAATACTAGATTATTTTTGTACCCATTAACCATCCCTATTCCCTACATCCACCCACCTACTACCCTTCCCAGGCTCTGGTAACTATCATTCTACTCTCTTTTTTTTTTGAGACAGGGTCTCACTCTGTCGCCCGGTACAGTGGCGTGATCTTGGCTCACTGCAACCTCCACCTCCCAGGTTCAAGTGATTCTTATACCTCAGCCTCCTGAGTAGCTGGGACTACAGGTGCGTGCCACCACGTCTGGCTAATGTTTTTTTTCTTTTGAGACGGAGTCTCGCTCTGACGCTCAGGCTGGAGTGCAGTGGCACGATCTAGGCTCACTGCAAGCTCTGCCTCCCAGGTTCATGCCATTCTCCTGCCTCAGCCTCCCAAGTAGCTGGGACTGCAGGTGCCTGCCACCACACCCAGCTAATTTTTTGTTTTTATATTTTTAGTAGAGAAAGGGTTTCACCGTATTAGCCAGGATGGTGTCTTATCTCCTGACCTTGTGATCCACCTGCCTCGGCCTCCCAGAGTGTTGGGATTACAGGTGTAAGCCACCACGCCTGGCCTCTGCTAATTTTTGTATTTTTAGTAGAGATGGGGTTTCGCCATCTCGGCCAGGCCGGTCTCAAAGTCCTGACCTCAGGGGATCCACCTGCCTTGGCCTCCCAAGGTGCTGGGATTCTAGATGTGAGTCGCCGTGCCTGGCCTTTTTTCGCTATTCTCTAGAAGAGTTTGGGCACAGCTAAGATAATAGTTGCTTCTAAATTTTCTGATTTAATTATGAAAGTTGAATGGTGCTCCCATTTTTGAACCATGCTTTATCTGTAGTTGTGTCCCCTTGTTATTCATAGTATTCCTTATTTGTATTTTGGTTTTGTTAATTCTCTATAAGTTTCTGTTTTTCATTTCTTTGATTTGCGCGCATCTCTTTTGGTTTCTTGGGTAGATTTTGCCCTTGATCTGGTAATTTAACTTTAATTTTTATTCTTTCTAGAAAATTCTAAAATTTTAAGTCTATACATTTTCCTCAAAGCACCACTTTAGCTACATTCCCCAAGTTTTGATAGGTAGTTATCATTTTGATTTAGTATTTTAAGTTTCTCCATTAGTTTGACTGAATAGTCATTTTAAAATTTAAATAACTTTAACCTTTAGTATTTAAACATTAAACATAGAAGTTTTTAAGTTTAATTTATCTTTTACTTTTATGCTATCCTTTTTCCTGATTCAATTTTTATTGCAATGAAAAATTTCTGAAATTATTTTTTAGAAACAGCGTCTCACTATGTTGCCCAGGCTGATGTTGAACTTCTGGGCTCAAGTAATCATTCCACCTTAACCTCCCAGAGTGCTAGGATTACAGGTGTGGCACCGTGCCCTGCTTGAAATTCTTGGTTGGGTGCTGAGCATATATCTTTTGCCCTGACAAGAATGACATTTTAGCTGCTTATGTGATTCTTATTTTGCAGGGGAGGGGACAGGGTCTCACACTGTCACCCAGGCTGGAGTGCAATGGTGCGATGTCAGCTCACTGCATCCTCTGCCTCCCTCAGGCTCAAGTGATCCTCTTACCTCAGCCTCCCTTATTACTGGGACTACAGTGCACGCCACCACACCAGGCTAATTTTTGTTAGAGACAGTTTCACCATGTTACCCAGGCAGGTCTCAATCTCCTGAGCTCAAGTGATTCACCTGCCTTCACCAGGGAAGCCTTTTCTAGATCTCCCTGTACTCTAAAAATCAATATTCTTGGCTGGGTGCAGTGGCTCAAGCCTGTAATTCCAGCACTTTGGAGGCCGAGGCAGGCGGATCACGAGGTCAGGAATTCGAGGCCAGCCACCAACATGGTGAAACCTCGTCTCCACTAAAAATACAAAAAAAAATTACCTGGCACCTGTAATCCCAGCTACTCGGGAGGCTGAGGCGGGAGAATTGCTTAAAGCTGGGAGGCGGAGGTTGCAGTGAGCCGAGATCGCGCCATTGCACTCCAGCCTGGGTGACAAGAACAAGACTGTCAAAAGAAAAAAACAAAATAAAACCAACGAAAACTCTCTTTCTCTCTCTCTCTCTTTCTCTCTCTCTCTCTCTCTCTCTCTCTCTATATATATATATATATATATATATATTTTTTTTTAGACAGTCTTGCTGTGTTGCCCAGCCTGCAGTTCAGTGGCTTGAACTTGGCTCACTGAAACCTCTGCCTCCCAGGTTCAAGCAATTCTTATGCCTCAGCCTCCTGAGTAGCTGGTATTACAGGCACGTGCCACCATACCTGGCTAATTTTTGTATTTTTGTAGAGACGGGGTTTTGCCACGTTGGCCAGGCTGGTCTTGAACTCCTGACCTCAAATGATCCACCCACCTCAGCCTCCCAAAGTGCTGGGATTACAGGCGTGAGCCACTGTGCCTGCCTAACAATATTATTCTGTTGAGACAAGGTCTCACTCTGTCACCCAAGGTGTGGAGTGCAGGGGCACAATCACAGCTCACTGCAGTCTTAACTTTCCAGGCTCAAGTCATCCTTGCATCTGAACCTCCCAAGTAGCTGGGACCACAGGCGTGTGTCACTATGCCCAGCTAATTTTTTATTTTTTTGTAGAGACAGGTCACCCTATGTTGCCCAGGCTGGTCTCGAACTCCTGGGGTCAAGTGATCCTCCCACCTCAACCTCTCAAAGTGCTGGGATTGCAGGTGTGAGCCACCATGCCTGGCCAAGAAAGTCATTTTGAATTGACTTGATAATTGGTTTTCAGAAAAAGTCTTAATGTTAACAATCTCTGCAATTCAAAAGGGACAACTATTTCTCAATTTTGCGTAAGATTCTATTCAAGTTAGCTTAGATTTGGATGATTTGGTATGATACATATGTTGGTTTCTTAAAGAATAACATCTATTATAATTAATCTCATTATAGAGAACACAGACAACAAAGTTAATAGTATGGCAAATCAGACAGCTTCATTCTTAGTTATCTGCTCTTTGGTTAATTTATTGCATTCAAATCACTATGTAAAGGGAATTTTCATGATAATTTATAAATTTTGAATTCTAATTTTCTAATCTTACCCATTTTGCTAGTGAACTTTTTATTAATTTATTATGGAGTGCACCCAGCATAGTTTTCTTAACTAAGCTCATATTCTTACCAAGTTTCTCAAGAGAATTCTTTAGTAAGTAATTTTTCATTTTTTTGTATTTCAGATTGACGTATTTTAAGATTTTTTTAACTTCTGAAGTCTAGCAGGCCTGTAAGAACAAAAATCATTCTGTAGGAATTAAAAACAGAATCCAGTCTTGACAACATATCCACAATGTCTGATGTATCTACTAGTGTACAATCAAAATTTGCTAGACTTGCAAAGAAAAAGGAAAATATCACCTATATGAAAAGAGAGCAGTTAACAGAAACTGATAAGGACATAGCTCCGGTATTAGATTTAAAATGCAAGGACGTATCAGCAATTATGAATAAGTTTAAGGTCTTAATGGAAATTCAAGACCTGATGTTTGAGGAGATGAGGGAAACTCTTAAAAATGACCTAAAAGCAGTTTTAGGGGGAAAAGCTACAATACCTGAGGTAAAGAATTCAGAGAACTCCAGTAGTAGGACAGAGTTTCAGCAAATAATCAATTTAGCATTACAAAAAACAGGGATGGTAGGGAAAATAGAAGGAGAAAACTCTAAAATAGGTGATGATAATGAAAATTTAACCTTTAAATTAGAAGTAAATGAGCTGAGTGGTAAATTAGACAACACTAACGAATACAATAGTAATGATGGTAAGAAATTACCCCAGGGTGAATCACGAAGTTACGAAGTCATGGGAAGTATGGAAGAAACCTTATGCAATATAGATGACAGAGATGGAAATCGCAATGTCCATTTAGAATTTACAGAAAGAGAGAGTAGGAAGGATGGAGAGGATGAATTTGTCAAAGAAATGAGAGAGGAAAGAAAATTTCAGAAATTGAAGAATAAAGAGGAGGTTTTAAAAGCCTCCAGAGAAGAAAAAGTGTTGATGGATGAAGGAGCAGTACTTACCCTGGTAGCCGACCTTTCATCAGCAACACTGGATATTAGTAAGCAATGGAGTAATGTCTTCAACATTCTGAGAGAAAATGATTTTGAACCTAAATTTCTGTGTGAAGTTAAATTAGCATTTAAATGTGATGGTGAAATAAAGACATTTTCAGATCTGCAAAGCCTTAGAAAATTTGCCAGCCAAAAATCTTCTGTGAAAGAATTACTGAAAGATGTACTCCCACAAAAGGAAGAAATAAATCAAGGAGGAAGAAAATATGGAATTCAAGAAAAAAGGGTAAGCATACAAATGTATAAATGTATAAAGCTTATGTATAAATGTAATAGTAGGCATGGTTATTTTGAAGGATAAATCAATTTTTTTTTTCTTGAGATGGAGTTTCGCTCTTGTCGGCCAGGTGGGAGTGCAGTGGCACGATCTCGGCTCGCTACAACCTCTGCCTCCCAGGTTCAAGTGATTCTCCTGCCTTGGCCTCCCAAGTAGCTGGGATTACAGGCATGCACCACCACGCCCAGATAATTTTGTATTTTCAGTAGAGACGGGGTTTCTCCATGTTGGTCAGGCTGGTCTCAAACTCCCGACCTCAGGTGATCCACCTCGGCTACCCAAAGTGCTGGGATTACAGGCGTGAGCCACTGGGCCCAGCCGGTTAAATCAAATTTTAAAAAATGATTCCTTAAAAGTAAAAGCATGATATTAAAAGTAATGATTTAAAGGGCACTTTTTTTTTCTGTGAAGGTTTTATTATGGGCAGAGGGCAAGGGGGCCTTAGTCCTTCTTGGCAGCTGGTTTCATCATGGTGGCCAAGACGGCACTCAGCTCCTCTCCCTGTTGGTGTGAATGTGTGACCTCACCCTTTTCTTGATGAACTTGAGGGCCTGTTTGTCCTTTGAGACCTTGAACAACTCCGTGGTGTGATACTCTACGTGGCGAAGCAACACACCTCTCAGATCATGTCCCACACTAACTTAGTGTGTTTGGTCAGGTGCCTGAAACAGCGGCAGTGCCTGGGCTTTTGCTCATGTTCTTGATCACCTTGTTGCCCTTGTTGAGACCCAAAGCCTTGGGGTCACACAGAGCAGTGGCTGCTGTTCTCCAATGGCTGCTGTGCTGGAAGGGGCTTTTTTTTTTTTTTTTGAGATAAAGTCTTGCTCTATTGCCCTGGTGGGGGTGCAGTGGCTCAATCTGGGCTCACTGCACCCTCCACCTCCCAGGCTCAAGTAATCCTCCTACTCCAGCCTCCTGATAGCTGGGACCACATGCATGCACTACCACACCCAGCTAATTTTTGTACTTTTTATAGAGACGAGGTTTTGCCATGTTGCCCATGCTGGTCTCGAACTCCTGGGCTCAAGCAGTCTACATGCCTTGGCCTCCCAAAGTGCTGGAATTACAGGTGTGAGCCACCATGCCCAGCCAAGGTCTATATTCGTAAGCCAATATTTTTTTACATGTTTTCAAATGAACGCTTCTCCTCTGCCTTTCCAACATTTCCAAGTGTAACCTCTGCAAAGTGAGAATCCATAAGGAAAAGGTACACTTGAATCAACAAATTATTTAAGAATCAGTATTTAATCTCAGAAATTAGCTGCCTTCCAGTGTTTCACAGATGAGGCACCTAACCTGTCTGGTGGGTTTGGGAAGGTTGAAAAGCTCAGTGGCAGACTAAGGGCTTCAAGGAATATTAGGAGCCAACATTTATATTGCAGACATCATCAGAAGCTCAATACCTTGCTTACTTTATATTACAAAAATCCTGGAGTGATGCTGCCATTAGACCCTGCTTTATAAGGAAAATTGAGGCACTAGTAGCAAATGTGGCAATCGGGCCAGGGTTTGAATAGTTTTGAACTGAGCTTGTTGTATTCCTAACCAAAGCCTGCTTGTCTTTAAAGTCCTAAGGCTAGAGTGTAAACTGCAATTGGGGTCTTTTTTTTTTTTTTTTTAATTGGGTTTGTTGTCTGTGGAGAAAGGTAAATGTGAGCCTGGGGTTTTTGTTTGTGTGTGCTTATGATCTTCCTAAAGCAGATTGTAAACTTTAGCCAGATTACAATGCCTATTTACCATAGGACTCTCACATACAATAAGCAGACAATTGATTAAAATAGGTAATTACTGAGGATCAATCACATACACAGCAGTAAGTGTTCAGGGATCTAGAAGGAAGAAAGTAGACATTATGACCTCAGAATTTGTTTCAAGATTACACAAGAAATGACAAATATCTTGAGATGATCATAGGGAGACTTGACTTGTTTGGGGACCTAGGCCTTCAAGAACAATTAATATTTAAGCACTTTTTCAGATATTTTCTGTCAGAATTGAAGCCATATTAAAATTAGTGAAATTGAAATTTTAATTCTTTAAAAGACAAATGATTTAAACAAATAACTCTTTTTTTTCTTCTTTGTTTAACTTTCAGGATAAAACCCTAATAGACTCAAAGCATAGAGCTGGAGAAATAACCAGTGATGGCTTGAGCTTCCTATTTCTTAAAGAAGTAAAAGTTGCTAAGCCAGAGGAGATGAAAAACTTAGAGACTCAAGAGGAAGAGTTTTCCGAGCTAGAGGAGCTGGATGAAGAGGCCTCAGGGATGGAGGATGATGAAGATACCTCAGGGCTGGAGGAGGAGGAGGAAGAGCCCTCAGGGCTGGAGGAGGAAGAAGAAGAAGAGGCTTCAGGGTTGGAGGAGGATGAGGCCTCAGGGCTAGAGGAGGAAGAGGAACAGACTTCAGAACAGGACTCAACCTTTCAGGGTCATACTTTGGTAGATGCAAAGCATGAAGTTGAGATAACCAGTGATGGCATGGAAACTACTTTCATTGACTCTGTAGAGGATTCTGAATCAGAGGAGGAAGAAGAAGGAAAGAGCTCTGAAACAGGAAAGGTAAAGACTACCTCCCTGACTGAGAAAAAAGCCTCACGTAGACAAAAAGAAATTCCCTTTAGTTATTTGGTTGGGGACTCTGGGAAGAAAAAGTTGGTGAAACACCAGGTGGTGCACAAAACCCAGGAGGAAGAGGAAACAGCTGTGCCCACAAGTCAAGGAACTGGCACACCCTGTCTGACCTTATGTTTGGCCTCTCCCTCAAAGTCACTAGAGATGAGTCATGATGAGCATAAAAAGCATTCACATACAAATTTGAGTATTTCAACAGGAGTCACCAAACTTAAGAAAACAGAAGAAAAGAAACACAGAACTCTGCACACAGAAGAACTAACATCCAAAGAAGCAGACTTAACAGAGGAAACAGAAGAAAACTTGAGAAGTAGTGTGATTAATAGCATCAGAGAGATAAAAGAGGAGATTGGAAATTTGAAAAGTTCCCATTCAGGTGTCTTGGAAATTGAAAATTCAGTAGATGATCTGAGTAGCAGAATGGACATACTTGAAGAAAGAATAGACAGTCTAGAAGATCAAATTGAAGAATTCTCTAAGGATACAATGCAAATGACCAAACAGATAATTAGTAAAGAAAGGCAAAGAGATATAGAGGAGAGATCTAGAAGTTGCAACATTCGTTTGATAGGAATTCCAGAAAAGGAGAGTTATGAGAATAGGGCAGAGGACATAATTAAAGAAATAATTGATGAAAACTTTGCAGAACTAAAGAAAGGTTCAAGTCTTGAGATTGTCAGTGCTTGTCGAGTACCTAGTAAAATTGATGAAAAGAGACTGACTCCTAGACACATCTTGGTGAAATTTTGGAATTCTAGTGATAAAGAGAAAATAATAAGGGCTTCTAGAGAGAGAAGAGAAATTACCTACCAAGGAACAAGAATCAGGTTGACAGCAGACTTATCACTGGACACACTGGATGCTAGAAGTAAATGGAGCAATGTCTTCAAAGTTCTGCTGGAAAAAGGCTTTAATCCTAGAATCCTATATCCAGCCAAAATGGCATTTGATTTTAGGGGTAAAACAAAGGTATTTCTTAGTATTGAAGAATTTAGAGATTATGTTTTGCATATGCCCACCTTGAGAGAATTACTGGGGAATAATATACCTTAGCACGCCAGGGTGACTACAAACAATATGCTTTCCTCCCCCAGCATGCATCCAAAAATCAACAAGTAAAACGAAAATACACTTCTACCCAGAAGGATGGACAGCTAATAGCGTACTTGGGGATGAGGAGCAAGGAATATTACAGATATTACCTAGATGTTAATAAAGGGTATGTTTAAAAAAAATAGGCTGGTCTCAATGTAGTGAGTTATTTCAGTTGATCACAGTCAGTTACAGATAGAATTCCTTGTTTTACTTCCCCCCCACCACCTCCCTACTGCAGTTGACTAGTCTTTTTAGAATTTATATTATCTGGCTGGGCACGGTGGCTCACACCTGTAATCCCAGCACTTTGGGAGGCCGAGGCGGGTGGATCACGAGGTCAGGAGATCGAGACCATCCTGGCTAACACAGTGAAACCCCGTCTCTACTAAAAATAAAAAAAATTAGCCGGGCATGGTGGCGGGCGCCTGTAGTCCCAGCTACTTGGGAGGCTGAGGCAGGAGAATGGCGTGAACCCAGGAGGCGGAGCTTGCAGTGAGCCGAGATCACACCACTGCACTCCAGCCGGAGCCACAGAGCGACACTCCGTCTCAAAAAAAAGTATATTGTGCTAGCTTGTCTAAGAATAAACTTCTATACTGTTGGGGGAGGGCTGCACCTGTCAAGATAACCTGTCAATGTAGTAGGAAAACAGGAGGGGACAGTAACAGAAAAGCACGGGAAAAGATGGCAAGGTTAGTTAAAATAGAAAAGTGCTCAGTTCCTCATACCTGTAATCCCAGCAGTTTAGGGGGCCAAGGCAGGTGGGTCACTTGAGCCCAAGAGTTCAAGGCCATCCTGGGCAATGTGGCGAAAGTGTCTACAAAAAAATACAAAAAGAGGAAGAAATGATATTTCACAAGTTTGTATCATTTGTCATGATGTGACTCGAATATATTAAATCTTTTTCCTTTGAATACTGTATACTGTTTGCTTAAAAATTTTGATCTTACATTTTCTGAAGTACTTTGTCATACGTAGTGTGATAAGTTAAATTTTACTGCACGAACCCATTCCTGGAGAGATGAAATCTCTTCCATAGCATGTGACACTTAGGTTTTCATTTAATTATTTAAGAATGAAATGAGGCAGCCAGGTGCCATTGCTCACACCTGTAATCCAAGCACTTTGGGAGGCCAAGGTAGGTGGATTAGGAGGTCAAGAGATCAAGACCATCATGGCCAACATGGTGAAACCCCATCTCTACTAAAAATACAACAAAATTAGTCGGACATGGTGGTGCTTGCCTGTAGTCCCAGCTATTCAAGATGCTGAGGCAGGAGAATTCCTTGAACCTGGGAGGCGGAGGTTGCAGTGAGCTGAGATGGCACCACGGTACTCCATCCTGGTGACAGCGAGACTCCGTCTAAAAAAAAAAAAATCCACTTGCAATGGATGAGTAGTGAAGAAATTAAGGAGAGGGAGTGGTCTAGTCATTTAGACTGCTACTAGGACTAATTCAGTATATTCCATTTTTTTTTAACCCCAAACAATAGCATTTTGGCATAACTGGTATAATATAAAAAGGCTGGGCATGGTGGCTCATGCCTGTAATCCCAGTGCTTTGGGAGGCTGAGACGGGCGAATCACCTGAGGTCAGGAGTTCGAGACCAGCCTGGCCAACTTGGTGAAACCCCATCTCTACTAAAAATAACAAAAATTACTTGGGTGTGGTGGTGGGCACCTGTAATCCCAGCTACTTGGGAAGCTAGGCATGATAACCGCTTGAACCTAGGAAGTGGAGGTTGCAGTGAGCCAAAATTGTGCCACTGCACTCCAGCTTGGGAGACAGAATGAGTGAAATTCGTCTCAAAAGAAATCAGGCCAGGCGTGATGGCTCAATCCCATAATCCCTGTCTGCAAAGATGAGGCAGAGATTGGAGTGATACTTCTGCAAGCCAAGGAACACCATGTGTTCTCAGCAACTTTAGCTTCTCAGAAGCTAAAGGAGGTAAGGAAGGAATCTTCCCTAGATCTTCTGGTGTGAGCATGATCCTGCCAATACCTTGATCTCAGACTTCTAGCCTCCAGAACCACAAGGGAATACATTCTTATTTTAAGTCACCTAGCTTGTGGTACTTTGTGATGGCAGGCCTACAAAATGAATGCAGTAGTCACAAACCCAATTCACCTCTCAAACACCGCTGTCCCCTAGACTCATAGCCGGTTGCTGCAGAGATATTGGTGGGTGGAAGATTAGAAGAGGCCAAACCACAGGAATCTGCTTACTGATTTATTTGCAGCAGCCAGGTTGAGAGAGAAGTCTGCACCTCTGCAGTAGCCTCAACATGGATGCTTACATTGACATTTATTTTTGAGACAAGGTCTCACTCTCGCCCAGGCTGGAGTGCAGTGGCACAATCATCAGGGCTCACTGCAGCATCAACCTCCCAGGCTCAAGTGATCCTCCTGCCTCAGCCTCCCAAATAGCTGGAATCACAGGCATGCACCACCATGCCCAGCTAATTTTTTGGTGTTTTTTGTAGAGACAGAGTTTCACCATGTTGCCCAGGCTGGTCTCAAACTCCTGGGCTCAAGTGATCAGCACCACCTTAACGTCCCAAAGTGCTGGGATTATAAGCGTTGAGCCACCTTGCCTGAGCACTTTGACATATTTATACAAAGTCAAGACTTGTCTTATCTTGTGGGGTTTATTTGAGTATAGTAATTAAGCCACTTTTTTCCAAGGCTGAGGGAAAGGAAAAGAGAATTCCAGTGCAGAAAGTAGATAGAATTGAGAATCTCCTGTCCCTGCTACTCGATCAAGTCTAGGCAGGGTCCCTCTCTTGATTTTCCCCTTTATCCTCAGTCCTCACTCATTCTTCCCCTGCCTCCCAGTGTTCACCTACTCCATGTGTCATGTAAATCCTTGGAGACATGGATTTCTTCTAAAATACATCATTTTGTGAGTGTGTTCTTAATGTATGGAAGTGATTGTAGTACTGTGATAGTGAATGAAGACCATGCAAATGGGGAGAAACTTAGGCTATATATTCAGACCTTGCTCTGCCGGGCACAGTGGCTCACGCCTACCCGCAATTTGGGAGGCCGAGGTGGGTGGATCATTGGAGGCCTGGAGTTTGAGACCAGCCTGGCCAACATGGTGAAACCCCGTCTTTCCTAAAAATACAAAAACTAGCCAGGTGTGGTGGTGTGCACCTGTAATCCCAGCTTCTTGGGAGGCTGAGGCAGGAGAATTGCTTGAACCCAGGAAGTGGAAGTTGCAGCGAGCCAAGATTGCGCCACTGCACTTCAGCCTGGGCGATACAGCGACAGTCAGTCTCAAAAACAAACAAATGGCCGGGTGCGGTGGCTCACACCTGTAATCCCAGCACTTTGGGAGGCTGAGGCAGGTGGATCACCTGAGGTTGGGAGTTCGAGACCAGCTTGACCAACATGGAGAAACCCCGTCTCTACTAAAAAATACAAAATTAGTCGGGCGTGGTGGTGCATGCCTGTAATCCCAGCTACTTGGGAGGCTGAGGCGGGAGAATCGCTTGAACCCAGGAGGCAGAGGTTGCAGCGAGCTGAGATCGTGCCATTGCATTCCAGCCTGGGCAAAAAGAGCGAAACTCCATCTCAAACAAACAAACAAACAAACAAATAATTCAGACCTTGGTCTGGCAAAGGAGGCAGCCACCATCACTAGTGTTTGACAAAGACTCAGAGGCAGAGGCAGTCAGGGGGAGCAGAAAAGCTTCATAGTGAAATAAAAAGGGATGGCCTCAGGTATGTGTGTCCTCTGATTGGAAGTTGTTGGCATGGAGAGGCTAACTAGAAGCAGGACTTCTTATGTGATGGCTTTGAGGAATATATCTTTTTCTCTGCTTGGTCCTGAGTTTGGAGCAAAAATAGGGAAATTGGCCGTCGCTGACCAACTCTGACCGTTCTGGGCCAGTTGCTGCAAAGGTTGTGGTTTGGCTTCCCCAGTGATTGCTGCAGAAGTTGTTGGTGAGAGTTCTGTTGTCAAGTATGCTTTGGCCATTGTATGTTTGTATATTGAGTCTCTTCCACCTGAAGGCCTAGGATGAAATATGTATTTTCCCTGTATCCTCCCTTGCATTCTCATTTTTACCACCACAAAACCATATCCCTTCTCTGATTAGTGAAGTTGAGAATCTCTTCATATATTTTTCAGCCATTTAGAGTTTGTCTTCTGTGAATTGCTGATTAATATCTTTTATTTATTTATTTATTTATTTTGAGATGGAGTCTTATGCTGTTGCCCAGGCTGGAGTGCAGTGGCACGACCTTGGTTCACCACAGCCTCCGCCTCCTGGCAGGTTCACACAATTCTACTGCCTCAGCCTCCCTAGTAGCTGGGATTACAGGCGCCAGCCACCATGCCCAGCTGATTTTTTTGTTTGTTTTTTCTTTGAGACAGAGTCTGGCTCTGTTGCCCAGGCTGGAGTGTAGTGGCACGATCTCGGCTCACTGCAACCTCCGCCTCCCGGGTTCAAGCGATCCTCCTGCCTCAGCCCCCCTAGTAGCTGGGATTACAGGCATGTGCCACCATGCCTGGATAATTTTTGTATTTTTAGTAGGCATGGGGTTTCGCCATGTTGGCCAGGCTGGTCTCAAACTCCTGACCTTAGGTGATCTGCCTGCTTCGGCCTCCCAAAGTGCTGGGATTACAGGCGTGAGCCACCGTGCGCGGCCCGAAAATTTTTGTATTTTTAGTAGAGATGGGGTTTCTCCATGTTGACCAGGCTGGTCTCAAACTCTTGACCTCAGGTGATCCACCTGCCTCGGTCTCCCAACGTGCTGGAATTATAGGCATGAGCCACCATCAATGTTCTTTCATCAATTTCAAAAACAAACACCTCTTTTCTTTTTATTGCTAGTTTGCAGAAGTTCCTCATATATCTGGGTAGTAATCCCATTTTTTTTTATTGTTTTTATTTTATTTTTCTTTTTTCTGAGACGAGTCTCGCTCTGTTGCCCAGGCTGGGATGCAGTGGTGGGATCTCGGTTCACTGCAGCCTCCACCTCCTCGGTTCAAGCAATTCTCCTGCCTCAGCCTCCTGAGTAGCTGGGATTACAGGTGTGTGTCATCACGCCCAGCTAATTTTTGTATTTTTAGTAGCAATTCACCATGTTAGCCAGGCTGGTCTTGAACTCCTGACCTTGTGATCCACCAATCTCGGCCTCCCAAAGTGCTGGGATTAGAGGCGTGAGCCACTGAGCCCGGTCAATGATCTTTTTTTTTGAGACGGAGTCTCGCTCTGTTGCCAGGCGTGAGTGCAATGGCGCGATCTGGGCTCACTGCAACCTCTGCCTCCCGGGTTCAAGCAATTCTCCTGCCTCAGCCTCCCGAGTAGCTGGGACTACAGGCACGTGCCACCGTGCCCGGCTCATTTTTTGTATTTTTAGTAGAGATGGGGTTTCACCATGTTGGTCAGGATGGTCTCGAACTCCAGACCTCGTGATCCACCCACCTCATTCTCCGAAAGTGCTGGGATTACAGGTGTGAGCCACTGCGCCAGGGCCCGGTCAGTGATCTTAAATTTCAAATGGTTCATCTGTGTTTTTCAAACTTACGTTATTTGTATTTTCGTGTATTGCCTTCAGGTGTTTTTTAAAAATTTTTATTTTTAATTGTGCTTGCAATCACATAAGATTTAACTCGACATCTTAAACATTTTTTTTTTTTTGAGACGGAGTCTTGCTCTGTCGCCCAGGCTGGAGTGCAGTGGCGCTATCTTGGCTCACTGCAAGCTCCGCCTCCCAGGTTCACGCCATTCTCTTGCTTCAGCCTCCCGAGTAGCTGGGACTACAGGCGCCCGCCACCACGCCCAGCTAATTTTTTTTTTTTTTTTTTTTTTTTTTTTTTGAGACGGAGTCTCGCTCTGTCGCCCAGGCCGGACTGCGGACTGCAGTGGCGCAATCTCGGCTCACTGCAAGCTCCGCTTCCCGGGTTCACGCCATTCTCCTGCCTCAGCCTCCTGAGTAGCTGGGACTACAGGCACCCGCCACCGCGCCCGGCTAATTTTTTGTATTTTTAGTAGAGACGGGGTTTCACCTTGTTAGCCAGGATGGTCTCGATCTCCTGACCTCATGATCCACCCGCCTCGGCCTCCCAAAGTGCTGGGATTACAAGCGTGAGCCACTGTGCCTGGCCGACACCTTAAACATTTTAAGTGTACGGTTCAGTAGTGTGCTAAGTATATTCATATTATTGTGCAACAAATCTCTACAACTTTTTCATCTTGCAAAACTGAAACTCTATGCCCATTAAACACTAATTCCTCCTTCCCCCTACTTCTAGCAATCACCTTTTTACTTTCTGTTTCTATGATTTTTCTTTTTTTTTTTTAGGGAGAGAGTTTCACTCCATCTCCCAGACTGGAGTATAGTGGCATGATCTCAGCTTACCGCAACCTCCGTCTCCTGGGTTCAAACGACTCTCCTGCCTCAGCCTCCTGAGTAGCAGAGAATTACAGCCTCATGCCACTACTGCCCAGCTAATTTTTGTATTTTTAGTAGAGACTGGGTTTCACCATGTTGGCCAGGCTGGTCTTGAACTCCTGACCTCAAAGGATCTGCCCGCCTCGGCCTCCCAAAGTGCTGGGATTACAGGCATGAGCCACCGTACCCAACTTGTTTCTGTGATTTTTTAACTATTCCAGATACCTCATGTGAATGGACGGATACAGTATTTGTCCTTGTGTGACTGGCTTATTTCACTCAGTGTGACGTCCTCGAGGTTCAGCCATGTTGTAGCATGTGAAAGAATCTTCTTTTAAAAAGGCTGCATAATATTCCTTTGTATGTTTATACCACATCTTCATGTACTCACCTTTAGATGGACGTTTTTGTGGTTTTCACCTCTTGGATATTTTGAATAATGCTGTAATGAACATGGATGTGTAAATATCTTTTTGAATTCTTGCCCCAAAATGGAATTGCTGGATCATATGGTTTTGTTTTGTTTGTTTATTTTTTGAGACAGAATTTCACTCTTGTTGCCCAGACTGGAGTGCAATGGCATGATCTCAGCTGACTGCAACCTCCGCCTCCCAGGTTCAAGCAATTCTCCTGCCTCAGCCTCCTGAGTAGCTGGGATTACAGGTGTGCGCCACCACGCCCAGCTAATTTTTTTGTATTTTTAGTAGAGACGGGGTTTCACCATGTTGGTCAGGCTGGTCTTGAACTCCTGACCTCAGGCGATCCACCTGCCTCAGCCTCCCAAAGTGCTGGGATTATAGGCATGAACCACCCTGTCCAGACCAGATCATATAGTAATTCCACTTTTAATTTTTTTTTTTTAAACAGGGTATTGTTTTGTCACCAAGGCTGCTATGTAGTAGCATGATCACAGCTCACTGCAGCCTTGGCCTCCTGGGCTCAAGTGATCCTCCCATCTCAGCTTCCCAAGGTACTGGGATTTCAGACATGAGTCACTGCATCCAGCCTATTTTTAGTTTTTTGAGGAACCTCCTTACGGTTTTTTACAGCAGCCACACCATTTTACATCCCCATCTACTACCAGATTTGTAAAGAAATAGAAACATCCTAGGGACTTAGAAGCTCCCAGCCCACGTGTCCTTGTCTTTTTTTTTTTTTTTTTTTCTTGAGATAGAGTCTGGCTCTGTCACCCAGGCTAGAGTGCAATGGCAAAATCTTGGCTGACTGCAACTTCCGCCTCCCAGGTTCAAGGGATTCTTCTGCCCCAGCCTCCCCAGTAACTGGGACTACAGGCGCACGCCATACTGCCTGGCTAACTTTTGTATTTTTAGTAGAGATGGGATTTCACCATGTTGGCCAGGCTGGTCTCGAACTCCTGACCTCAAGTGATCCACCTGCCTTGGCCTCCCAAAGTGCTAGGATTACAGGCATGGGCCACTCATTACACCCGGCCATGTCCCAGGCAGCATAGGAAGAGAGTTAGAGGGTACCTGTAGATCACCAAATTCTTGCAACCACCTCGCCTGGCCTGAAAGGAGACTTCTTAAGGGAGGTGATAACTGAATCAAGTCCTGAAGGATCCTAGGACTTAGCTCAACAAGGGCAGGAAAAAGGGCTTCCAGATAGAAAGAATAGCCTGCCGGGCGTGGTGGCTCACACCCGTAATCCCAGCACTTTGGGAGGCTGAGGTGAGCGGATGACGAAGTCAGGAGTTAAAGACCTGCATGACCAACATGGTAAAACCCCATCTCTACTAAAAATACAAAAATTAGTCGGGCATGGTGGCGAGCGCCTGTAGTCCCAGCTACCTGGCAGGCTGAGGCAGGAGAACTGCTTGAACCCAGGAGGCAGAAGTTGCAGTGAGCTGAGATCACACCCCTGCACTCCAGCCTGGGCGACAGAGTGAGACTCTGTCTCAAAAAAAAAAAAAAAAAGAGAAAGAATAGCCTGAAAAAACCTAGAGGAGAGAGGAGGACTTGTTTTTTGAGATGGAGTTTCACTCTTTCACCCAGGCTGAAGTGGCACGATCTTGGCTCACTGCAACCTACGCACTCCCCGCCTCCCCTTGGGTTCAAGCAATTCTCCTGCCTCAGCCTCCTGAGTAGCTGGGATTACAGGCATGCGCCACTACACCTGGTTAATTTTTGTATTTTTAGTAGAGAGGGGGTTTCATTATGTTGGCCAGGCTGGTCTCAAACTCTTGACCTCAGGGGATCCATCTGCCTCAGCCTTCCAAAATGCTAGGATTACAGGCGTGAGCCACCGTGCCCGGCTGGAGAGAGGACTTGACTCATGCAGAGAATTATTTCTCCTTTAGTATGGCTGGGGCTTAGAGATATTTAAAAATCCATATTTTTTACTTCTCTATTATTAGCTTTTAAATGACAGTATGCAGACATTTAAGTTTTCTGTATGGTAGTATAAAAACAGGGCAGCAAAACTCCAGGCTGTTAGGGATTGTGACATCTATCTCTCCTTTCACTGCAACAATGGAGGATGTGAACTCAATACCGGTGGCCCAAATATTTTTATGCCAAGAAAGACTTTCCTTGACTTGATAGAGTTTATGGTCTTAGTGGGAAAACCAGACATTAAAGAATGTTAAGGCTTCTGAGTTATATGAAAGGGACAATACTGTGTTCTCTGAACACCTGAGAAAGAGGACTGAGGAGCCTCACACTTCAGATGAGACATTGAAGAAGTCTAGAGATGTTATTATACAACATCCTGACCCAAGTCTATAAACAAATAGGGATATTTCAATTATTTGCTTAACTTGCATAAGAATATGAAAAGTAGGCCGGGCATGGTGGCTTGCGCGCATAGTCCCAGCACTTTGGGAGGCCGATCACCTGAGGTCGGGAGTTTAAGACAAGCCTGACTAACATGGAGAAAGCCTGTCTCTACTAAAAATACAAAATTAGCCGGGTGTGGTGGTGCATGCCTATAATCCCAGCTACTTGGGAAGCTGAGGCAGGAGAATCGCTTGAAACCCGGAGGTGGAGGTGGCAGGGAGCCAAGATCGTGCCACTGCACTCCAGCCTGGACGACAGAGTGAGACTCCATCTCAAATAATAATAATAAGCAATTAAAGCTGCTAAAAGTCAATTATTTATTTATTTATGTTTTGAGATAGAGTCTCGCTCTGTTGTCCAGGCTTGAATGCAATGGTGCGATCTCGACTCATTGCAACCTTCACCTCCCGGGTTCAAGCAATTCTTGTGCCTCAGCCTCCCTAGTAGCTGGGATCACAGGTGCTGGATAATTTTTTTTGTATTTTTAGTAGAGATGGGGTTTTGCCATGTTGGCCAAGCAGGTCTCGAACTCCTGACCTCAGGTGATCCGTCCAACTTGGCCTCCCAAAGTGTTGGGATTACAGGTGTGAGCCACTGTGCCCGGCCAATTTTTAAATTAAATCTTTCCTCTAAAATAACCATTGGACCTTGCAGCCATTTTGTTTCTAATCACCATATATACAAATGTAAATTTTTATGAATAAGAATTTCCTTTATTTAGTCCTACCCTCCTTCTCCACCCCACCCTTATGGTAGGACAGGCTAGCAAGACTGGAATTAATAGACCAAAGGGTCTGGTCATTTTATGGCTTGTGCTACATATTATCCATATTACTTTCAAAAACAGAGTTAGTGATTTATACTGTCTCAACTGAGAGAGCTGGCTTTTCACCTCTTCCTGTCAACAAAGGGCATAATTTAAAACACATTTTAATGAAGAAAAAAATGGTACCTTGCGATGCTCAATGTTGACTTCTAGTGTGATTAGAACACCTCTGTTTGTATTACTTCCACCATACTGCACTCATCTAGCTATGCAAATTGGGCTTTTAATTTTGTATCTTTTTTTTTTTTTTTTTTTTGAGGCAGAGTCTTGCTCTGTCGCCCAGGCTGGAGTGCAGTGGCATGATCTCGGCTCACTGCAAGCTCCACCTCCTGGGTTCATGCCATTCTCCTGCCTCAGCCTCCCCAGCAGCTGGGACTACAGGCGCCTGCCACCACGCCCGGCTAATTTTTTTTTGTATTTTTAGTAGAGATGGGGTTTCACGGTGTTAGCCAGGATGGTCTTGATCTCTTGACCTCGTGATCTGCCTGCCTTGGCCTCCCAAAGTGCTGGGATTACAGGTGTGAGCCACCACACCCGGCCTTTTTTTTTTGAGAAGGAGTTTCACTCTTGTCCCCCAGGCTGGTGTGCAATGGCACAATCTTGGCTCACTGCAACCTCTGCCTCCTGGGTTCAAATGATTCTCCTGCCTCAGCCTCTTGAGTAGCTAGGATTACAGGCATGCACCACCACACCTGGCTAATTTTTATATTTTTAGTAGAGATGGGTTTCACCATGTTGGCCAGGCTGGTCTCAAACTCCTGGCCTTAAGTGATCTGCCCACCTTGGCCTCCCAAAGTGCTAGGATTACAGGCATGAGCCACGGCGCATGGCCGAATTTTGTATCCTTAAATGTGCTTTATGCTGGGCGTGGGGGCTCACGCTTATAATCCCAGCACTTTGGGAGGCTGCAGCAGGAGGATTGCTTGAGCTCCGGAGTTTAAGACCAGCCTAGGCAATATAGTGAGACCCTGTCTCCACAATACATTACAAAATCTGGCCAGGTGTGGTGATGTGCGCCTGTAGTCCTAGCTACTCGAGAGGCTGAGGTAGGAGGATTGTATGAGCCCAGGAGGTCGAGGCTGCAGTGAGCTGTGATCACACCACTCCACTCCAGTCTGGGTGATGAAGTACACCCTGTCTCAAAAACATAAAAATAAGGCCAGGCGTGGTGGCTTACGCCTGTAATCCCAACACTTTGGGAGACGGAGGCAGGCAGATCACCTTATGTTGGGAGTTCGAGATCCGCCTGGCTAACATGGTGAAACCCCATCTCTACTAAATATACAAAATTAGCTGGGCATGGTGACGCACACTTGTTATCCCAGCTACTCAGGCTGAGGCAGGAGAATCGCTTGAATCTGGGAGGCGGAGGTTGCAGTGAGCCGGGATCATGCCACTGCACTCCAGCCTGGGCAACAGAGTGAGACTCTGACTCCAAAAAAAATAAAAGTTAAAAAAATGTGGTTTATCTTATTTTTTTACAGGGCTAAAGAACTGGGTCTATTTCACCCACCATATCTTTTATTCCCTCTAATTTCATGTTTTCAACTTTTTCTTTAATTGGCTTTAATTCATTTTTGATTCATTTGTATGAAGTGTCCTTTATTATATCTGCTTGGGGTTTATTTTTTTTTTCCTTTTTTTTTTTTTGGAGACAGAGTCTCACTCTGTCGCCCAGGCTGGAGTACAGTTGCATGATCTTGGCTCACTGCAACCTCTGCCTCCCAGGTTCAAGCAATTCTCCTGCCTCAGCCTCCTGAGTAGCTGGGATTACAGGCGCCCACCACCATGCCCAGCTAATTTTTTTTTTGTATTTTTAGTAGAGACAGGGGTTCACCATGTTGGTCAGGCTGGTCTCAAGCTCCTGACCTCAGGCAGTCCACTCGCCTCTGCCTCCCAAAGTGCTGGGATTACAGGCATGAGCCACTGTGCCCGGCCTCATTTATTTTTAAAAGTTACAAAAATGGAATTAAATGAGAAGACAGACATCAGACAAGATGATGATAGTTAAAATTTAAGGGGAAAAATAAGACTCCAAGAAAAAGATACAAACCAGCCCTTTTTATCTTTAATTAAATAGAAAATACAAACTAATTCTTTTAACTTTTATTTATTTATTTATTTATTTATTTTGAGACAGGGTCTGGCTCTGTCACCCAGGCTGGAGTGCAGTGGCACGATCTTGGCTCACAACTACCTCCGCCTCCCCAGGCTTAAGCAATCCTCCCACCTCAGCCTCCCAAGTAGCTGAAACTACAGGTGTGCGCCATCACCCCCAGGTAATTTTTGTACTTGTTGTAGAGATGAGGTTTTGTCATGTTGCCCAGGCTGGTCTCGAACTCCTGGGTTCAAGGGATTCACTTGCCTTGGCCTCCCAAAGTGCTAGGATTACGGGCATGAGCCACTGCGCCCGGCTACTTTTATTTACTTTTTGTTAGAGGTAAAAAGAGAATAAAGGTGGCCAGGCACGGTGGCTCACGCCTGTAATCCCAGCACTCTGGGAGGCCAACGTTGGGAGATTACTTGACCGCAGGAGTTTGAGACTTGCCTGGGCAACATAGTGAGACTCTGTCTCTATTTAGAAGAATCAATATAAAAGAGTAAGATAAAGAACTACCCGTAAATATGTATTAAGAGATTGTTATGGACTGAATGTTTGTGTCCCCTCGAAATTCATATGCTGTAGCCCTAACCTCCAATGTGATGGTATTTGAAGGTGGGGCCTTTGAGAAGTACTTAGGTTTAGATCAGGCCATGATAGTGGACGCCTTGCAGTGGATTAGTTTCCTTATAAGAGGAGGGACAGAGAGCTCTGTCTTTATGAGCACACACCAAAGAAAGGCCATGTGACCATACAGTGAGATGTCAGCTGTCTGCAAGCCAAGAAGACGGCCCCACCAGAACCTCACCATGTTGGCACCCTGATTTCAGACTTCCAGCCTCCAGAATGGTGAGAAAATAACAGCCTGTTGTTTAAGCCACCCAGTCTATGATACATTCTTAAAGCAGCCTGAGGTGACTAAGAGAGAAGTTTACTAGGAATGGGTATAGAAATTTTATTTAAATGTATTTTCTGGGGTTTTTTTTTGTTTTTTTTTTTTTTTTGAGACAGAGCCTCGCTCTGTCACCCAGGCTGGAGTGCAGTGGTGCAATCTCGGCTCACTGCAACCTCCGCCTCCCGGGTTCAAGCGATTCTCCTGCCTCAGCTTCCCGAGTAGCTGGGATTATAGGCACCTGCCACCATGCCCAGCTAATTTTTGTATTTTTGGTAGAGACGGGGTTTCACCACGCTGGCCAGGGTGGTCTCAAACTCCTGACCTCAGGCGATTCGCCCGCCTCGGCCTCCCAAAGTGCTGGGATTACAGGCGTGAGCCACCGCGCCCAGCTGTGAAATGTATTTTCTTTTTTTTTTTTTTTGAGACAAAGTCTTGCACTGTCACCCAGGCTGGAGTGCAGTGGCGCGATCTCGGCTCACTGCAACCTCCATCTCCCAGGTTCAAGCAATTCTCCTGCCTCAGCCTCCCAAATAGCTGGGATTACAGGCGCCTGCCACCACACCTGGCTAATTTTTGTATGTATTTTGAGACGGAGTCTCGCTCTGTCACCCAGGCTGGAGTGCAGTGGCGTGATCTTGGCTCACTGCAACCTCTGCCTCCCGGGTTCAAGCGATTCTCCTGCCTCAGCGTCCTGAGTAGCTGGAACTATAGATGCACCCCACCACGCCCAGCTAATTTTTTGTATTTTTAGTAGAGTCAGGGTTTCACCGTGTTAGCCATGATGGATTTTTGTATTTTTAGTAGAGAGAGGGTTTCACCACATTGGACAGGCTGATCTCGAACTCGTGACCTCAAGTGATCTGCCCACCTCGGCCTCCCAAACTGCTGGGATTACAGGCGTGAGACACCACGCCTGGCCAAAAGGTATTTTCGTTGTTTTTTTTTTTTTTTGGTTTTTTGAGACAAGGTCTCACTCTGTCACCAAGGCTGGAGTGTAGTGGTGTAATCTCGGCTCACTGCAATCTCTGCCTCTTGGGTTCAAGCGATTCTCGGGCCTCAGCCTCCCTAGTAGCTGGAATTACAGGCGCATCCCATCATGCCAGGCTAATTTTTGTATTTTTAGTAAAGATGAGGTTTCGCCATGTTGACCATGCTGGTCTTGAACTCCTGACCTCAAGTGATCCGCCCACCTTGGTCTCCCAAAGTGCTGAGATTACAGGTGTGAGCCATCACTCCCAGACTAAATGTATTTTCAACATTAATAAAGGTGATTATATATATAGTTTCTCTTTTGACTTAATAATTACATTACAAAATTTCTTTCTTTTTTTTTGAGACGGAGTCTCACTCGGTCCTCCAGGCTGGAGTCCAGTGATGCGATCTTAGCTCATTGCAACCTCTGTCTCGGTTCGAGTGATTCTCCTGCCTCAGCCTCTCAAGTAGCTAGGATTACAGACACCCGCTACCACACTCAGCTAAGTTTTTTTTTTTTTTTTTTTTTAATGTAGAGACAGGGTTTCGCTATGTTGGCCAGACTGGTCTCAAACTCCTGACCTCAAGTGATCTGCCCGCCTTGGCCTCCCAAAGTGCCAGATTACAGGCGTGAGCCACTGCGTGTGGCCCAAAATTTCTTAATATAGCACCATCTTTGATTCTTCAATTTCTGGAATAAACTCCACTTGATCTTGTGTATTATTCTTTTTTTTTTTTTTTTTTGAGATAGAGTTTCACTCTTGTTGCCCAGGCTAGCGTGCAATGGCACAATCTCTGCTCACTGCAACCTCTGCCTCCCGAGTAGCTGGGATTATAGGCGTGCACCACCACGCCCAGCTAATTTTTGTATTTTTAGTAGAGACAAGGTTTCACCATGTTGGCCAGGCTGGTATCAAACTCCTGACCTCAGGTGATCTGCCCAGCTTGGCCTCCCAAAGTGCTGGGATTACAGGTGTGAGCCACCATGCCCAGCCTGCTGGCACACATTCTAAAGAGAGCCAACTGGCACAACCTGAGGACTTCTGAGAGGACCAGAGCACCAGTGGCCTCCCCATCCACCTTCCCTCCCTTCTCCTCCAGGTTACCTAAGGGAACCCCAGAGGAATTCAAGGAGGATGGGGTGATTCTGAAGCTACGGTCCAGCATGGCATGCTATGGTCTTGAAGCCTATGAAATTCACTCTTCAACAAACTTGGCATCTACGTTAAGCATGTGAATGTACAGAGTTATCAATCAACAATAGCCTTTAAGATTATTGTAATCCCCTAAGTACTTCGGCCCCAGGTAGCCACCCACTGCTGGATGTCAGAGGACATCACGGTGCTCTTTCCTGCCTGCACCCCTAGTCTGGAATGCTTACCCCACATCTCTGCTGAGTGAACTCCTTCCTATTCATGCTTCAAGACCCAGCTCAGTCCTGGCTCAGCTGACCCCTTGGTTCCTGTGTCTGTTCCCTGCTGGGCTGTGAGTGTTTTTATATTTTGTTTTTCTTATGTCCATTTAGATTTGAATATGAATGTTTTATTTTATTTTACTTATTTTTTTATGTTTCTTTGAGACAGAGTCTTGCTCTGTTACCTAGGCTGGAGTGCAGTGGTACAATCTTGGCTCACTGCAACCTCCGCCTCCTGGGCTCAAGCAATTTTCATGCCTCAGCCTCCCAGTAGCTGGGACCACAGGCACCCACCATCATGCCCGACTAATTTTTTTTGTATTTTTAGTGATGGCCTCAAGCGATCCTCCCGCCTCAGCCTCCCAAAGTGTTGGGATTACAGGCGTGAGCCACCACAGCCAGCCTCGAATGTGAGTGGTTTTTGTTGTTGTTGTTGTTGTTGTTTTTTGAGACAGAGTTTCGCTCTTGTTGCCTAGGCTGGAGTGCAGTGGCACAATCTCGGCTCACTGCAACTTCCGCCTCCCAGGTTCAAGCGATTCTCCTGCCTCAGCCACCCGAGTAGCTAGGACTACAGGCATGTGCCACCACGCTCAGCTACTTTTGTTTTTTGTTTGTTTGTTTGTTTGTTTTAGTAGAGATGGGGTTTCACTTTGTTGGTTAGGCTGGTCTTGAACCCCTGACCTCAGGTGATCCGCCCACCTAGGCCCCCCAAAGTATTGGGATTACAGGAGTGAACCACTGCGCCCGGCCTCGAATGTGAGTGCGTTAAAACCCAGATCGGGTCTGATTGGGGTTGGCACCCAGGTGGCTCCATAATTGTTGCTGTCCTGAATTATTGCCCTCTTTGCTACTTGGACCGAACCCCATCTTGGGACCACCGACTTCCTCTGACTCCTGGTCAGGCTCCTGGGCGGCAAATCCTGGCCCCTGGTATGGTCCCGCCTGCCTCTCTGTCCCCTTGTCTACCTGACCAGACCTCTGAACTTCAAGGCCTGGATGCCCTGTCTCTCCTCCTGTGAGGCTCTGTCCTACCTCATGTTGGGACCTAGGGCGCTCTGTTGTACAACTCCAGGGAGCACCATTGTGTCTTCTGTAAATGGCAGCTCCTGGAACACAGTGAGCCCTCAATAGGGCATGTCAGCTGTGGGCTCAGACATCCTTTGGGTCTGGCAGTGCTCCATTTCATGTGCCCTGTCACCCTCACCCCTCTTTTTCCATCCCACTTCTCCTAGCTGGACCAAGCTAGGCGTCATCTACAAGCCCGGTGTGCTGACCAGGGAATGTGTGGGGCTTGGGGCATGGGGACAATAAATAACATCACTTTTCTCATTTCCCAGGCAGGTAACCAATTGAAAGATAAGATACCATAGACAGACATCAACTTTATTCCTGACTAAAGCTCAAAAGAAGGGCGTGGCGTAGATTTACAGTGACCATCCTAACACTCACGCGCAGAGTCACACGGTCCCACACTGGGCTGGACCAGCCCTGCTAAGCCCACAAGAGGTGGGGAGAACAGCAGCCGCTTCCTCTTTGTGGGGCCCAGGCCTGAGCTTCCCTCCGTTCCTGCCCCGGATCTGACCACTGGGATTGTGGGAGAGGGTGTCAAAGGACAGTTTTCTCCCATAGTTTTCCCTTCCAGGGAGAAGAGTGGAAATCCCCTCATCTCAAAGGCAACATGAGATTGGAGAATGTACTCTCAAATCCCCAAACAGCAACAGAATTGTTCTGCTTGCTTCAGAGCAGAGGCTCCGCAGCCCTTTCCAGACCTCTCCCAAGCGTGGAAATGGACGAAGGGCTGGATGGGGCTCAGAGGGGAGGTCAGGCGGGACTCCCTCAGACAGCAGCTGGGGTTCCTCTGTTCCAGGCCCAGCTCTCACTGAAACAGGAGAGGGTGTGAAGGAATGGATTTGGAACTGTCAAGAACTCCTTCCTTAGTGGGCAGTGGAGGTAATGCAGGGTTCAGACCATCTGTGCCCTGGACAGAGGCCTCTTTCTTCCCCAGGAATGCTAAGCACATGGGCATCCTGATACCTCAACTCCTCCAGTCCCAAATACTCTGCCTGTTTGTCCCCTTTGTCCTGAGCCACCCCGTAGGACCTGCAGGTCAGGCACTGACTTCATGTCAGGTCCCCGAAGCAGTTTTGTTCTCTCAGCAGTGTCCACTGGCCTGCAGCCAGGCACCTCTCTCCCCCAGCCTGGGTCACTGGCAAGGGAGCAAGAAGAGTTCTGGGCTCACAGCAGGCAGTGGAGTGTAGTCACAGAGCCTGATCCGGCTTGAAATCCCAGATCCTTTGCTTACTAGGCTGTGTGGCCTTAGGTGAGTTACTTAATCTCTCCGTGCTTCAGTTTCTGCATATGTAAAACAGGGATAATATCTAGCTCACTGGGTTATGATGAGACGTAAGTAACTTCATACAAACCCCTTAGGACTGATGCCTGGGCATTTCTAAGTACTCAGTGAAGGCAAGCTGCTGTTTTTATGGGCCCAGGTCTAGGAAAAAAGAATCAAACAGCCAGGGGAAAGGGGATGCTCTCCACTGTATATTAAGTTCTATCATAGGGACCATTTTAGCTAAACACAGAAAAACAGAGGAGGGGGCTGGGTGTGGTGGCTCATGCCTGTAATCCCAGACCTTAGGAGGCTGGATTGCTTGAGCCCAGGAGTTCGAGACCAGCCTGGGCAATAAAGTGAGACCCCCATCTACAAAAGATACAAAATTTAGCTGGGTGTGGTGGCGCATGCCTGTAGTTCCAGCTACTAGGGGGCAGGGTGAGGTGGGAGGGTAACTTGAGCCTGGGAGGCAGAGGTTGCAGTGAGCTGAGATTGCATCACTGGTCTCCAGCCTGGGCGACAGAGGGAGATCCTATCTCAAAAAAAAAAAAAAAAAAAAGACAGAGGAGGAACAAGGAACAATTATCCCCCATTTTACAGATCAAAAGCTGAGTGAAGCAGTGGTCCAGCTGGAATTCAACACCTGAGATATCTGACTCCAGATACCAGCCCTTCCTTGCTTCCCACTAGCTGCCTAACCCAGAGAGGAGATTGGGAAAAGAGAAACAAGTTACAGAATTCAAGAGTAGGTATCATCTGGGGTCTTCCTGAAGGAACAAGTGTTGCTCCAGAGAAGCCAGAAATTCTTATCTCTGCTTTGCTCTAACCACCTCTTTAGGCTTTATGACTGAAGAGTCCCTTTGGCCCCTTAACTCCACAAGGCTGACCCTGGTGATCAGCAGCTGAGATCTACATGATACAGTCCAGACACCAGAAGGAGACTGAATCTCTCTCCCAAATCTCAGCTCTAAAATTCCCAAGAGAGGGCCTCATGGGTCCAGGCAGTGTCTGGTGTCCGTCCTGCAATGGCCAGGAGCCAGGTTTTCTTGTAGGAGTGTGACAGCTCCTCCTGCAGTCGGGGATCCTGGATGGGGCTGAGGAGAAGTTCCAAGGCAAGGAGGATTGGCATCTGCTCCATAAGTGCATTCTTCTCTTTGCACTTGATCTTTTATCTACCTCATAGATAGATCCTTCTTGCTCACACTTTCAGCCTGTCCTTTTTTTTTTTTTTTTTTTTTTTTGAGACAGGGTCTCGCTCTGTCACTCAAGCTGGAGTGCAGTGGCATGAACTTGGCTCACTGCAGCCTCCACCTCCCAAGTTCAAGTGATTCTCCTGCCTCAGCCTCCCAGGTAGCTGGGATTACAGGCGTGTGCCACCACACCTGGTTAATTTTTTTGTATTTTTAGTAGAGATAGGGTTTCACCATGTTGACCAGGCTGGTCTTCAACTCCTGACCTCCCCAGTGATCCACCCACCTAGGTCTCCCAAAGTGCTGGGATTACAGGCATGAGCCACTGTGCCCAGCGCTTTCAGCCAGTTTGACCTCTACTCATGCAAATTTTACCTTTCCCTTTATGCCTCACTCCACCTCACGGCTTCACTCTCTTCTCCCTGATCGCACCCCACTGTGACTGCCTGAAATGCCACATGTTTCTTCATTCAGATTTCTCAGATAATTCAATGGTTCCACCCATAATTCCACACCTGGCCACTTCATAGACAATGACTCACTTAAGGACAGGCTGCCTCAGGGTGCACAGCCTGTATTCAGGAATCTGCTAGAGCAACACATAGCTGTACCTTCTGCAAGGCTGTGGGCTGGATGACTCCACTGTGGGCGTGGAACACGGGCTGGTGTCATAAGGAGACATTCTTTATGCCTTAGGCATTGAAAGGATACTCCTTCCAAAAGGCCTTTCCCAGCGTTTCCCCCTGAAATCCACTAACCATAGCATTTCACTGTTGACACTGCCATATAGTGCTAAGTGCAGTTGTCTAACTCCTACTGCCACAGAGATTCAAGTGTACAATGGCTTACACGTGTGAGAAGATTATTTCTTGTTCAGATATCAAATGCAGAATAAGCAGTCCAGAGAGGAGATGACAGCTTTATGGTGTTGGGGACCTATGCTCCTTCTGACTTGCTGTTCTATCATCCCTTGGACGGTGGCCTCATCTCCTTGGATCCAGATGGATCACTACCACATTCCAGCCAGTGGGAAGGGGGAAATGCATTTCCTTTTCCTTTAAATGCGGGAGCCAGAGTTTGCACACCTCACTTCACTCACACCTTGCCAGCCAGAACGTAGTTACAGGGTCACATCAAGCTTGAAGGAGAGCTGGCAAATGAAGTCTATTTTGGGTGGCCATGTGCCCAGCTAAAAGTTGGGAATTCTATTATTAAAGAGGAAGAGGAAGAGAAGAATGCATATCCCACCATTCTGTCACCGTTTTTGACTGCTCTCCACTCACTATCCAGTCTGTCACATGCTGGCACATCCCATTCCTGATGCCTTTCCTATGGGGCTCTATTCTTCATCCCCACCAATACCACCATGCATTGGGCCCTTCCTGCTTTATACCCACTGTCTCATTAGAACGTCCTAGCTGATCCCTTTGCTTTCAGTCACCTTCTGTGATCATTCTATTAATAAATAGCAAATCTGATCATATGCCCCTATTGTTTAGAAATCAATGGCTCCCCACTGCCCATAGCAGTAAGATTTTGAATCCTTTTTTTTTTGAGACAGGGTCTCATTCTGTCACCTAGCCTGGAGTGTAGTGGTGAGATCACAGTCATTGCAGCCTTGACCTCCTGGGCTCAAGTGATCTCCCCACCTTAGCCTCCCAAGTAGCTGAGACTACAGGCACACATCACAACGCCTGGCTAGTTATTAATTTTTTTTTTTTTGTAGAGATGGGATGTCACTATGTTGCCCAGGCTGGGCTCAAGTGATCCTCCTGCTTCAGCCTCTCAAAGTGTTGGGATTACAGGTGTGAGCAACTGCATTCAGCTGAGTGCAGATTTTTGAATCCCTGAAGTTGTATGCAAATTTTGCCTTCTTTTTTTTTTTTATTGCAAAAACTTTTTTTTTTTTTTTTTTGAGATGGAGTCTCACTCGCTCTATCACCCAGGCTGGAGTGCAGTGGCACAATCTTGGCTCACTGCAACCTCTGCCTACTGGGTTCAAGTGATTCTCATGCCTCAGCCTCCCGAGTAGCTGGGATTATAGGCATGCACCACCATGCCCTGCTAATTTTTGTATTTTTTAGTAGAGATGGGGGTTTCACCATGTTGGCCAGACTGGTCTGGAACTCCTGACCTCAATGGGTCAGCCCACCTTGGCCTCCCAAAGTGCTGAGATATACAGGCGTGCGCCACTACGCCTGGCCATTTTACTTTTTCTTTCTTTTTTTTCTTTTAGAGATGGGGTCTCAATCTGTCACCCAGGCTGGAGTGCAGTGGTGCGAAAATAACTCACTGGACTCAAACAATCCTCCTGCTTTAGCCTCCTAAGTAACTAGGATTACAGACATGTGTCACCATGCCTGTCTATTTTTTATTTTAAATTTTTTTTTGTAGAGATGAGGTCTTGCTATTTTGCCCAGGCTGGTCTTAAACTCCTGGCCTCAAGCAATCCTTTCGCCTTGGCCTCCCAAACTTTTTCTGTTGAGGCCTTTGCATTTTCAAAGGGGTCTGTTATTCCCCTCAAGTTACAGGCACAAGTCCAAATTCCAAGTATCCATGTACGAGTGTGGTATGTTTCCTGACCTCCCTTTCACGTCTCCTGTTTAGTCACGTCTCCTGCGTAACTGAAACTAAAGTCATTTTGAAATTGTCTCCATTGCCCAACAGGTCACACTTTTTCTTTTTTTTTCCTTTTTTCTTTTCGTGATGGAGTCTCACTCTGTCGCCCAGGCTGGAGTACAGTGGCGTGATCTTGGCTCACTGCAAACTCCACCTCCCGCATTCAAGCGATTCTTATGCCTCAGCCACCCGAATAGCTGGGATTACAGGCGTGAGCCAGCGTGCCCAGCCCAGGTCAGGTCATGCTCTTTCACATGCCACATCTTCCATCCACCTGCCGTTATATCTAAACTCCTAGGCATCGTTATGGCTTGGCTGAAAAGCCACCTCCTCTGGGAGGCGTCCTTGACTCCCTTTGTCCCACTCAGTCTCCACAGCTCGACTCAGGCCTCCAACACTTGTCACATTTCATAGTGGTCGTTAGCTTACACCTGCCCCCCACCAACAAACCATTAACTCTGGAGCCCAGGACTCTGAATGGACACTCCACAAATGTTTATTGAATAAATGTCACTCATGCTAAAAAAACTGGAGTGCTGTTTCTAACATGTGAATCTGAGCATTGCTTCCTTTTTGCGGAGGAGCGGGGAATGGTGTCTGGCTGTAACCCAGGCTTGAGTGCAGTGGTGAGATACCGGCTCACTGCAGCCTCTGCCTCCCCAGTTGAAGCGATTCTCCTGCCTCAGCCTTCCAAGTAGCTGGGATTACAGGCACATGCCACCACACCCAGCTAATTTTTGTATTTTTAGTAGAGATGGGATTTCACCATGTTGTTCAGGCTGATCTTGAACTCCTGACCTCAAATGATCTACCCATCTTGGCCTCCCAAAGTGCTGGGATTACAAGCATGAGCCACTGTACCCAGCATAGGCACATTAATATTATTTGAATGGCCCAAATCAATGTTCTCTCTTGTTTTGGAGCTTTATTCTTGCTTCTTCCTCTGCCTGGAACGTTCTCCTGCTCCTCTTTGCCTGGCTAGCTCCTACGTATCCTTCAGATAGTTAAAATATACCTCAGGAAGTCTTCCTGGATCCCCTCCCCACTTCTAGGTGAAGGGGGTACTAGGCTGAGGGCCCCATCTATGCACACCCCCAGCACCCTATGTTCGCCCAGTTGCAACGTGGCTCTCACTGCAAGGCGGTGGCTCATTTGTCTTCCTTCCCTGCTCACATGCAGTGCACTCTGTGCCTAACTCACCCGCTGGCGTAGCCCCAGCCTCAAGCACAGCACTTGGAAGGGAAGAGGTACCTGATAAATGTGTTAAATGTGGGTTAGAGGAATGGATTTCTCCATTTTAAATCTTGATTTCAATACCTTTCTGTTGCCTTTGGAATAAAGCCTTACCACAGCTTTTACAGCACTTTCTGATGTGGTCTCCATGTAATTTTAGTCTCGTCTCTTAAAAATATACCCTTTGATTTCAGTGTCCCACTCAAACATGGTAGCCACACTGAACTGAATGAAGGCCCCCAAATGCCTGCTTTCCCTTCTTCCAGCCTCTGCAGTGAAACTGCCATTGCAAACTTGTAACAGACAGTGAAAGAGATCTGACCTAACCAACTTCATCTTGCTTCTAACCTCCAAGCTGTCCTTGTTGGTTCCTGGGCACAGGCTGAACTGACTTTGGGAGAAAGTTTATAGTTTAAAACAAAGACGATAACAGCCCTTTCCCAAAACAAACCTCCTTCTTGCCTGGGGACTAGACTGCCTTTGCAGGACAAGAAATTAGCCACAAGATTAGAAATTATGGTTTAGGAGTCATGCAGCTGGAGACTACCAGGTTCTGACCCTCCCTAAACTGCTCCTCAGATCAGTGCTTGAGACATTTTGCAGACCCTGCACTTGATGGATCGGCTGGCACCACCCAGATCAATAAACTGGCTCATCTGATCTTGCAGCCTCCACCCAGGAACTGACTCAGCGCAAGAAGACAGCTTCGACTCTGTATGAGTTCATCTCCAACCTGACCAATCAGCACTCCCGGCTCACTGGCTTCCCCCCATCCACCAAGTTGTCCTTAAAACTCTGCTCCCCGAATGCTTGGGGAGACTTATTTGAGTAATAATAAAACTCTGTTCTTCTGCACAGCCAGCTCCGCATGAAATTACTCTTTCTCTATCGCAGTTCCCCAGTATTGATAAATCGGCTCTGTCTAGGCAACCGGCAAGGTGAACTCACTAGGCAGTTATGGCAGTACTCTTCTGCCTGGCACACTCACCTCTCATTCCGCTTCCTTTTCTGCCTAACATCCAGTAATCTTTAAGTTCATTGGCCCTTTCTCCAGGAAGCCTCCCTTGACTTTCTAAGGCCAGCTCTGGTGCCCTTTAGTGGTACCTCTCTGGGCTTCCTTCTGACCTTCTATGTGTTTTCCCTAGTGGATGATGAGGCAAGAGACTGAACTGGACTCACTGTGATGTCTCTAGTGCTGGGAACAGTGTCAGGCACCTGGCCGGTTTATAAATATATACATATACATTTGAGACAGAGTCTCGCTCTGTTGCCTAGGCTGGAGTGCAGTGGCATGATCTTGGCTCACCGCAACCTCTGCCTCCCGGGTTCAAGCAATTCTCCAGCCTCAGCCTCCTGAGTAGCTGGGATTGCAGGCGCACACCACCACACCTCGCTAGTTTTTAAAAATATTTTTGGTGAAGACAGGGTTTCATCATGTTGTCCAGGCTGGTCTCTAACTCCTGACCTCAAGTGATCTGCCCGCCTCAGCACCCCAATCAATAGATATTTTTAAATGAATTTTAGAGCTGAGGGACAGTGACAGGAAGGCAGGCTGTGCTTGTTCATCTCACCACACTCTGAGCTCAGACATTCCAAAGGAAAGAAATGGTTATAAAGGATGAGATCATATGCTCATGTCCAAAACTCAAGATTAAAATAAAATTATTAAAAATCTCAGAAAGGATGGACAGTCTTTTGATAGTGATGAATAAGTAATCTTCAAGCTCTAGGAAACCCAGTTTGCTTTTCCTGGTAAATAAGTTGTTTTTAATATGATTTCATTTTTTTAAAGTGACCCAATGAAAATTGCCACCTAATATGAGATGCAGAAATAAATCCTAAACAGGCAACACAGGACACAGACCCCATACTGCTGTCTGCAGAGACAATAGGAAATAAGACCCGCACTGCAAATTCCCAAGAACCAAGAGCAAAGATATGCAAAGAAATTTTGAGACAGAAGACTGAGAGGCAGCATTTTAATATAACAAACAATAAGGATAGGCCAGAGGCTTGCTACTCAAAGTGTGGTTGTGGCTCGATAGCATCAGCATCTCCCAGGACCTGGTTAGAAATGCAGAATCTCAGGCCCCACCCCAGACCTACTGCCTTCTAACAAGATCCCAGGTGATTTGTATGCACATAAATGTTCGCGAAGCACCGGGCTAGAACATTTATTAACGTAGGATGTTGCTCTTACAATGTATTTTGAGGTCAAAATAAACTCATTTAAAGCATTTTTTTTCTCATTATTTGCTCCATTCTCTCCACCTCTGAGTTGCATCAACACATGTCATTGTGTTCTGGGACTCTGAGCCTCTCTTATGAATCACAATGGCAAAAGAAGTTTGCTGTACCATTGCTGTAGATGGCCTTAATGGGTTACAAATTGGATTTTTTTTTTTTTTTTTTTTGAGACAGAGTTTTGCTCGTTACCCAGGCTGGAGTGCAATGGCACGATCTCGGCTCACTGAAACCTCCGCCTCCCGGGTTCAAGTGAGTCTCCTGCCTCAGCCTCCCAAGTAGCTGGAATTACAGGCGCCTGCCACCACGCCCCAGCTAATTTTTGTATTTTTGGTAGAGACGGGGTTTCTCCATGTATGTCAGGCTGGTCTCAAACTCCCGACCTCAGGTGATCCACCTGCCTCGGCCTCCCAAAGTGCTGGGATTACAGGCGTGAACCACCGCGCTCGGCCACAAATTGGATTTTGAAACTTCCATCAGCTGCTTCTTGTGCAGCACCTCCCAGGAGGTAGGTTGTATGACAATTTCTGTTTTTAGAGATGATGAAATTGCGGCCCAAGGAGGTTTCATGACTCACCACAGGGGCACCCAGCAAATTGGCATCTGAGCCAAAATGAGAGTGCAAGCTTTTGAGTTTCCAATGTAAAGCTCATCAAACTTTGACATTACTTCTTTTTATATAAGGGGCTTTTTTTTTTTTTTTTTGCATAAGAGATTTTAAGAGAGCAGATTTAAGAAAGATTCAGATGACTTCACGTGAGCTACTGACCATATAAACCTTGCATGTGCTGGCCCCAGGGAATATGGAAGCTTCGGAAGGTATTGCTCTGCCCTGCCTGGGTCCCTTGCTCCTATTGCAGCCAGAAGTCCCAAAAAACCTCAGAACAGATATTTGCTTCTAGGGGATATGAGGGGAAAGCACCGGGAATTACCATGAGGTAATGGATACGGCTATGCAGGTGGCTTCTTGATGACAATAACCCATCCTCAGGAGGAAGCTTTTTTTTGTTTCTTCCACAGACTCAAAATAGCTGAGAGAATCTGACTCTGCCCAAATACATGTGGTGTGTGTCATTGGATTGAATTTCTTTTTTTTCTTTATTACATAGCAACTTACTAGATAATAAATTTCTTAATTAATTCCAATTTCCCTGGAGCAAATTGGAGCCACTAGATGACTCAGAAATAGTCAAGACTGTACATATGGCATTGATGCCAAAGTGCTTCTTCTACCCTGTCAGATTTTAAGATTTCTCTGTCAACCCCATCGAAACAAAGCTCCCAAATGGTGCTTGTTCAGTTTCACCAGTCTGCACGGTGATTCTTCTAGGGTCCCCTACAGAATGCTTGCCAGGGGGTTGGCTTAAATCCCCTCCCATCTATAGACATGCATATCAATGGGACATATTTGTATACACTTGCTTAAAAAACAGAAAGATAGTGCACTGTAAAATTCCATGTAAAAAGTATTGCTTTTCTAATGTGCTAATGTGCTCCTGCCTGCCTGCTTGCTACACAATGTTACAGAGGGTAGAGTCATGAGGAATTCAAGGCTGAAGATGTTTTGGATGTTTGGATGACACCGACGTACCCCTCACCTTGCACCTTGAACCCTGCTCTGAAGCCCGTGTAGTTTTCAGGCTTGGCCTAAGGCAAAAACTACAAAGCATCCTAATGAGCAGAATTATACAACAGGAATGTATGTGCATATTTGACATAGTTTCTTCTCTAGAAGGGTGGCTCTCTGGCCTGTGACCTCTGCCCTCTTCAAGGGCGAGGGAGGAGTCCAGAGAAGAAGGCTTTTGTTCCCCACGGCCAGTTCTTCTGCAGCCCCTACAGCCCCAGGGACCTGCCCTGCTCCGCGTGGGCTCTCAGAAGCCCAGCAATTTCCATATGGGTGGGTGACTTCAGAGCGATGGACAAAGCTGTGCGGCCAGCCTACAGGAGAAAAAGGAAAGAAGAAATAAATATCATCCAATCTGCCTCCTGCCTGGGGGAGAAGGGCAAGTTGGGAGTAGAGGGTATGCCTGGGACACAGGTGTCTATTAAGGCTTCCAGAGACCTCGGTAGAGAAGATTCGAATGGCATGAGGATCACCAGAAATGCGGTCCCTTCCACAGAAACAATAGTGACTCCTGGGAAATCTGTGACAACAGAAATAAAGAAGGGCCATCTAGTTTTTAATGCTCTTTTTTTTTTTTTTTGAGATGGAGTCTCACTCTATCGCCCAGGGTGGAGTGCAGTGGCGCAATCGGAGCTCACTGCAACCTCCGTCTCCTGGGCTCAGGTGATCCTCCACCTTCAGCCTCCCAAGTAGCTGGGATTACAGGTACACACCATCATGCCTGGAAAATTTTTGTATCTTTTGTAGAGACGGGGTGTCACCATGTTGCCCAGGCTGGTCTCAAACTCCTGGGCTGAAGTGGTCCGCCCACCTTGGCCTCCCAAACTGCTGGGATTATAGGTGTGAGCTACTGAGCCCAGCCCCACTTTTTTCTACTTTAAATTGGAAAACAGGAAATAAAATAACTCTTGCTGTTCCATTACATGTATCTAAGTGAAAGTTCGCATTTTGGTGTGTTTTCCTCCAATCTTTTCTCCTGTGCAAATTTGTTGTTGGTTCTTTTTTTTTTTTTAATTTTTTAAACCTGTCTCACTATGTTGCCCAGGCTGGTCTTGAACTCCTGGGCTCAAGTGGCCCACCCACATTGGCTTTCCAAAGTTTTGGGATTACAGACATGAATTTGCAATCCTGTCCTGTCCTGCACCTGTCCTGTTGTTGGTTTTTAAATAAAGGAATTATATTGTATACCAACTTTGAATTTGCTTTTATTCTTAATTTACCATGATATGCTATAAGATGTTTCTCTATTCTTACATAGCCATTATAATGCATGATTTTTCTTTTTGGCTGTGTAATATTCCATAATTTACTAATTTTTGCTAATTATGGAAATATTCCATAACTTCCTTTCAGTGGAAATGTATGTTGTTTCTAAGTCTCTGCCATCATAATCTTAGTGCAAAAAGCATTTTCCCATTTTAAATTATTTCCTAAGGACTGGTTCTTTTATTATTATTATTATTATACTTTAAGTTCTAGGGTACCTGTGCACAACATGCAGGTTTGTTACACATGTATATATGTGCCATGTTGGTGTGCTGCACCCATTAACTCGTCATTTACAGTAGGTATATCCCCTAATGCTATCCCTCCTCACTCCCCCCACCCCACGACAGGCCCTGGTGTGTGATGTTCCCTGCCCTGTGTCCAGGTGTTCTCATTGTTCAATTCCCACCTATGAGTGAGAACATGTGGTGTTTGGTTTTCTTTCCTTGCGATGGTTTGCTCAGAATGATGGTTTCCAGCTTCATCCATGTCCCTACAAAGGACATGAACTCATCCTTTTTCATGGCTGCATAGTATTCCATGGTGTATATATGCCACATATTCTTAATCCAGTCTATCATTGTTGGACATTTGGGTTGGTTCCAAGTCTTTGCTATTGTGAATAGTGCCACAATAAACATACATGTGCATGTGTCTTTATAGCAGCATGATTTATAGTCCTTTGGGTATATACCCAGTAATGGGATGGGTGGGTCAAATGGTATTTCTAGTTCTAGATCCCTGAGGAATCACCGCACTGTCTTCCACAATGGTTGAACTAGCTTACAGTCCCACCAACAGTGTAAAAGTGTTCTTATTTCTCCACATCCTCTCCAGCACCTGTTGTTTCCTGACTTTTTAATGATCTCCATTCTAACTGGTGTAAGATGGTATCTCATTGTGGTTTTGATTTGCATTTCTCTGATGGCCAGTGATGATGAGCATTTTTTCATGTGTCTTTTGGCTGCATAAATGTCTTCTTTTGAGAAGTGTCTGTTCATATCCTTTGCCCACTTTACAAGAAAAAGGACTCACTCTTAGAAGTGGGCTCAGAGGCTGGGTGCAGTGGCTCATGCCTGTAATCCCAGCACTTTGGGAGGCCAAGGCCGGTGGATCACCTGAGGTTGGGAGTTCAAGACCAGCCTGCCCAACATGGAGAAACCCCATCTCTACTAAAAATACAAAATTAGCCTGGCGTGGTGGCACATGTCTGTAACCCCAGCTACTTGGGAGGCTGAGGCATGGGAATCGCTTGAAACTGGGAGGCAGAGGTTGCGGTGAGACAAGATTGCGCCATTGCACTCCAGCCTGGGCAACAGGAGTGAAACTCCATCTCAAAAAATAAATTAATTAATTAAATTAAATAAAAAGAAGTGGGCTCACAGCATTAAGGGACATGCACATTTTCACCTCCTGATCTGTGATGTCACAGCACTCTTTACATTGACACGGTGATGCAGGAAGCTGGCAGTCCCACTGTCTAAAGAAGCTGCACCCAGAGGGCTCTCATCAGGCACCACCGGCCTGACTGAGCAGCTGCAGTCTCTTATGAATGAGCTCAATCCCATGTACAGAATTCTGAACTCTAAACAGCTCCAAAAACCACACTCTTTAGATAACTTATTGGGAGCTGAAACCTGACCTGAGGCTGTTGGCCTACTGTGAATATTTTGACATTTTGCTGCTGTAAAGGGTTTGATGGGTAGAGGACACCCAAGACCCCACTAGATTGTTCTTTATTGCATATGCACAGATTTACTTCCTAAAATATGGACAATTCTTTCACAGAAGCAGGCAGGAAGTGTAGGAAGTGTAACACCCAGCTGAACACTCTTCAGGCTTTTTCCCATGCACGGGGATAGAATCCAGCGGCCATCAGGGCTCCCACGCATGCAAATAACTATAAAGCACGGCAAAGCACTAAACGAGTCAGAAGACAGGAACAGAGTGAGCTCAGGGGAGAGGATGGGCACTGTGTGCCAGGGCGGGGTAGAAGATGGCTCGGGGGGAGGCAGAGGAAGGAAGTGGCATTTCAGTGGGACCCCCGAAGATGGCACATGGGCTTCTCAAAACATACAAACTCTTTCCCCGAAAAGCCCTCATGACTCCCTGGACTTTTCTTTTACCACTCGTTCTATGCTCGTATTTGTGAGGTTATTTGATAAATTTCAGTCTCCACGAGGTCAAGAACTTGATCTGGCCTGTTCACTGCTGCATGTTGGCACCTGGCCCAGGGCCTGGCATTTGGTCGGCCCTCAACAAACATTGTTGAAAGAGAGAATGCTGCACAAGAACCTAACGGTATTCATTCAAGCTGATGGAATCTAAATCCTAGTGAATGGGTTCTTACATTGGAAAGTACTGGAACAAAACAAAGATTTTAAGCAGGGAGTCCTGTAAAAGCCTCCTAAAGGAGGAGCCTGGGTTTATGTAGGCCCGAATTCCTGCTCCTGAACTTCATCTGCTGTGCCTTGTCAATCCTAAGCCTCTATGTAAACACAGAGTATGTACTGACAGTGTTTACGGAGAAGAGCCACAGGGCCAGTCCCAGGGGAGGTGCACCTTTTAACAGGGTCCATCTGGAGGACAGCCTGCAGCTGTGGACTCCTCGACTGCAGACATGGAGAGCAGAGGACCCCATTCAGCTCAGGAGGTGTGGCCAGAGAGACCACTTGGCGAGGGTTAGTGTTCCTCAGATGCCTCTGCCAGAACTCTGGGAACAAGCCCATGCCATGCAGCTCCCATGGGAGCCAGGTATGGTGAGCCTCTGCTCGACAACACTCCAGAGCTGCTCTAGGAGACCCCGACTGAAGAGATGGGGAACTAGCCAGGTATGGTGCAAAATTTGCGTGTAACTTCAGGGATTCAAGAATCTGCACTTGGCCAGGTGCACTGGCTCATGCTTGTAATCCCAACACTTTGGGAGGCTGAGGCGGGAGGATCACTTGAGCCCAGGAGGTCAAGGTTGCAATAAGCCATGATCGTGCCACTGCACTCCAGCCTGGGCAACAGGGTGAGACCATACCTCAAAAAAAAAAAAAAAAAAAAAAAAAAAAAAGGAAAGAAAAAGAGAAGGGTGCAGGCAGCTGGCACAACTGTGTGTGTATCCATGTGTTGGAGAGGGGTGTCTTTGAATTCATCACTAGTCCACTATGCATCACCCAAAGATGAGCAAGGCATAACCTCTGCCTTCAAGAAGTTTTCAATCTGATGGGTGCTTTAAAGAAGCTGCCAAAATGAAGGGTGGGCTCTGGGACCCAGAAGAGGCTGGGTGGCAGATTTCCTCAAATTGTCTTTAAATCTAGGGAAAGGGCCTGGCCAGCTGTTCTGGGAATTCTGCATTTATACCGAACTTTAAATGTTGATGAAATAAACCAATTTCAGGACATGAATTCTCTCCCAGTTTTCCAAAGACATTCCCAAATGAGCTCTGCTGCTAACATCTAAGCCTCCATAGGAAAGATGAATACGGAAATGATATGGTGGGTATGATAAGGGCCAGACTTTCCCTCTAAATGTGAAGCACCAGGTACAAGCCTTGGTGCTTGGTAGAGCCTTGTCAAAAGCTCCCTTTTCCCACTGAAATGTCTCACCCTGTGGATGGAGACACTGTGCTCCCCAAAGTCACCCTTGGGAATCTGCATGTGAATCAACCCTGACCCAGGTGGGCAGCATGTGACCCATCCATGAGTGGGGTCTGGAACCCATCTTACCTGTGGGCCCATTACCTGCACTACCTGGGCACCACTGTGCCGGCTGGGCTTTCCCTAACTTACTCCAGTTTCTGCCATGATAGATTTCCTCCTCCATTTCCTGATTGGCACTCCAGTCCCTCCCTTCCAGGCTTACAGCCTACCCGAACTCCAGCCTGCCTGGTCCTCAGCCTGGCCTGGCTCTCCCTGATCCAGCACTTCCCCGGGATTAGCTACCTAAACCCACCTGGATTTCAGTGTTTGCCTAAACCAGGCATTCTCAATTGCAGCACTATTGATATTTTGGACCAGATAATTTTTTTTTTTTTTTGAGACAGAGTTTTGTTCTTTCACCCAGGTTGGAGTGCAGTGGCGCAATCTCAGCTCACTGCAACCTCCACCTCCCAGGTTCAAGCAATTCTCCTGTCTCAGCCTCCTGAGTAGCTGGGATTGCAGATGCGTGCCACCATGCCTGGCTAATTTTTGTGTTTTTAGTAGAGACAGGGTTTCAAAATGTTGGCCAGGCTGGTCTTGAACTCCTGACCTCAAGTGATCCACCCGCCTCGGCCTCCCAAAGTGCTGGGATTACAGGTGTGAGCCACTGGGCCTGGATGGATAATTGTTAATTCTTTGCTGTTCCTGTGCGTTGTAGGATGTTTAGCTGTATCCCTGGCCTCTACCCACTAGATGTCAGGAGCATTTGCTCACCCACTTGTGACTAAAAATGTCCCCAGACATTGCCAAATCTCCCCCAGAGAGTAAAATCACCCCTAGCTGAGAACCACTAGACTGAACCAAGTCTGTCAGTGGCTTCTCCCTTCAGGGGTCAGTCGCCCTACTCTGATTGGTTCCCCTAATTCAAGACCTTTGTTCTCCCTGCTCCCTCCAGACACTGTCTGTAAATGCCATGTTCCCTGCTGGTTGATGTGGTGGTTTTTTTTTTGTTTTAGCTATCACTGTTCATCTATTCATAATTAAAATAGTTACCATCCCCTGTGTGCTCCTAGATGTCAGATTCAGCCTTTATAAACATTACAGTATTTAGATAGAGTCTACTGCTGTCCCCATTTTACAGATGAGCATCTAGAGGCCCAGAATACTTAGGTCACCTACCCAAAGGAACCTACCCAAAGTCACTGAACCTAGATTCAAACTCATGAGTGTTTATTTTTTATTTTTTTTTTTTTTGAGACAGGGTCTCACTCTGTCACCCAGACAGGTGTTTCCTGGTATGATCACGGCTCACTGTAGCTTCATCTTCCCGGGCTCAGGCAATCTTCCTGCCTCAGCCTCCCAAGTAGCTGGGACTACAGGTGCAAGCCACCACACTCAGCTAATCTTTTTCTATTTTCTGTAGAGAGGGGGTGATATGGTTTGGCTGTGTCCCCACCCAAATCTCATCTTGAATTCCCATGTGTTGGGGGAGGGACCTGTGGGAAGTAATTGAATCATGGGGGCAGGTCTTTCCTGTGCCATTCTCATGATAGTGAGTAAGTCTCATGAGATCTGATGGTTATTATAAGGGGGAGTTTTCCTGCAAAAGCTCTCTCTTTGCTTGCTGCTATCCATGTAAGATGTGATTTGCTCCTCCTTGCCTTCCGCCATGATTGAGACTTTCCCAGCCGTGTGGAACTGTAAGTCCAATTAAACCTCTTTCTTTTGTAAATTGCCCAGTCTCGGGTATGTCTTTATCAGCAGTGTGAAAACAGACTAATACAGGGGGTCTCACTTTGTTGCCAAGACTGGTCTCAAACTCCTGGGCTCAAGCAATCGTCCTGACTTGGCCTCCCAAAGTGTTGGGATTACAGGCAGAAGCCACTGCACCTGGCCTCATGAGCGTTTAAAGTCCATGCTTCTAACAATCATGCTTGAGTTGTCTGAAATGCAACAGATCCCACAACTCTTCCACCATCAGAAAACAGCCACTTAGCTCTCTCGTACCTGTGACAGACCTCCAGAGATACCCAGGAGAGCTCTCAGATCCACTGCCTGATTATCCTAGCTAACCAGGGACTTCCAAAGCTCATGCCTGCCTGCCTGTCCCACGGGCCTCCCATCTCAGGCCTCTTCGGGCATCAGCAGTGGCTACTCCTTAGAGGGCCAGGGGCCTTTGATGTACAAACCTGTTCCAGATTAAGGGCTGCCTCCTTCTCCCCCAGGACAACCCAGCAGGGAGCTCATTAACACAGATCCTTTGTTTGACCACATAATGTTTGGAAAAGGAGGCTCTGGTTTCCAGTAGCCCACCCCTGTTCCCATATGAATGTCAAGAAGGTCAGTGCCCTCTAATGATCTTAGAAATGGCTTTGGGGTGAAGCTAAGATTCACAGGACCTAGAGTCACTGGATGAGTGCCTGCTGTCTGGGTGTGACTGAGGGACTCAGCAGCTTAAATTGCTGATGAGTCAATCTTTGGGTAGTTTAAATGTGGCCCAGTAAGAGGTGCTGTCCCTGGGCAGGGAGATGACTCTCTTCCCCTCTCCAGGTTTTTGTTCCCTTTGAATTGTGGCTGTTAAGAAAGCATAAAGTCATCTGCTTAAATCATTAAATTACAGTGCCAATATTAAGGAGTCAGACCTGGGCTTGAATCTCTGCTCTGCGAATCAGTAGCTTGAAAATCTTAGGACAGTTACATAACATCTCCAGGCCTGTTTTCTCATAAGTAAAAAGTGGGGTCGATATCTATCTCACTGGATTACTGAGAGGATTAGAGGTAATGCATGGGAAAGGTTTAGTTCCCAGGAGCACTCTAGAAATATTATTATATCTACTGTAATTATCAGGAACAAGGTCACTTACTGTTGACTTACCTCCAAAGTTTAGGGGTTCACTCATTCATTTGTTGATTGTTTCAATGATATGTGGCGGGCACTCTACTAGGTGTGGGAGCCAGAGACATGGATGCTTCAATGTGACAACAGTGATGATGATGGAACGTTAAGGGTATGGGCCCAGGAGTTTAATGGAGCCGGGTTCCACTAGCTGAGTAATCTTGGGTATGTAACCTAACCATTTGATGCCTCCGTCTCCTTGAGCAAAGTGGGGCAGCAGGAAGACGGTCAATCTCACAAGATTGTTGTGGGGTTTAAATGAGATGGTCCATGGCAAATGCTTAGTACAGTACCTGACACAGAGTAAGCCCTCCATGTGTGTTGGTTACTATTGTTACTGATTAGTTACTATTGTCATCATCATCATTGCCGTCACCTTACGAGGAAGTTTATTTAAGAAGCCTGTGACTGACAGTGCAACTTCAAGTAGGCTGGCTCGATGGAATGGGCTGCTTCAGAAAGTGGGTCAGTGTCCGAGAGGCACTTTCAGTTAAGTGACTACAGAGATGACTCTGTAAGGTTGATTCCTTCTGAAGGCTTTTGAGTCCCTGCTGGACAGCAGAGCTTCCCCATCTAAGCTACTGCCTCAAAGCCCACATGCTGTTATTGCCATGACCAGATGAGACTCAGGGCCAAGCCAGGCCTGGGAATATTCACCCAGGATGGTGTTGTGAAAGGTCAGGGTTGTGGGTTTCACGGCTCTAAGACTCCAAACATTTACCATGAATCATCTCATTTATTTATTTATTCAAATTTGTTAGAGACAGGGTCTCACTCTGTCACCCAGGCTGGAGTGCAGTGGCCTGACCATGGCTCACTGCAACCTCAACCTTCTGGGCTCAAGCAATCCTCCTGCCTCAGCCTGCTGAGTAGCTGGGATTACAGGCGTGCACCACCATACCTGGTTAATTTTTTTTTTTTTTGAGACAGAGTTTCATGTTGTTGCCTAGGCTGGAGTGCAATAGTGCGATCTCAGCTCACTGCAACCTCTGCCTCCCACGTTCAAGCGGTTCTCCTGCCTCAGCCTCCTGAGTAGCTGGAATTACAGGCTCCCACCACCAGGTCCAGCTAATTTTTGTATTTTTAGTAGAGATGGGGTTTCATCATGTTGGCCAGGCCGGTCTCAAACTCCTGACCTCAGGTGATCGACCTGCCTCAGCCTCCCAAAGTGCTGGGATTACAGGTGTGAGCCATTGCACCAGGCTATTTTTTTTTTTAAGAGACAGGGTCTCACTGTGTTGCCCAGGCTGGTCTTGAACTCTTGGCCTCAAGCAATCCTCCTGCCTTGGCCTCTGAAAGTGTTGGGATTACAGACGTGAGCCACTGTGCTGAGCCTCTTATTTAAATCCCACAACAGCCTTAGGAAGCTGATTTTGTTGCATTGCCATAGGATTCCTTGAATTCTGCTGGCCGGCAAGGCACTCTGAGGAGGGGAAGTTAAACAGCTACTTTTTTTTTTTTTTTTAAGAGATGGGGGTCTCCCTATGTTGCCTAGGCTGGTCTCGAACTCCTGGGCTCAAGTGATCCTCCCGCCTCAGCCTCCCAAAGTGCTGGGGTTACAGGTATGAGCCACCCTGCCCAGCAACAGCTACTTGTTAATTGCCTGTAAGTCTCACCTTGTCAGTCAGGCTGCTGTCGCAGGCTGGGTGTGCCAGGAGCAGCCGCACCAGGTCCACGTTGCCATGGTGACAGGCCACCATGAGGGCCGAGGATCCATCGTGGTCCTGCAGATTGACATCTGCCTGGCAGCTAAGCAGCGCTTGAACCATGTCCTCCCTGTCGTGGCTGACTCCCAGCATCAGCGCAGTCTGGCCTCCCTGCATGCAGAGCCACAGGGATGTGGTGAGGTTGCTGCCAGTGGGGAAGGACCCCCTCTCCAGCCTGGGTGTGCTCATCAGAGACTTCTCAATACCACAACCACTGATTTGAATCTCCTGCCCTTGATATGGGACATAACCTTCTCTGCTTGGCAAAATTCTACTCTTTTAAGACTAGTCAAATGCTACATCCTCTCTAAAGCCTTCTCTCACTCCCCAGGCACGGGAATCCTAACACAGCACTCACCACTTAGTATTGCAACTTGTCAACTTCTCTTTCTCACGGATTGTGACATTGTTGACGGCAGGGACTAAGTGTTTTTGTCCCTGTCTCCCCAGTGTCTAGCACCAAGAACGTGCTGATAAATGTCGAATGACGGAACAGATGAAGGTTGAATGCTTGAGCATCATGGCTTCTTACTGCCTGCCCCAGCCTGACTTTCCCCAGGAAGCCTTCTCTGCTCAATGCCTCTGAAATTTTCAGTTTAAGGATACCCAGAACCCTCTTCTCTCAACACGATCTCTGGTTGCATGTCCTGTGGTCATTTCTAATCTATAGACATTGACAGTAATCTTGGGCATCTCTGTAATCATAGGTGGACGTAGCAATGAGCCGGAATCAGAAAGCAAGCTCTAGTTCTACTGTTTCCTAATGCATGATTCAGGCCACATCACTGTCTTCCTTGATTCTTGGTTTTTCTTTTCTTTTTTTTGAAGATGGGGTCTTGCTGTGTTACCCAGGCTGGAGTGCAGTGGCACAATCACAGCTCACTGCAGCATCAGTCTTCTGGGATCAAGTGATTCTCCCACCTTAGCCTCCCAAGTAGCTGAGCTCATGGGCACGTGCCACTCAATATACCTGGTTAGTTTTTTTGTTTTTTTTTTTTTGTGAGACAAAGTCTCACTCTTGTCGCCGAGGCTGGAGTGCAATGGCACGATCTCAGTTCACTGCAACCTCCGCCTCCAGGTTCAAGTCATTCTCCTGCCTCAGCCGCCCAAGTAGCTGGGATTACAGGCAGCTGCCACCATGCCCAGCTAATTTTTGTGTTTTTATTAGAGACAGGCTTTCCCCATGTTGACCAGGCTGGTCTTGAACTCCTGACCTCAGGTGATCCGCCTGCCTTGGCCTCCCAATGTGCTGGGATTACAGGTGTGAGCCACTGTGCCCAGCTTGTTTTCCTTCTCTTAAAAATTAATGTAACAATTGGGGCCGGGTGCAGTGGCTCACGCCTGTAATCCCTGCACTTTGGGAGGCCAAGGCGGGCAGATCACCTGAGGTCAGGAGTTCAAGACCAGCCTGGCCAACATGGTGAAACTCTGTCTCTACTAAAAAAAAAAAAAAAATACAAAAATTAGCTAGGTATGGTGGCGGGCGCCTGCTATTCGGGAGGCTGAGGCAGGAGAATCACTTGAACCCGGGAGGCAGAGGTTGCAGTGAGCTGAGATTGCACTACTGCACTCCAGCCTGGTCAACAGAGCAAAATCTGTCTCAAAAAAAAAAAATTAATATAACAATGATTTGTCCTGTGTACCTCGCAGGGCTTTTGTGGGAATCAAGTGAGATAAAGTATGTAAATATAATGATGTACAGTAATAATTTTTCTGATTACAAATTGACCATCATTTCCCATAGATTTTCTTAATTTTGTTATATACACTATATGTGTGCATGTTTGTGTGTGTGCGTGTGTGTATATATATATATACATGTATTTTTTTTTTTTGAGACAGAATCTCGCTCTATTACCCAGGCTGGAGTGCAGTGGCATGATCGCGACTCACTGCAACCTCTGCCTCCTGGGCTCAAGTGATCCTCCTACCTCAGTCTCCTGAGTAGCTGTGACCATAGGCATGTGCCACTACATCTGGCCAATTTTTTTTTTTTTTTGAGATGGAGTCTTGCTCTGTTGCCCAGGCTGGAGTGCAATGGTGCAATCTCGGCTCACTGCAACCTCTGCCTCACGGGTTCAAGCCATTCTCCTGCCTCAGCCTCCCGAGTAGCTGGGATTACGGGCGCCCACCATTACGCCAGGCTAATTTTTGTATGTTTAGTAGAGACGGGGTTTCACCATGTTGGTCAGGCTGGTCTTGAACTCCTGACCTCAGGTGATCTGCCTACCTCGGCCTCCCAAAGTGCTGGGATTACAGGCATGAGCCACCGCACCCAGCACATCTGGTCAATTTTTGTATTTTTTGTAGTGATGGGGTTTTGCGATGTTGCCCAGGCTGATCCTGAGCAGTCCACCCACCTTGGCCTCTCAAAGTGCTGAGATTACAGGCATGAGCCACCGTGCCTGACTGTGTGTATATTTCTTTTCTTTTCTTTTTTTTGAGATGGAGTCTCGCTCTGTCACCCAGGCTGGAGTGCAGTGGCGTGATCTTGGCTCACTGCAATCTCCGCCTCCTGGGTTCAAGCGATTCTCCTGCCCCTCAGCCTCCCAAGTAGCTGGGAATACAGGCGTGCATCACCACACCCGGCTATTTTTTGTATTTTTAGTAGAGATAGGGTTTCACCATGTTGGCCAGGCTGGCCTCAAACTCCCGACCTCAAGTGATCAGCCCGCCTCGGCCTCCCAAAGTGCTGGGATCATAGGCGTGAGCCACCGTGCCCAGCCCCCAGCTGTTATTAAAGCCAGATGACATATGCAGATGGTCCTCACATCTGCCCCTCTGCCTGATGCAGGGCCCCTTCCTTCCTCATTGTCCTCCCGGTCCCTTTCAATATAATTTAATTCAATGAGCATTTATAGAGAGCTACTATATGCTGCTGCATTGCCCTGGAGATCCAGAGAGAAGCAGCTTTTTCCTAGGAATACACTCCCAGTGTATTCCCATTTAACCTGGTACCTCTGCTCTCTTCACATGTGAAGGCCCAGGGGGAGCTAAAGGGAATGGCTGCAGCTATGCATTCTCACCCCTCCTTTGGTGACCCGGAATGAGTCCCTTGCCCTCCTACAGCATCAGTTTCTTCTCTGTACAAAGAAGGGGTTGATTTTGATCCTCTTGCAAGCAACCCCTCTTACAAGAGGGACAATTTAGAAAATAATTAACGTATTTATGGGAAACATTAGTTAAAATGAAACATTAGCTGTATTGAGTCTTAAGGGACAGGAGTTGTAGGTGACTAGAATACCTTGAAAACCAGAAAGTAATCTATAAACATCGGCTTCTGGCCGTCACTAGGGTTGCTATCAGATGAAGTATGCAACGGTGACTTTGCCATCGGGTTAGGTTACTATCTGCAATCTCTCTGGGGGAGTGTAGGACAGTGGTGCTTAATATATTGTTAGGAGTCCATTTTCCATAAGTCTCTTGCTTTTTTGCACATCTTGTGAGTAAAGCACACCACAATCTGCCCTTTTGCTCTAGACTATCTTTTTAAGGCTGTTTATATAGTGAACAGCCTTGGAAGCTGGAGATATTGTCTTCTTTGGAGAAAAGGGCAGGCAGGCTTACTGTCCCTTATCAAAGCTTCAGGTTCCCTACACTCAGGTGTCCTGTCCTGCAACGCAGCCCACTCCATGCTTAGCTTTGTGGCCCTCCTCACACTGCCCTGTGGGAGCTGGGATTTGGGCAATGCTGATACTGTGGCTACTGCTTCGGCTGTGGGTAATACACAGTCCTTTGTCTCGGGCACAGAAGTCTCATGTCTTCTGCCAGCATCCACAAAACTGTAGCAGGCTACCTTGTTAGCTTTAACGTGGGGTAAAAGCCCAGACTCTTCACAGTTCTCAACAGTTACCTTATCATCTATGATCACTCCAGGGGAAAGGAGAGTTAAACATACTCCATTCATTCCTGTAGGTTCAAAAAATGGGCAAATGACCTTTTGAGGAGTCCCCGTTGTTCCATGTGGAGCCTTGTCTAACTCAAAGCCCTTCTGGGTAAGGACCACACCCCCACCCTGTGTTCTCAAGCAGAGGGCCCCAGAAGATGAATAGAGACATTCCAACCCTCTGTGCTGCCTTTGCTGTCTTAAGATCCTTTTTGGAGTGAACCCCAATCAACTTGTACTTAATCACTGCAGGAAAGATTCAGAGGCCGGGCGCGGTGGCTCACGCCTGTAATCTCAGCACTTTGAAAGCCCGAGGCGGGTGGATCACCTGAGGTCAGGAGTTCAACACCAGTCTGGCCAACATAGTGAAACCCCATCTCTAAAAAATACAAAAATTAGCTGGGCATGATGGCGGGTGCCTGTAGTCCCAGCTACTTGGGAGGCTGAGGCGGAAGAATCGCTTGAACCCAGGAGGTGGAGGTTGCGGTGAGCCGAGATCAAGCCATTGCACTCCAGTCTGGGTGACAGAGTGAGACTCCGTTTCAAAAAAAAAAAAAAAAGATTCAGAGTACCCAGTCTTGGCTCAGTTTAAAAAGTTATCAGAGGTGTCTAGAGTAACAAATGGGCTACTTTGGTAGTGCATGAGTTTCCTGACACTGGAGGTCCTGGAGCTGGAGACCAAGCAAAGAAGCAGGAGACCACCTGGTAGGATTTTGCAAAATAATAAGGGGTAGACCTAGGTGACATTTAAGGGCTCTTCTGACCTAAGGCACAAGTGACCCAGTGAATTAGTGGAGCCCACGTGTCCTGAATCTCTGGCTATTACATTTGTGTAGGGCCCTACTGGGTCTTCGCAGCAACTGCTGCTCCCAGCCTGGCCCATAGCACTGCTCCTGGGGACTGGGGCATGATTTGTGTGTCTGGAATAATACCACTCACAATTGTTGGTGCAGAGGTAAGGCAGATAGGAGTGTTTTGGGATCTGGTTATTTCAAGGGCTGAGGCAGCATGCCAGGTTGATTGATAATGACCTGCAGAACTCTATAATAAGCCTCTGAGCTAAGCTGAGGCCTGGAAAGTGGGAATCCTCACACCCCTAGGAATGATCAGCCAGTGCTTCTGTCTGCCCTGGCTATCCACACTTTCCCTCAGTCTGAGGACTCATGACCTTGTTAAAAGGCTTTGGGGTGACAGAGGTGAGAACTTCTTTAAAGGACTGGACCTCCAAAGAGCCTAGTTAGGTGCCTGTGGGCCAAGATCAAGGTGGGTCACCTGTGAGGGCTTTCTTAGAGCAGCCAACTAGCAAATGCCTTCTCAAGATGGCAACTGGGAATGTTGGTTCTAGAGGTTGCATCCAGATGGAATTTGCTCAGTTTCAGACTGGGACTTATATTAGAAGCTCACTGACCTCTGTGCAAGCTGTGCAAGCTCCTGGCTGGGTCTCGGGAGCCTATAAGGAAAACTGAATATTCAGGCTTTGCCTGATGCCATTTGGAGGTCCCAGCCTCCTTGGGTTAAAAACTACATGGATCTGCATGGAATTTCTCACCCCACTAGCAGAATAAAGCGGGAGGTGCCCCTGCATTTACTGAAGAGGAGATCCTGTTCATTCCACCCACCTGAGTAGCTTGAATGTTCACATTTCCTTCTCTTAAGAGCTTCCAGACAACAGCCATGTCTTCATTGGTCTCTGCGGAAGCCAAGGGAGTGATCATTACGGCAGTGTAGCCAGCTTTGTTCTGATGGTCCACATTGCAGACGCCTGCAAGAGAAGCAATGGGTGCTGCAAAGGCTCCTGAGGGGCCAGGAGCCAGACTCCACTTTAGCCGTTTCAATGGGACACTGCTCGCTGGTTAGAAAGCCATGGACTAGAGCAATGCTTTCCACAGCTGGAGCCAGTGGTTTACATTTGTAGCAGCCTTTAAAGATGGTTTCTTTTCTTTTCTTTTTTTTCTTTCTTTCTTTTTTTTTTTTTTTTTTGAGACAGAGTCTTGCTCTGTCACCCAGGCTGGAGTGCAGTGACTCAATCCCGTCTCACTGCAACCTCCACCTCCCAGGTTCAAGCAATTCTGCTGCCTCAGCCTCCTGAGTAGCCAGGATTACAGGCGTGCGCCACCACACCTGGCTAATTTTTTTTTGTATTTTTAGTAGAGACGGGGTTTCACCATGTTGGTCAGGCTGGTCCCGAACTCCTGACTTCGTGATCCACCCTCCTTGGCTTCGCAAAGTGCTGAGATTACAGGCATGAGCCACCGCGCCCAGCCAGCTGGTTACTTTTCTTGACAAGTTTTCTGAGGATACCCAGCAAGGGAGGCCCACAACAAAGCCAGAGATGGCCAAAGGGCCAGTGGCCTTGACTTCATCTCCTAAACTGGAGCACAAGATGTTATTCCCATTTTACAGATGAGGACACTGAGGGCCAGAGAAGTTACATTGTCCACTCATGTGAAGGTGAAGTGGGTCAGGAACACTCAGGTCTGTCCGGCTCTGGTGCTCATCCCTCACCTGCCCATATGCCTGGAATGCCACCCACGGCTGTGCATTTTGGGTTTCACACTCACTAGCTCACGTTTGTGTGTAACAAACTAATGGCTGTGTTTGTAGGTCCTTTCCAAGGGCCTAGGGGTCTACTGTGCCAAGTACCAGGAGGGTGAACAACACCATGGGATAAACGTGGGAAATCTTCTAAGAACAACCATCTCACTTGAAAAATGGAGGGAAAAAAAACTCCACAATTTTTATATTAAAACAATTAAGAATTACATTTCACAATACAATGGAAACCTAGCATTATTTGTTTATTTGTTTATTTTTCTTGAGACAAGGTCTCACTCTGTCACCCAGGCTGGAGTGCAGTGGTGCAATCTCAGCTCACTGCAACTTCTGCCTCCCGGGTTCAAGTGATCCTCCTGCCTCAGCCTCTCGAGTAGCCTGTAGGTGCCCGCCACCATGCCTGGCTAATTTTTGTATTTTTAGTAGAGACAGAGTTTCACTGTATTGGCCAGTCTGGTCTCGAACTCCTGATCTCAAATGATCCACCTGCCTCGGCCTCCGAAAGTGCTGGGATTACAGGTGTGAGCCACTGTACCCAGCCAAAAACCTGGCATTTTTTTTTTTGTTTTTTTTTTCAGACAGTCTCTCTGTCGCCCAGGCTGGAGTACAGTTGCATGATCTCGGCTCACTGCAACCTCCGCCTCCTGGGTTCAAGTGATTCTCCTGCCTCAGCCTCCTGAGTAGCTAGGACTACAGGCGTGCATCACCACGCTCAGCTGATTTTTTATTTTTTTTTAATGTATTTTTAGTAGAGATGGGATTTCACCATGTTGGTCAGGCTGGTCTCGAACTCCTGACCTCAAGCAATCTGCCCACCTCGGCCTCCCAAAGTGTTGGGATTATTACAGGCATGAGCCACTGTGCCTGATTAAACCTGGTATTTTTTTTTTTTTTTTTTTTTTTTGAGACGGAGTCTCGCTCTGTCACCAGGCTGGAGTGCAGTGGCGCGATCTTGGTTCACTGCAACCTCCATCTCCTGGGTTCAAGTGATTCTCCTGCCTCAGCCTCCTGAGTAGCTGGGATTACAGGTGCACGCCACCATGCCCGGCTAATTTTTGTATTTTTTAGTAGAGACCGGGTTTCACCATGTTGGTCAGGCTGGTCTCAAACTCCTGACCTCATGATCCACCCACCTCAGCCTCCCAAAGTGCTGGGATTACAGGCATGAGCCACGGTGCCTAGCCAAACCTGACATATTTTTAAGACTAAGTAGTAAATGAGAACTTTAAAGAAAGTTCTGCTTTGTAGCCCTGGGGATATGTATCCATATTCCTCCCCACCTAAGGAGAGGTAGGGGATCATCAGGCATAGACCGATAACTGTTAAGTAAATGACCCCACCTCTCAAGGGTGATGGGAAAATCAAACGTCTTTGTACTGTTACTTATCTGAAAAAATTATGTTGCTCTTTTTATTTGTTTGTTTTTTTGATAGGGTCTTGCTCTGTTGCCCAGGCTGGTGTGCAGTGGTGAGATCATGGCTTACTGCAGCCTAAACCTCCTGGGTTCAAGCAATCCTTCCTTATGTAGCTCCTTTGGGCAACAGAAAAACAATTACACTTAATCAAGTCACTTAGCCTTTCTTAGCATTTCCTTCTCTATAAAATGGGGATAACAACACAACCTACCTTATAGGTGAAATTTATTGAGTTTATTTATTTATTTATTTATTGAGACAGGGTTTGGCTCTGTTGCCCAGGCTGAGGGTGAGTGCAGTGGCACTCACTATAAGCTCTGCCTCCTGGGCTCAAGTGATCCTCCCACCTCAGCCTCCTGAGTAGCTGGGACTACAGGTGCATGTCACCATGCTCAGCTAATTCTTTGTGTTTTTTATAGAAACAGGGTTTCACTATGTTGCCCAGACTGGTCTCGAACTCTTGAGCTCAAGCCATCCATCCACTTTGGCCTCCCAAAATGCTAAGATTACAGGCCCGAGTCACTATGCCCAGCCTAATATATTTAAAGCACTTAGAACAAGCTTGTCCAACCCATGGGCCATGGGGCCACTTATGGCCCAGGACAGCTTTGAATGTGGCCCAACACAAATTCATAAAGTTTCTTAAAGCATTATTTTTAGCTCATCGGCTATCATTAGTGTTAGTGTATTTTATGTGTGGCCCAAGACAATTCTTCTTCTTCCAATGTGGCCCAGGGAAGCCAAAGATTGGATACCCCTGACTTAGAATCATGCCTAGTACACAGTAAACACTCGGTAAGAGTTCACTGTTATTACTATTATTGTCCAGAATGATATTCTCATAAGGTTTAGGTATTCATTGTAAAAATATGGTTTATGAAAAAAATGTCAATTAGTGCTATTTGCAAGTTCTGTGCAAGTGGAAAAAAGCAACATTTGTTTGATATTCCCTCCACCCCACAATTTTCCTTTCTTTTTTTTTTTTTCTAGATGGAGTTTCACTCTTGTTGCCCAGGCTGGAGTGCAATGCTGCTATCTCAGCTCACTGCGATCTCCGCCTCCCAGGTTTAAGCAATTTTCCTGCCTCAGCCTGAATAGCTGGGATTACAGGCATGAGCCATCACGCCCCACTAATTTTTGTAGTTTTAGCAGAGATGGGGTTTCTCCATGTTGGTCAGGTTGGTCTCGAACTCCCGACCTCAGGTGATCCGCGCACCTCGGCCTCCCAAAGTGCTGGGATTACAGGCATGAGCCGTCGCGCCTGGCTACCCCATAATTTTTCAAACAATTTTTCAGAAGTGTGCCATGAAAATACCAGGCCGTCAGTGGAGACAGAGGCATCAGTCTGTCTCATTTATCAGCAGTTTTCCCTCAAGCTCCTTGGACCACTGCCATGAGCCGGCAGGTGATGGAAGCTAAATAACAACTCCATACATCACCTCATAGCTCTGTCCTGATACGGAAGTGAACGTTTGCACTACCTTATTAATAACTTTATTTCTACACCTTGATTATTTTCTGTTTGCTTTTAAGATGTGTAAAGGAGCCTCAGCTTATCAGTTCTCTTTTATCTCTTTAGAAACATGATTTTTAGCTCAGTAGAATGAGGTCTGACACCTGCTCAGGGGCTCAGGAAAGGGACTAGGAGGGGCTAAGGACCCAGGATTTTATTTATTTACTTATTATTTTTGAGATGGAGTCTCACTCTATTGCCCAGGTTGGAGTGCAGTGGTGTGATCTCGGCTCACTGTAACCTCCGCCTCCTGGGTTCAAGCGATTCTCCTGCCTCAGCCTCCCAAGTAGCTGGGATTACAGGCATGCGCCACCACGCCCGGCTCATTTTTGTATTTTTAGTAGAGATGGGGTTTCGCCATGTTGGCCAGGATGGTCTTGAACTCCTAACCTCAGGTGATCCACCTGCCTTGGCTTCTCAAAGTGCTAGGATTACAGGTGTGAGCCACTGCATCCTGCCAGGACCCAGGACTTTATAGAAGATACTTCAGAGCAGCCATCAGGCAGCAAAGCCAACTCTCCCTGGAGGTGACAGAGGAGCAAGGCTCTCGACAGAGCATCCTCTGACTCAATAAGCCCTGCAAGGGCATTTGGCAAAATAAAGGACGGATCACTTGGGGTTGAGCCGGCAGAGGTGCACTCTGGCTCTATTCTCAATAATGAGTCACTTCTGTACACCCCTTTACAGTTTGTAATTTTTTTTTCTGGATGCTTAACAACTGCTTCTAAGGACACCCCAGGTTTGAGAGTGTGACAGATCTGTCATCCTCAATATCCCTTCTACAGAAGAGAGAAAGTAACGACTCTCTCAACCCATTCTCCCCAACCCCCTTCTTACTTTACCTTTATGCTATTTAGCTATTTCACTATGTTAAAGGGAAAAGTTCCCAAACCACTTTAAAGTCGATGAGTATTAAGTGAATTCTTAGCATCAGCAGATATTTATACCACCCAAATTTTAGTTGTCTCTTCTCTGTCCTGGCCTGGCCCACCCAGAAACTTCTAACAGGCTACAAGACTGTGAGCTACCTAAAGACAAGGGCCATATGTTACCAGTCTTTGGATTCTTCATGCACATAATGGATGTTCCCAAAGTCTCAGTGTCCCAGAAGCATAGATAGGGTAGTAGAAAAAGCCCAGATTAAGAGACTGATCGATCTTGGTTTGAATTCTGGATTAGCTTCTTACAGGCTCTGTGACCTTCACTGCATTACCTGACATCTCTGAGCCTCAGTTTCCTCACTGGAAAAGGCAATTAAGATCTGCTTCACAATTCCTGCATGGATTGTACATGACAGTGTATATGTATATCACACTAAGCCCAGTGTCTGGGATGAGGATGACATTGAAAAAGCAGTAGCTGCTTTATTCACATTCTACACTGATGGCTTCTAACGTTGAATACAGTAACAGAACACAGAGCCATGCTCCATTTAATTATGTGCCTTTCTCAATTGATCTACCATTTCGATGGTATCCATGCATCCATGAAGAACTGAAATCAATAACATCAGCTCACTGTTAGCTATAATTTAATCTTCTTTTGATGATGTGAAAATCAGAAACAACTTCAGGCTGTCATTATGTACGTTGCCTTTCCCGTTCAGCTGAAGAGACTCAAAGCTGCTTAGCAGAATTTTGAAGACTTGGAAGTTTACTGGAATTTAACCTAGCTCCCGAGAGTCATCCATCGCTCATTCATTTAACAGACGTTTTCACTCAACACCTACTAGGAACCAGGAACTGGTCTAGGTGTTAGGGAAACAGATAAGACAGACAGGAGCCCCTTTTGAGTGAATTAACATTCTGTTGGGTAGAAATGAAAAGCAAAGAGTGTCTCAAGAAAGAAAGAGGGTTCTCCCCTAGAGAGAGGTAGGGGCAGCCACTTTAGACAGAGGCACCAGGAAGACTTTTGAGGAGGTGACATTGGGGCTGTGACTTGAATGACGAGAAGGAGCCAGTCACAAGAAGAGCCTCAGGGGGAAGAGTCCAGGTAGAAGGCAAATACAAAAATCCCAGGAGGGAATGACCTTGGTGAGTGAGGCCAGCGTGGCTGGAGTGGAGGGAAGGAGGAGAGCGTGGTGGCAGCAGAGACGGCCCAGGCAGGTGGGAGCCAGGGCAGGTGGGGTCCTGAAGGCCAGGCTGAAGAAGCCGCCTCTCATGCTAAGAGCAATAGGAGGCCACAGGAGGGATTTCAGCCAGACAGGACCCAAGTTAGGGAAAGCCGTTGGATCCTAAATTCAGACTTTTGATGTTCATTGAAATTCCCACCTGAGGCCTCCTAAAAGAAGAGTTATGCTCTACCTCCTAGATGGCAGAAATGAAAAGAGGAATGGGACCGACTTTTCTTTCTTTCTTTTTTTTTTTGAGTCCAGGTCTCGCTCTGTCACTCACACTGCAGTGCAGTGGTGTGATCACGGCTCACTGCAGCCTCAACTTCCTGGGTTCAAGAGATCCTCCCACCTCAGCCTCCTGAGTAGCTGGGACCACAGGCGTGTGCCATCACGCCTGGCTAATCTTCGTATTTTTGGTAGAGATGGGGTTTCACCATGTTGCTCAGACTGGTCTTGAACCTCTGAGCCTAAGCGGTTCACCCGCCTCAGCCTCCCAAAGTGCCAGGATTATAGGCGTGAGCCACCGCGCCTGGACCAGTATTGACTTTAAACCCTGGTAGCACACTTAGTTATTGGGTGATCTAGGGCAAGTTTGCTGACTTTTCTGAATGTCACTTTCATGGTCTGTAAAGTGGGATAATCATCCTATTCTAATAATAAATTTTTATTATTAAATGAAATAATTATATTCATTATTATATAAATTATAATTATAAAGACAATATAATTTATAATTAATATAATTTATAAATATAATTTATCATAAATTTAAATTATATTTAGCAGGTGCTAAATACTTAGCAGAAGGCCACATCTGTGGGGATCATTTGGGGTTTTAAACCTCTTGTATGTACCCTGCTAGACAGCCCCATACAGCTTTCCTAAACTCATAGATGACATTTGACCGAGGCCCATGCACTTTCGCTCAGCCTCATCATGCACCTGTCTTTGATTGACTGTTAACTACCCCTTTCCAGTCTGTAACCCTGATTCTACTCTCACTTTCCTGAGGAGATCGAGGCCATCTGAGGCCAGTGGCCTCCACCTCCCTGCTCTCCTCAACATCTCTCTGCACTGTTACCCACTTTCTCCTTTTTTTGCTTCCATCTCAGAGAAATGAATAGCCCAGCGTCTTGCTTCGGCTGCCCTCACCTGCCTCCGCTGTGGAGTCCAGGCTTTCCCGGCTCCTCCCAGACCTTGCTTTGCCAAGTGGCTTCTCTCTTTTGTATCTTTCACCTTCCTCCTTCTCTCTCTCTGATTCTCTGTCAGTCTCTATCTCTTCCTTTTTCTCTCCCTCTCTCTCTTTTTCTGCCTGTCTGTCTCTCATTCTCTCCCTCTCCATCTCTCTCTTTGTCTGTCTCTCTGTCTCTCATTCCCTGTCTCTGTCCCCCACCTTATCTGTTCCTCTTCTTTCTTGGATTCTTCTTCTCAGTCAAAAAATATGTTCAGAGCTCCTCTCCCCAAACAAACACACAAAACCAACTCTCCGAAGGCTCTCCCACCTCCTTCAGCCAAGACACCCCATCGCTGCCTTCCCCAAGCCTGTCGCTTTGCTCCTTCCACTCTGCTAGCTGGTTTCCTCCCAACATGCCCCTAAAGCAGCTGTCTCCAAAGTCACCAGTGGCACTCTCCGTCCCCTCCATCTGCCAAACCCAGGCATCATCCTTCAGGGACCCTGCAGAATCTGACACAGTTGACAATCTTTGTTTTTCATGGGCTGTTCTTCCCCATCAGCCACAATCCTCTTATTTCTTCTAGTTATCACACGACTGCCTGGGTCTCCTCCACTGACGTGCTCTCTCTCTCTCTGCACAGGATAACCAAGAGCAAAAGAGGACTCCTCTCCTAAAGGCCTCATTGCATGTGCTCTGGCTGGCCCCACCCAAAGCTCTGTTGCCCTTTCATTTTGCATCTGGAATTCTCAATAGCCTTTGCACATTTCCGCAGAGATGATCCACTGGAAACTAAAAATCTGCCCCAAACTGAATTATCCTTTCTGCTTCCTCCACATTTGGTCCTTCTCCTCTTGCAGCCCACTGCCTTCTCAACCATCCAGGCTTGACAGAGAGCTCCAACTCACCTCACCAGTCCGGCACTACCCTCCCAATGGCTTTTTTTTTTTTTTTTTTTTTTGAGACAGGGTCTCTCTCTGTTGCCCAGGCTGGAGTGCAATGGCACTATCTCAGCTCACTGAAACCCCCACCCACCCCATGCTCAAGTTATTCTCCTGCTTCAGCCTCCTGAGTAGCTAGGATTACAGGCATGCGTCACTACCACCCAGCTAATTTTTGTATTTTTAATAGAGAGAGGGTTTCCCCATGTTGGCCAGGCTGGTCTTGAACTTCTGACCTCAAATGATCCACCCGCTTCGGCCTCCCAAAGTGCTGGGATTACAGGCGTGAGCCACCATGCCTGACCTCCCAATGGCTTTTTGCTGTTTGGTTCCTACCATCCTCACCTATTACAAGCCCTCACTACCTCTCTGTGGACCTCTGCAATGGCCTCCTGTCTGCCCTGCCACCTCCTCTCCTGCTCCCTTCACTAACCCACCCCTACTGTCAAATGACTCTTTTAGAGAATTACCCTGGTTATGGAGTTTCCTACAAAAAAATCTGCACTGACTTCCTGGGACCTTCCAAGCAGGGTTCAGCCTGGCACTCCAGGTCTTCCATTTCTCTATGTGGTGGCTCCAACTCACCCTTCCAACCTTAATTCCCATCCCATCCAAACTAGAAGCTTTCTAGTCTCCAGGCATTTTTCCCTGTCTAACCTCCATGGAGTTCCTTCTGCCTGGAAGACTGTCTGCCTGCTGGAGCCCTACCTGCTCCAGTGCACCTTTGCCGCTCCCTGAACTAGACACGCTCTCATTTCAGTTCCTAAATTGCATTCTCTATCTCTCTTTCATGAGCCACCATCCAGCTCCATCCCAATTGCTAGGCTGTGAGCTCCCAAGAAGCAGAGGGCTCACCTAGCTCACCTTTGCATCCCTGGTAGTAGCCAGTATGGACCTCATGTGTAGTCAATAAATATCTAATGAAAGATGAATGAATCAAGTTGAGTCAAATTGGTCAAATGGAGCCATGACCTTTGTTAAAAAGTATCTTCTGAAGATGGGAAAATGCCATTTTCCCTAGAGGCAGTACGGTATATAGCTCTGGAGGTGGACAGAGTACAAAACCTGACTCTACCCTTGACCAGCGCTGTAACTTGAGCAAGTTTTATAACTCTTGAGCCTCAGTTTCCTTAGCTGCAACATGAGAACAATACCCACATCACAGGAATGCTGTGAAGAACAAATGAGGCAAACACAGGCAAAGTGGTCTAGTCCAGTTCCTGGAACACAGAGGGAACTTTCAACAGTGAAGCATTTCCTTGACAGAAAGAAATGTGGTATAAGAATTGCCCTTCAAGTCATTCCATCAAAAAGACACCTGCATTTATATGCTATCACAGCACAATTCACAATTGCAAAGACATGGAATCAACCTAAATGCCTGTCAACCAATGAGTGGATAAGGAAAATGTTATATATATAAAAAATAAATATATAACGTATACTCACATATACATATAATAAAATGTTATATATACGTATATGCACAGACACACATACATACATTCCACGGAATACTACTCAGCCAGAAAAAAGAACAAAACAATGTCTTTTGCAGCAACTTGGATGGAACTGGAGGCCATTATTCTAAGTGAAGTAACTCAAGAACGGAAAACCAAATACTGCATGTTCTCATTTAAATGGGAGCTAAGCCACAGGTACACGAAGACATACAGAGTGGCATAATGGACAATTATACCAGAGAGTCAGAAGAGGGGAGGGTGGAAGGCAGTGAGGAAAAGCTACCTATTGGGTACCATGTATGCTATTTGGGTGATGGGTATACTACAAGACCAGACTTCACCACTGTGCAATTCATCCATGTAACCAAAAACCACTTGTACCTTTAAAGCTATTGAAATTTTTGAAAAAAATTTTAAAAATTGCCCTGCTCTTCAAGGAGGGACCCAGACTGTATGAATGCAACCACTTCTGACCTGTCTCCAGCAGCAGCTTCACGATGGAGAAGTTGGAGTGGGACACGCTGTAGTGAAGGGCCGTGTTCCCGTTGTGATCGGCCAAGTTGACAAGCAGTTTCAGGAAGTGTGGGGAGTGAGGCTGGACCTCGTGGAGGTAGGAGGCCACCACGGCGGGGCTAGACGACTTCCGGCTGGAGACGCGGAACCACTCTTGACTGATGGTGTTCAAGCTTTGCCTCTGAAACCCCAAAAAAGACCAATTCCAAGAGGTTCCCCGGCCAGCAAGAGTTCCTCCCTTACACAAGGAAAGACAGCTTTGGCCTCTGTCCCTGCAGCTCCCTCCAGCTTGCCATGTGATTTATTCCTGAAGGGCTCAGAGCTGGTGGGGTTAGGAATGCAGCAACATACTTTGTACTTGTGCGATCAGCCCCCTCTGGGAGTGGAAAGGAAGACTGGGAGGACAGCCTAGTAACCAGTAACAAGGCACTTAACTGGAAAAAGTTTGAGTCTGCGGGAAGTTTAGCTCACACCCCCCAGTAAGAAGTTTAGCTCAAACCCCTGGTATGCGCACAATTACAAAGGCCCTCTCCTTCCCCCTCACACAGCCAGCCCACAATGACCTTTCCCCAGACTCTATCAGGACACCTGCGTGTGTTTAATAGGCATAGCTGGAAAATCGCAACATCTTACTAATGGGAAACATGCATGCGAAGGCAAACAACATCTCCAATTTATGCTTGAAATAAAACCCAAACAGGTGTGCTTGACATGTTTGGCTTTTAAGCTTTCCAAGGACCTTGAGAGTAAATGGTTTAAGAACCCACGGCAGGACCCTGCTATCTGCAGCATTCAGCTCCTCTGGGACCATGAACGAGAAGAGTTCCAGAGCCAATGACATCAACTCTTGTGTGTGACATGAGCTCAGTGTTTAAAGGGTATTTACCTAATGGGGAAGAGAAGCTATTGAGAAATGATTATGATAAATGATTGCATACTCATGCTGGGAAGAGTCCTAGACTTGGGAGTCACTGAATCGATGTGACACAGTTTAATCCCTGGCTCGGCCGGGCGCGGCAGCTCTCGCCTGTAATCCCAACACTTTGGGAGGCCGAGGCGGGTATATCACCTGAGGTTGGGAGTTCAAGACCAGCTTGACCAACATGGAGAAACCCTGTCTCTACTAAAAATACAAAATTAGCCGGGCAAGGTGGCTCAGGCCTGTAATCCCAGCTACTCAGGAGGCTGAGGCAGGAGAATCGCTTGAACCCGGGAGGTGGAGGTTGTGTGTGAGTGCACCATTGCACTCCAGCCTGGGCAACAAGAGCGAAACTCCGTCTCAAATTAAAAAATAAAAATAAATAAATAAATAAAATCACTGACTCAGCTGTGGGACCTTGGAAGTCATACAACCTTTTTGATCCTTACTTGTCCTGTTATAAAATAGGAGTAAAAGGGGACTGGCCCCTTACCTTCCATGGCTCTACAGAGTGAGGTCCTTACACACCTGCTTCTTCCTCTAAGATGGGGGCAAGGGAGACAGTATCCGGTGCTTTGATCCTAACATGGGTGTGGTGCCGGGCTTGCATATCCTCTGATCACTTTTCTAGAGCAGAATCAGTGGAATCTTTTGTGGCTGAAACACTTTAATAAATCAGAGTATCTCCTTTATCCATGGGATCTTCAAGAAAATCTGGAGAAAGATCCTAATATTAAGGAACAGAGGGGTGGATTTTGTTTTTTGTTTTTGTCCGTTTGTTTGGTTGGTTGGTTTCTTTTGAGACAGAGTCTCGCTCTGTGGCCCAGGCTGGAGTGCAGTTGTATGATCTCAGCTTGCTGTAACCTCCACCTCCTGGGTTCAAGCAATTCTCCTGCCTCAGCCTCCCAAGTAGCTGGGATTATAGGCGCGGGCCACCACACCCAGCTAATTTTCGTACTTTAGTAGAGACAGGGTTTTGCCATGTTGGCCAGCCTGGTCTTGAACTCCTGACCTCAGGTGATCCGTCCATCTCGGCCTTCCAAAGTGCTGGGATTACAGGCGTGAGCCACTGCGACCGGTCGAGTGGTGGATTTTGAATGAAGAGCTAAGAAAGACCTTAGTTCGATAATTCAATTAAGAATAAGTGACAGGAGTTTTGATCAACATCCACATCACATATTGGTTCTTTTTTTTTTTCTCTGTGTTTTTGTGACAGGATCTCACTCTAGTGCTAAGGCTGGAGTGCAGTGGTGCAATCACAGCTCACTGCAGCCTCAACCTCTGGGGCTCAGGCGATTCTCCCACCTCAGCCTCTGAGTAGCTGGGACTACAGGCGTGTGCCACCATGCCAGGCTAATTTTTTGTATTTTTTTGTAGAGACAGGGTTTTGCCATATTGCCCAGGCTGGTCTCAAACTCCTGGGCTCAAGTGATCCACCTGTCTTGGCCTCCCAAAGTACTGGGATTACAGGCGTGAGACACTGGCCCTGGCCCTACATATTGGTTCTTTAGGGAACAACTATTTGTCAAATCAGCTAAGATAAAATAACAAAAATGAGTTGGGTAAGAAATAAATGCTGATGAATTGATCGTTTTTACTTCTAGGGCTCTTTTGCAAAGGAGAGCAAAATGGCTTTTAAAAATGCTTACGGGTTGTTCCACCATGGGTCTTACAGCTGCTCTCATAACTTGGGAAAATGTGTCTGTGCCAATATCCCTTGATTAAAAGTAGAATCACTATGTGTTTAAATCTCTGTAAGCCATGAAGGTGTGAAGGAGCCAATGCGTATTTTCTTGTTTTCAGTCTCTTGACCCAGAGGTACACTTCAAGAAAAACAGTAATGACTACAGAATTAAACGTCAGGGTTTGAGAGGAATGGAAACATGCCATCCACCACCTTCATTTTATTGATGAAGAAACAGAGGCCCTGAGCATCGAACTGACTTGCCTAATATCTCACAGATGAGGGTCCTGGGAATAGAACCTTCAGTTCCCATTCTACATGCTTTTCACACTCTGTCCACAGTCCTCTCAAACCACAGGGCCATCGTGAGCCTAAGCCACAGAGTTTGATGACAGACACTCATGGTGCATTGCCTAATGACACATGGGAAGCGCCTCTGAGCCCCCGGCCTGCTTTCTTGTGCATATCCATGGGCTCCACTTCCTCAGTGTGACCCATCACTTCAGGCAGCAGTGCTTGGGTAAAGGAGAGAACACCCAGAGGAAATGGGCCCTGGCCTGCACACTCACACCACTGCCTCACACTGTGCACTGCACACTCACGCCACTCACACCACTGCACACACACCACTGCTTCACACTGTGCACTGTACACTCACACCACTGCCTCACACTGTGCACCGTACGCTCACACCAATGCACACCCACACCACTGCCTCACACTGCATGCTCACACCACTGAACATTCACACCACTGCCTCACACACACACCACTCACACCACTGCACACTCACACCACTGCCTCACACTGCACACTCACACCATTCACATCACTGCACACCCACACTACTGCCTCACACTGTAAACTGCACACTCACACCACTGCACACTCACACCACTGCCTGCCTCACACCACTGAATGGGACCAAAGTCACCCTGGCAGAGCTAACGTCTTAAACAGAAGGGAAATCTTTACATGACAATGAAAAATTAGAGTACCAAGAGCTGGTCTGTGGTGGTCCCAGTTTCTGGCAGATGCTGGCTCAGTGCCCGGCATGCATTAAGAAATTCTTCTGAGGGTTTATATCTAAATAAAACAAACATATATACACATATTTATATAATCATTTTCAAGTTGATAAACAAGACTTTCACTCTCCTCCTCTTTCACATCTCAGCAGCTCAAAAATCCAAACTGGGCAACTGCCCTAGGAGAGGGTGAGCTTCAAAAATCTGGAGTGACCATGGTGTGTGCCGATGTGACTTGGCTTCTGAATGCTTCTGAAGATGAGCCGAGTGTGTTGCCCATTTAATCCTGCTTTTGTCAGGGGCTGGGGCCAATAACCAAAGCATTTAGGTGGGGGGTCGTGGTAGGGGGTGGTGGACAGGCCCACCTGCATTTCCTGGCATGCTGGGAAGGGGAGGCCTGTCTTTCTGACTTTGAACCAAACATTTTCTGCCTGGGTGACTGGAAAAAAAAATCAAAGAATCCAATCCATACCAGAAACTTTCTTCAGGTTATTCTTCCATGAAGGACACCGTAAGTACTAACAGAGTCAGTAATATGAGACTCGTTGAAGCTGGGTGTCCACAGTGACAAGCACTCTTCCTGTGTTGATCTGAAGGCAGGCTCAGCACCAAGAGGCCTCAGGTGAGGCTTAAGGGCACTGCTGGGCTCAAACTCCTAACCTCAAGGGATCCTCCCATCTCAGCCTCCCAAACTGCTGGGATTACAGCTATAAGCTGTGGTGCCTGGCTGCTCCCATCACTTTAAAAGACACATCACCAGCCAGGCACGGTAGCTCATGCCTATAATCCCAGCACTTTGGGAGGCTGAGGCGGGTGGATCACAAGGTCAGGTGTTCAAGATCAGCCTGGCCAACATAGTGAAACCTCGTCTCTACTAAAAAATACAAAAAAATAGCTGAGGATGGTGGTGAGCACCTGTAGTCCCAGCTACTCAGGAGACTGAGGCAGGAGACTCACTTGAACCCAAGAGGCAGAGGTTGCAGTGAGCCGAGATCGTGCCACTTCACTCCAGCCCGGGTGACAGTGCAAGACTCCGTCTCAAAAAAAAAAAAAAAGACACATCACTTTAAAAGCCAGCATGGTCAACAGGACAGGCAGAAAAGCTTATGGGTAACAATGAGAAGGACTGGGGCCAGGGTCCCTATTCTGCTAGCTGCGTCCCCACACTTCCCTAAGTCTCTGTTTCCACAACTGTAGAGTGGGGAGGTCACAATAACTTCTGTCCTGCAGGACTGTTGGAAGTTGTGTATATAGGATAATACTTGTAAAGTCCTTCACAGTTTCAGCACTAGGTAAATGTTGACTTTACAGGTAGATATCGGCTGTGACAGTACATTCCACGAAAGCAGGAGCCATATATCTACTTTATTCAACCAGTGCACAGTGTGGGCATGAAACAGAGACTTAAACAACACTGGCAAATGGATGGGTACATGAATGAACAAATGATCGCATGAACGGGTAGATATATGCCCTTGACCTTTTTCAGAGGAACAAGTGCCCGCGTTTGTGTCCATTTGCTCACCTCTCGGCCTTGGAGTGGGGGACTTCTTCCCCAGGCCCACTTTCCTGGGCAGCATGGCAGGTGCCCTCAGGGATGCCCTGCCCAGCCTCGCAGGTGAGATGGGCATCTTTGACATGCTTGTGATCTGGGCCGTCACACTTCTTCTCTGCCTCGCTGTCAGACAAGTCCTCTGGGGTGCTGTCCTCACCGCTGGTCTCCTCACTTGAGGTGGTCTCATACCTGGGGTAGAAAACAAAGGTCACTCGTCCTGTCTTTCCTGCCCAGTGCCCATGTCAACACCAGTGAGAGCTGGGTGGGCCTCGGGTAACACTCCGCAGCTTGCTAATCTCCTCCCCCACTCTCTACACCTGCCGGCAGGGTGACAGGCTCCCAGGAATCTTGGTGTCAGAAAGACATGCAGTAAAGGGCCCTGGCTCTGGTGCAGAGAGGCTATTTGGGGAGACTCAATTAACTGTGCTTATTGTCAAAATAATTAACTGTGCTCATTGCAGCAAACCCACGAGCAGCCTGTCCCCTCACTGGCTGATGCGTTCGGTGATCTAGACAGGCCATCCAGCGTTCTCATGAAAGCATTTGCTTGTGCAATCCTAACGTTAGGTCCGGAGAGGGGCCCAACTCTAGCCAAACATCCCCACCTCCACCCTGAATTCACCAAGTTGCCTGCAAATCTTCACATCTCTGGATGAGACCGAGACCTCCCTTCAGACTGCTCCAGCCCAGCTTGCACTTGGCAAGGCATGAACTCCTCCACACCTACATCCAGTGCTCTGTGGGATACCCCAGCACAGCACCTGCCTGTCTTTGCTGCAGCCTGTTTGAACTATTGCTTGGAGCAGCAAAAAGGAGAGCACAGGCCACTTGACTCGTGGCCCTCTTTCCTGGTAGTGACGCTTATGCTCAATTATAAGTGACTCTGTTGAGTTGGCAGACCAGAGGCCATGGAGGAAAGTCCTGGAAGATTTATTGACTCCTCTACTGATATTCAACAGGAGATCCCTAATGGAGAATGCTGGTGGTAAGATGATTTCAGGTTCTTGGGCCATTGGACACAGCCACAGAGACTGGTGGCCATGGCCTCCATTGAACCCCCTAAGGACCCTTCTCTGAATGGTGGCCTCTACATAAGCCCCTGTGCTCAATGGATTTGTAAACTGAGTCTGCTCCCTGCTATGCTTGCATTCTGTCTCACTTAAACCCCAGACATTTCTTCCTCTATTATGTATGGAACAGCCTTTCATGTTTGTGATTAAGAGAGTGGAGGGCATATTACATTTACCAAACAGTGCTCATCTTGGAACTGCTTCCATAAAAACTTTGCCTGGAAGTTCACTTATTCATTCAACAGGAATTTATTGAGCACCTACTATATGCCAGGCGCAGTTCTAAATCCTATACCAAAGTCCCTGCCCTAGTGGAGCTTATATTCTAGAAGGTAGAGTCAGAAAATGAACATGTAAACAAATATTATATTTAGGTAGTGATAAAAACAATGAATAAAATTTAAAAAAAAAGAGCCATGGGATAGAAGGATAAGAGGAGTGGCTACTTTAATTAGAGCAGAAGTTCCTAACCTTAGTGGTACATTAGAATCATTTGAGGGTGTTTAGAATTCCCAGTATGTGGACTGCACAAAGACTAATTAAACCAGAGTGTTCAGGGAAAGGATTCAGACACTGGGATGTTTTAAAAGCTCCCCTGGTGTTTCCAGCGTGCAACCAAGGCTGAGAATCACTGTACTGGAGTAACAAATGCTGAGGAATGTCCAGGAGAGGAGGCCTTTAGCAGGGAAACAGCAAGTGCCAGGGCCCTGAGATGGGCCTGACCTCAGCCTGTTGGAGGGAGGGAAGGAACGGCAGTGGCAGGGGCTAAGGCTGGGCAGAGCCATGATTTGGTTCTTCCACATTTGGATGCAGAGTGGGGACCATTGGGGGCGTTTCAGCTGGGGAGAGACGTGACCTATACTAGGCTTTGAGATTAGGCTGATTCTCCTTTTCTGTACATGAACTGTGAAAGCACATGATCCCGTGTCAGATGTTAGTGGAAGTGGGAACAGCAACCCTCCTGTGACACCCAGTTCATCATTTTTTTTCTTTGCTTTGCTTTTTTTTTTTTTAAGACTGAGTCTCGCTCTGTCACCCAGGATGGAATGCAGTGGCACAATCTCGGCGGCTCACTGCAACCTCTGCCTCCTGGATTCAAGCGATTCTCCTGCCTCAGCCTCCTGAGTAGCTGGGACTGCAGGTGCATGTCCCCACACCCAACTAATTTTGTATTTTTAGTAGAGATGGGGTTTCACCATGTTGGCCAGGCTGATCTTGAAATCCTGGCCTCAGGTGATCTGTCCACCTGAGCCTCCCAAAGCGCTGGGATTACAGGCATGAGCCACAGCGACTGGCCCCAGTTCATCATTTCTGATGTTTCCCCTTGTTGGCGTCTAATGTCTTCCCTTCTGGTGTGACTCAAATTAGCAGGGATTCTGAGCTCTCTGGGCAGCCTTCAGGGTTTGGGCTTCCACAGCATCCTGTGCTTCCTCACCTAACAAAACTTATCTCAGCACATCAGCATTTCATCTTTATTTCTGTTATCTGTGAGCTAAAGGCAGAGACCTTTATTTATTTGACTTTTTAATCTCCACGACCGAGCACACTGTTGGCATTTAATAAATGTTTGTTGAATGACTGATTTAGAAAATATTCTAAATCAAACATTCAATTCTATAGAATATATGAGGTTTTGTTCATGTTCTAAGCCAATAGTCTAGTTGTTTTTCTTCATCCCCAAACACTTGGGTTTGGCTTGCAGGAAGTTAAAGAAAGAAAAAAATTAAATGGATGAAATTTGAAGTTCCACGAATTAACAGAATTTGTACTAGTTTCAGTTTTATGGTTCAGGTTAAATGTCTTCCTCTAAGGGCCCGTATACCCCCAAAACTCCCAGAAGCCACCTGGAGTCCTGGCCCTGGGGAAGACCAAAGCCAAGACATATTAAAAGCAGAGGTTCCAACAGACCACCACAGCTGGCAAGAAGCCAAACGCATGCAAACCCGAGATGGAGTTTTAAAGGGCCATTGAAATTAATTCCCTTGAAGAGGAATGAAAACCAGATGCCTCCCCCTAGGAAAAGAGAGTGCAAAGGACAATAGCAGGAGAGGTAGCAAGAAAGGCAGTCTGAGCTTCACAAGCGATGCTTACCCACCGTTAACCCCAACAAACTGAAGGTTCTTTTTGGTCCCATTACCTCCTGCACGGAAGCCATAGTCTTTCTTTTTCATTATGGATTTAAGGCTGGTCGATGGGGAGATCTCTAGGCAGACACAACATCACAGGTTAGAATGATCTTGGGGATGCATGGGAATGTAGCAAAACCAGGATATTGCTTTGAGGGGACAAGGGTTGCAGGTGTGTGGAGAGGTAAGGAGGGACAGGGAACCAGATCATGTAAATCAATGTTTTGGGGACCTCTTGGAGGAGCCTTGCTTTCTGCTCAATGTTGGGAGAACTGTCTCTGTTAACAATGCCCCTCTAAGTGTGGATGAAGAACCATGTGGCGTAGGTGCCATTGTTGTCCCTGTCTTACAGCTGGGAAATCTGAGGCCCAGACTTGCTCAGTGAATGGGAGTGTAGGAGCAGAACGTAGGCCTCTGGACTCATGGTCTAGCACCCACTTCTGCTCAAGGGCACCTCAGTGGTCCTTCCTGGCTCACAAGTGCATACTGACACTAGGGTTGTGGGGGTGGTGATGACACCGTGCTCACAGTAGATACACGAGCAAGGACACAGATCTTGCAATGTGCTCAACAGGACAGGAGGCGGCTCCCAACGGGGAAGGCTAGAACTAGCACTGAAACAATGAGAAAGCAGTCAAATTGTGATTTGTGGCAGGAAGCAGACTCGCATGCTGCCCTGCAAAGCAAAACGTGGTTCCACTTTACCCGACAGTGAAGAGGGTTTGATCTGTTACAACAGGAAGTGCTGCTCAGCCGAAGGGCCCATTTCCATATGTGAGCAGCACTTAATCTCCTGCCCCTGTACACACACACATGCACGTACACACACACATGCACGCAGAGAAAATATTCAGTGAACTATACCAGATATCAATATAATGCTCCTCCAAAACCAGGCCAGAGAAAACCTCTACTATGCAAGAACCAGAGAGGAACACAGGAATGCAAAAGCCCAGGAAGAGGTCTGGAGTCCACGCAGCAGGGCCATTCTTGGCCCCAGACACTGCCTTTGCACAATGCAAATGAGAACAGCCCCCTCTGGGTGGATGTGGTGCTGCAGCGCAAGGCTTGGCAAATGGAGTGTGGGCTGGCTTTCAACTCTCATTTGCCCTCCCTGGCTGGCATCTTTGTGCCCTGTGCTATCCATACAGCTGTAGGCAGTGGGCCCATAGTCAGACCCAACCTTAGAGCAAAGGCAAGAGTAGAGGTCCCGAGCCTCCACTGTCACACACATCAGTTTTTATTCCACTGGGTTCCTGGAAGTACTAAAATCTTTTTTTCTTTTTTTTTTTTTTTGAGATGGAGTCTTGCTCTGTCACCCAGGCTGGAGTGCAGTGGTATGATCTCGGCTCACTGCAACCTCCGCCTCCTGGGTTCAAGTGATTCTCCTGCCTCAGCCTCCCAAGTAGCTGGGATTACAGGCTCCTGCCACCATGCCCGGCTAATTTTTGTATTTTTAGTAGAGATGGGTTTTCGCCATGTTGACCAGGCTGGTCTTGAACTCCTGATCTCAGGAGATCTTCCCACCTCCGCCTCCCAAAGTGCTGGGATTACAGGCCTGAGCCACTGCTCCCAGCTGCTAAAATCTTTTTAAAAACATGTTAATATAATTGAAAACCTTGTTCCCTCTGCCTTATCATGTGAAGGAGAAATGGCTCCCTGTCTCAGGCCCCTATATTGATGGTATTTACCCACTGGCGGGGAGGAGGAGGAGGCCGGTGGCTCCTTGGGTGGGTGAGCCTGGGCCGAGTAGGCCGACAGCAGCAGGTTGAGGGAGCTCAGCAGCTGGCTCTGGATGCTGCTGAGCTTGGAGGCTGGCTGCTTGATGGCGCTGGCCAGCTCCGGGTACCCATGCTCCAGGCAGTTCCACTGCTCCTGCAGGAGCTCCTGGATCTTCTTCACATACTGCCCAATAGTGGCATCCGTTGGCGAGCTTGGTGGCCTTCCCGGGTGCTCCTTCCCTGGGAGATTGGAACTGGTCTCCTCCCTCCCTGCTGGGGGAGTCTTTCTGTCGCTGCCCCACAGAAAGCCTCCTGCTCCCCTGGTTCCTCCCTGAGGGCCTCCTTCCTGTTCAGTGCCTGCTTCTTCAATCCTGAGTTCAGTGGAGAGGAAGCTATGTACAGAGGAGGTAAGGACCTGCTCGGGTCCCTGTGGCAGTGACAGCTGGGGCAGAAGCACACGTTCTGCTGGGCTCTGATTCCCTTGTTTATGACCATCTGGCCCCCATAGGAGGCCATTCTCCTCTCCTCGGTGCCCCCAGCTTTCAGACTCCATGCTGCCTAGAAGGTTGACTTCAATGCCCTTATCACACGACTCCCTGGTCAAGAGTCCATGGACAGGGTCAGTGTTCACCATCACGTCCGTCTGGCCCTGAGTGTCTTTGGCGTTCTCTTGGTGAAACTGTCCTTCCAGTTGGGCTACAGTGAACTCCAGCTCTCGAATTCTTTGCTCCCTAGCTTTGATTTCCTCTTCCTGCTGCTGGAGAGCAGTTCTGACCTGTGCCAGTTCCTCGGTTCTTCCAGACAACTCTCCCTCCAGGGCCGAGACCTGCTGTTTCAGGCTGGAGATGCTGCCTGGATCCACCCTGGCAAGGCCCAGGCTTTCCTCAGTTACCCTGATGCCAATGCTTCTCATGTCCACCTCTACAGGTGGCGGGGGTGGAATCTCGCTGATGTTGAGCTCGATTTCTTCCAGGAGGAGCTCATTCTCAGGGATGGGTGATGGCAGAGGTGGCGGGCTTGGCGTAGGGGAGCCAGGGGTGAACAACACCTCTGCTTCTCTGGCATTGTGTTCATCTTCCTTGTCCTCTAGAACTACAAGCACATTCTGGAATGAGAAAGGAGGGCCTGGGAGAGGGAGGTGATTTGGAACCTTCACCACACCCTCTGGAGGCTCAGCTCCCTCCTGGACCAGCTCTGGAATCCGAGTTGATGCTCGTGGGCTGGAGCTGTGGAAACCTGCCAATCCTTCTGCAGGTTCAAAGGTGCCATCACAGACACTGCCTTCACCCTGAAGGGGAGGGAGGGCAGGAGGGGCAGGGGGCCCCAGGCTCAGGCCTGGCTCCTCAGAAGCCCTGCTGTGCAGCAGCGTGGCAGGCATGCTGGATGCTCTCAAGAGCTGGGGCCGTCCACTCCCAAAAGTGAGCTCGGCATCCTCTGGCTCAGCAGCTTCCAACTGTCTGGTGGCCTCTGCCAACAGAGCCTTCCTGTGGTAGCTCACCTCACTCCTGCTTGTTGAGGCCTGGGGGGCATTACCAAGCGGTGGTGACTGGTTTTGCTCCTGTGTCCCAAGTGATGCCTCCCTTGGCACCACGGGAGACCAGTTTTGGAGGGGCGGGGCTGCAGGGGGGCGAGCCCCACTGTCAGGAAGGCTGAAGTTTCGGGGCAGAGTGCTAAATTTGGCCTGCTTGGCCCTTCTGTGGATAGGAATTCTTTTGATAGTGTTTCCCTTCTCGATGTCATCCACATACTTGAGGAAGTCCAGGTCTAAATGAAAGCCATATGGGGTCTCCACAGAATAAGGGTGGCTCTTCGGAGGGTCTTTCTCTTCATCCCCCTGAGAGGACTGGTCTTTGGCTGGGAGACATAAGACAAGTTAAAAAAAAAAAGCACAAATTTAATTAAGCATTACAGGGCGATGAGGCCTAATATCTCTGATTTTAACTTAACGCTGTCACTTGAGACTTCTTCTAAATGTTCTAGCCTCGAAATTATGCTGAGATGCTCAGTCTTTTTGGCTGTATTGGAAAATCATCTTATTAAATCAATGTGTACTTAGCCAATGTCTGCAAGGAAACAGGGAGAGGGAATGGTTTCCAATTTGCAGTATGTCATCTGGGTTTCTACTGGGGAATCTGCCTGCAGACTGGCAAAACCAAATGGTCTTGTACTGCTTTTCTGGGTTTGAATCACATAATTGCTGCACTGAAGTAGCCAGGAATTTGCCAAATCAGGGTACTAATTGGCAATTACGGATATGGAAGGGTTTAAAGGATAAGATACACAAGTGGCTCAGCAGTAAAAAAGAAATCTGCAAAAACAACCCTAACTTGCATGACTCAAATTGGTAGAAGTAAATCTTGCTAAAGCCGGAGGTATCAATGAGTTATGCCGTTTACATTATTTAAGCTTGTGCAGATGCCTGCGCCTCAGGTATGCACAGATCAGAGAGAGCTGGAACAAGTAATCATCCATGGCCTACGCTCTTTGCATGTGAAAACTGCCTAGTGCTTAACAAACACGAAATTCACTTTCATAAACCCATGCCAAGTAAGGAAATACCTACTTTGGCCAGTAACTCAATGAAGAAAGAAAGAGAGAAAGAGAGAGAGAGGGAGGGAGGGAGGGAGGAAGGAAGGGAGGAAGGAAGGGAGGAAGGAAGGAAGGGGAAGGGGAAGGGGAAGGGAAGGGAAAGGAAAGGAAGGGAAGGAAGGAAGAGAGAAAGAAAGAAATCGCATTTTTCACACACTAGATAAAAGGTGGTAAAAGGGCCAATTAATGTCAAAAGGGACATTGGTATCCATCCTCCAAGAAGAATGGGACTTGACTTTCCAGGGCAACCCATACCCTGGGGGGCCATCATGATGAGGAAGTTCTCCATTACACCAAGGTTCCAGGATCTCCTTGCAGCATCCACCTGTTGACTCCAACAGAGGACACTGGAAACAAGCCAGTCCTTCGACTATCTGCATCCATAGGGGCCTGTTGCCAAGCAACCTCTTCTTCAGGTTAAATAGTCTTTGTTTCTTCAATATTCCTCATGTGACGCCCCTAATTACCTCTGTGACATTATGCTAAACAGGCTCTGAAAATATTGAGCTCAGGAGAGAACGTTAATGGAGAGTACAGAGGTTCAGAATACAGATTCTGGAGCCTGGTCTAGATCTCTGCTGTGTGACCTTGGGGAAGTTACTTAGCCTTCCTATGTCTCATCATCTGTAAAGTGGGAATAATAACAGGTAAAATAAGATTATTGTGAGGACGGTCGGGTGCGGTGGTTCATGCCTGTAATCCCAGCTCTTTGGGAGGCCGAGGCAGGTGGATCACTTGAGGTCAGGAGTTCGAGACCAGCCTGGCCAACACGGTGAAACCCCATCTCTACTAAAAATACAAAAAGTTAGCCGGGCATGGTGGCAGGCACCTGTAATCCCAGCTACTCAGGAGGCTGAGGCGGGAGAATCGCTTGAACCCAGGAGGCGAAGGTTGCAGTGAGCCGAGATTGCACCATTGTACTCCAGCCTGGGCAACGATAGCAAAACTCCATCTCAAAAATAAGACTATTGTGAGGACTAGTTAATTAATAATAAAGTATTTTGGACAATGCCTCACACATGATAAACATTCAGTTTATCTTTGTGGAATCCCAAAATATAGACAATGGAAGCCCCATAATGGAAAGTGACTTATATGACTCACTGCTGGTCTCCACAAACATGTTGTGACTGGTTGATTGCTTGGTTTTAAGGGTAGTAGGCCCTAGGTTAAAATTACAAAATAGCTGTGATTCAATTCACTTACCTCAACCACCCATTTATTGAGCACCTATGTGCTAAGCTAGACCCTAAGGACACCAAGATGAATCAGGTTCAGCCTCTGCCTTCAAAGGATTTATGATGAGGCAGGAGAGACACAAACACATACAATGCAGTGAGATAGGGAGAGTAACAGATGCATGCTTATAGTACAGGCTTCTTCCCTGACTTATTTTTCTAGTTTCTGCAGAATTATTTTTTTTGGACTTGGAAAACAATTTTTCCTAGGTAGGAGAGGGATGAGTTTACATAAAAGTGACATAAGACTGGGTGATAAATGAACAAATAGGGACTTGCCAGGAGAACAAAAGAGTAAAAGACATTGTAGCAATTTATCTTCAAGATGACCACCACCAATTCCTACCCCCTTTGGACAAGCAAGCTTATTTTATAGTTAAAGGTGGAGTCTACAATTCCAGGCCTTTGAATCCGGGTTGGCCTGCAACTGCTTTAACCAAAAGAATATGGCAGATGCTGAGAGATCTTGAAGGCTAGGTCATAAGAAGCCCCATAGCTTCCACCTGGGTCTCTTACAATGCACACTTATTGGGAAGCCAGCTGCCGTGTAATAAGTCCACCTTTCCTGAGACTGCCATGTTGTGAGGAAGCCCAAACAGCCCCACAGAAAGGTCAAGTGGAGGGAGGGAAGGAAATGCCCAGTCAGCCCCAAGCAGTTCCAGTCACCCTAGCCCAGATGCCATGCATGAGTAAAAAAGTCTTCAGCCTTCATCTGACTTTAACTACAGGAGGGACCCCAAGTGAGAATCACTGAACTGAGCCTGTATTAATAATAAATTATTGTATTAAGCCACCAAGTTTTGGGATGGCTTGTTATGCAGCAATAGATAGCCAAGACAGAAAATCTAGATCTCCACAGAGAATGTGCAAAGGGATGGAGGGTGAAATCACACAGTATTTCAAAGTTCTATAAATGCAGCTGATATGGCCAGTACTTAAAACATGGTAGAGAAAGATAAAATTGGAAAGGACAGCAACAGCCAGATCATGGAGCAACTTGTATGCACGCGAACAAGCTTTGACTTTACGCTCTAGGTCATGGGAGTCACTGAAGGGTTTTAAACAAGGGAGTGACTTGGTTGAATGTGATTTCAAAAAGAGCATCTTGCCAAGGATTAACAGAAAGGCAAACCAGAGGCCCCAAGATCAGCTGGGAGGCTGCTGACATGGTTAAGGTGAGAGGAGCTCAAGGTAATGGAGGGAAAGGGACGGGTTTAAAAAAGTTGCAAATGGTGGCATTTCCTGGGGCACATTTTCTTTCTTCCTTCCTTCCTTCCTTCCTTCCTTCCTTCCTTCCTTCCTTCCTTCCTTCCTTCCTTTCTTTCTTTCTTTCTTTCTTTTTTTTTTTTGAGATGGAATTTCGTTCTTGTTGCCCAGGCTGGAGTGCAATGGTGCAATCTTGGCTCATTGCAACCTCCGCCTCCCAGGTTCAAGTGATTCTCCTGCCTCAGCCTCCTAAGTAGCTGGGATTACAGGTGCGTGCCACCATGCCTGGCTATTTTTTTTGTATTTTTAGTAGAAAGGGGGTTTCACTATTTTGGCCAGGCTGGTCTTGAACTCCTGACCTCAGGTGATCCACCTGCCTCGGCCTCCCAAAGTGCTGGGATTACAGGCATGAGCCACCACGCCCGGCTGACCCACACAATTTTTTTTTAACCAACTTGCTCCCCCACCTTCCCATCCCCTCGCAAAGAAACACACTGGCAATTTTAGTAAATGAGAGCAATATCTTGTATTTCTCTCCATTAGTTTTCCAAGTTGCACTGGCTGTACTCTTAGACCTACTGGTCTGCTCAACAGCCCCACAGATTATAAGGACAGGCCAAACAGAGAAGAGATATTTATCTAAAGTTAAGTAGAGAGCAGATTTATGACCTAGAAGGCAAAGAGCTCTCCTAAAGGAGAGGCTGCATTATTTATCTGCTTATTGCCTCAATTCACTAGAAATGCACCGATTTGCCCAACGGCCTCTGGGCGCAGGTCCAGAGCACAAATACAATCATAGCATAAAATAAGAAACAGCAGATTCAAAGGCAGAATCCTCCACAAGGGAGAGGAGGGCAAGTGAGGCTGAGCAGCTACCAAGGATGACAGGTTTAATAGCAGGTTTAATAGGTGCTTTCCTAAGCTAGCGCGCGCACACACACACACACACACACACACACACACACACACACACACAGAGTGATCCATCATGCTGCCTTGCCTGCCACCTGCCATTCTGCATTCCTTCTCTTTCTCCCAGCACAAGAGGAATGCTGGGCTTTGATGAGGGAGTTTGAGCTGATAAGCTGAGAGACTACCCTCACATGCGGCTCTGCTCCTATTCATTCTACCTGGTGACAGGTATGCGGGAGCTCAGAATTCCAGGCACTGGGCCAGGGTGAGAATCAGTTAGGAAGACCTGACTCTGTTCAAAATGAAATTCAGATCAAATAAACCAACACATGGCCAACCTGGCTGGATTTGAATCATGGCTGTCATCTCCCACTTGTGTGATTCTGGGGCAATTATTTCATTTCCCTCTGCCTCGATTTCTCCATTTGTAAAGTGGAGATAATAATGCCTAACTTACAGAATTGTTGTCATTATTAGCACGAATGCACTAGAGAACACAGCCCAGAGTAGGCGCTCAGTGAAGGACCCTAACAGCAAGGATGGGCTGGTTCTGAATGCGGCAGGCGAGGATTCACTGAGCATGTGCTGTCTCCCTACAGCTCAAGAGTGAATGAGAGTCCAAGAAAATAATTCTGGAGAAAGTGGGAAAGTGAGTCTGGGGAGAAGAAAAAAGAAAGCTAGAGGAGGCTCAGAGCTACCTGGAATTCCCTACGGAGTCTTGCTTAAGAGAACAACAGATCACTAGATCCTTGTATAGGACCTACAAACACAGTCAGCTTCAGAGTTACACACAGACAAGAGAAAAGGGGACTTCAAGGGGACAAGGTAAGGAGGGAGAACCACAGTAATTATCTGAAGGGACAAGTGAAGTAAAGCAGGTGAGCGAACCAACCAGAGGCATTTAGAGTGTGAAAGAGAAATTCAAAAGCCTATATTCAGTCTCTGAAGTAAATGGGGAAAAACAGAAACTAGAGAGAAAGTGGCTGAAAATAAAGCCAGAAAGAAGGGGAGTAAAATGAAACTCTTCCAAAGGCCAAGACAGGGAGGGAAGCCTTCCCCTCTGGGAAGGCTTGTCCCTGTTCTGGGAGGCCCATGGCTGAAAGGAGGGAGCCTTTCTTGGGCTCATATGGGCAATCACATGGACAGCAGACCTCCCCAGTGTGCTGAGAAGGGACTGAGAGGCAGCTGGGCTAACAGGCCCCCGGAGCTTTGAGGGAATGAGTGGGTGTTCTGTGGGACCACTGCCAGGGATGCACTGAAAAGGCAGCTCTCTGGGGAGAAAGGCAACTCTTGAAATAAATGGGAACTGCATTTGGAAGAAGAGGCAGGGCGGGAACTAATGTCAGGTCCCTAAGTCCCGTGCCCGTGAAGGGCCATGTGATTCAAGGGGAATTAGAGGCTCTCTTTTTCCTGATATATGGTGATCTAGAAAAAAACATTTCATTAGAAGTCAGGAGATTGGGGTCTAGACTGTGGCCTTCTGCAAGTTTCCTGGGGACAGGAAGAGGGGAACATGCAGACATTCATTATGCTAGGTAGTTGTTACTCAACAACTTTCCATGCATTACGTAATTTAGTTCTTTACCAACCCTATGAAATAGTATTAATACCTGTTTATAGAAAAGGTGTTGTCAACTGTTTGCAAAGATAGCCACAATAATATCTGACCCTTGGGGTACTCCTCTACCACGCTGACACTGGATGATGGCCTTATGACTTGTGTCGGCCAGTGGGTCAACAGCAATATGACATATGCAGAGACTGGAACATTATCTGCACATTGGAGTCAGTCTGTCCTTGTGTTGTGCTTGAACTCTTCTGTCACCATGTGAACAAGCCCTAGCCAACCTCCTGGATGACGAGAGACACGTGGCCAAGTCATTACTGATACCCCAGATATGTGAGTGTGGCCATTCTAAGCCATCCAGC